>NC_000017.11:12309292-12612323 GCF_000001405.40 Homo sapiens
ATGGTTTATATGTACCACATTTTCTTTATCCAGTCTACCATTGATAGGCATTTACATTGATTCCATGTCTTTGCTATTGTGAATAGTGCTGCCATGAATATACGTGTGTATGTGTCTTTATTATTAGATAGGATGGTTTATATTTCTTTGGGTATATACCCAATAATGGGATTGCTGAGTCAGATGGTAATTCTGTTTTTAGTTCTTTGAGATGTCTCCACATTGCTTTCTACAATGGCTGAGCTAATTTACACTCCCACCAGCAGTGTATAAGCATTGCTTTTTCTCCACAGCCTTGCCAGCATCTGTTATTTTTTGATTTTTTAATAATAGCCATTATGACTAATATGAGATGGTACCTAATTTTGGTTTTGATTTGTATTTCTCTAATGATGAGTGATGTCAAACATTTTTTCATATGCTTGTTTGCTGCATGTATTTCTTCTTTTGAAAATTGTCTGTTCACGTCCTTTGCCCACATTTTAATGCAGTTATTTGTTTTTTGCTTGTTAATTTGTTTAAATTCCTTATAGATTCTGGATATTAGATTGTTGTTGGATGCATAGTTTGCAAATATTTTCTCTCATTCTGTAGGTTGTCTTTTTACTCTGTTGATAGTTTCTTTTGCTGTAAAGAAACTCTTTAGTTTAATTAGATCCTATTTGTTAATTTTTGTTTTCGTTGTAATTGCTTTTGGTGTCTTTGTCATGAAATCTTAGTCAGGGCCTACATCCAGAATGGTATTCCCTAGGTTATATTCCAGGGTTTTTATAGTATTAGGTTTTACATTTAAGCCTTTAATGCATCTTAAGTTGATTTTTTTGTATATGGTGTAAGGAAGCAGTCCAGTTTCAGTCTTCTGCATTTGACTAGCCGGTTATCCCAGCACCACTTATTGAATAGAAAGTCCTTTCTCTAGTGCTTGTTTTTGTCAACTTTGTCAGACACCAGATGGTTGTAGGTATGTGGCAGTATGTCTGGGATCTCTATTGTGTTCCATTGGTCTGTGTCTGTTTTGGTTACTATGCTGTTTTGGTTACTGTAGCCTTGTAATTTAGTTTGAAGTCTGGTAACATGATGCCTCCAGATTGTAATTTAGTTTGAAGTCTGGTAACATGATGCCTCCAGCTTTGTTCTTTTTACTTAATATTGCCTTGGCTATTCGAGCTCCATATTTTTTTATTCCATATGAATTTTAAAATAGTTTTCTTGAATTATGTGAAGAATGTCATTGGTAGTTTGATAAGAATAGCACTAAATCTGTAAATTACTTTGGGCACTATGGTCATTTTAACAATATTGATTCCTCCTATCCATAAGCATGGAATGTTTTTTGTATCATGCTGTTTGTGTCATCTCTGCTTTCTATGAGCAATGTTTTTTTATTTCTCATTGTAGAGATCTTTCACCTCCCTTGTTAGCTTTATTCCTAGTTATTTTCTTCTTTTGTGGCTATTGTGAATGGGATTGCATTGTGATTTGGCTCTGCACTTGGACGTTGTTGGTGTATAGAAATGCTACTGATTTTTGTACATTGATTTTGTATTTTGAAACTGCTGAAGTTGTTTATCAGATCTAGGAGCCTTTGGCAGAGACTATGGGGTTTTCTAGGACAGAATCATATTATCTGCTGTAAAGAGATAGTTTCACTTCCTTCCTTCCAATTTGGATGAATTTTCTTTCTCTTGCCTGATTGCTCTGGCTAGGACTTACAGTACTGTATTGAATAGGAATAGTGAGAGTGGGCGTCCTTGTCTTATTCTCATTCTCAAGGGGAATGCTTCCAGCTTTTGTCCATTCAGTGCAATGTTGGCTGTGGGTTTGTTACAGATGGCTCTTATTATTTTGAGGTATGCCTAAGTTTGTTGAGGATTTTTAACATGAAAGGATGTTGACTTTTATTGAAAGCCTTTTCTGTATCTATTGAGATGATCATATGGTTTTTGTTTTTAGTTTTTTTCTATGTGATGAATCACATTTATTGATTTGCATATGTTGATCCAAACTTGCATCTCAGGAATAAAGCCCACTTGATGGTGATGTATTAGCTTTTAGATGTACTACTGGATTCGGTTTGCTAGTATTTTTTTGAGGATTTTTGCATCTATGTTCATCAAGAATATTGTCCTGAAGTTTTATTTTTTGTTGTTGTGTCTCTTCCAGGCTTTGGTATCAGGATGATGCTGACCTCATAGAATGAGTTAAGGAGGATCCCTCCTCCTCAACTTTTTGGAACAGTTTCACTAAGAACAGGGCTAGGTCTTTTTTATACATCTGGTAGAATTTGGCTGTGAATTTGTCTGGTCCTGGCCTTTTTCTGGTTTGTAGACTTTTTATTACTGATGCAATTTTGGAACTCATTATTGGTTTGTTCAGTGATTCAATTTCTTCCTGGTTTAATCTTGGGAGTATCCAGGAATTTTTCCATTTCTTCTAGATTTTCTAGTTTGTGGGTGTAGTCTCTTAGGGTTTTTGGTATTTCTGAGGGGTTAGTGGTAATGTCTCCCTTGTCATTTCTGATGTGTCTATTTAGATCTTCTCTCTTTTTTTCTTTATCAGTCTAGCTAGTAGTCTGTCGATCTTATTTATTCTTTAAGAAAACAAACTCCTGGATTCATTGATATTTTGTATTTTTTTTTGCATGTCAATTTTCTTCAGTTCAGCTTTGATTTTGGTTATTTCTTATCTTCTGCTAACTTTGGCATTGCTTTGCTCTTGTTTCTCTAGTTCTTCTAGGTGTGATGTTAGGTTGTTAATATGAGATCTTTCTTTCTGATGTGGCCATTTAGCACTGTGAACTTCCCTGTTAACACAGCTTTAGTTGTGTCCCAGATATTCTGGTATGTTGTATCTTTGTTGTCATTAGTTTCAAAGAATTTCTTGATTTCTGCCTTAATTTCACTGCTTATCCAAAAGTTATTCAGAAGCAGATTGCTTAATTTCATGTAACTATGATTTTGAACAATTTTCTTAATATTGAGTTCTATTTTTATTGTGCTGGGGTCCAAGACTGTGTTTGGTATGATTACAGTTTTTAAAAAATTTGCTGAGGATTGTTTTACAGTTCATTATGTGGTCAGTTTTACAGTATATGCCACGTGTGATGAGAAGAATATATATTCTGTTGTTTTGGGGTGAAGAGTTCTGTGGATTTCTATTGGGTCCTTTCGGTCAAGTGTCAAATTCAGGTCCCAAATATCCTTGTTAATTTTCTGCCTCAGTGTTCTGTCTAATACTGTCAATGGGGTGTTAAAGACTTCAACTATGATTATATGGTTATCTAAGTCTCTCTATTGGTCTCTAAGAACTTGCTTTATGAATCTTGGTGTTCATGTGTTGGGTACATTTATATTTTGGACAGTTAAGTTATTGGGTATACATATATCTAGAACAGTTCTTGTTGAATTGAACCTTTTGCTATTATGTAATGCCCTTCTTTGTCTTTTTTTAAATCATTGTTTTTTTAAAGTCTGTTTTGTCTGAAATCAGAATAGCAACACATGCTTTTTCTGTTTTCCATTTGCTTGGTAGAATTTTCTCCATTCCTTTACTTTGAGCCTGTGGGTGTCATTGTGTGTGAGCTGGGTCTCTTGAAGGCAGCATACAGTTGAGTCTTGTTTCTTTATCCAGCTTACTACTCTGTACCTTTTAACTGGGGGCATTTAGCCTCTTTACATTCAAGGTTAATATTGATATGGGTGGATTTGATTCTGTCATCATGTTGTTAGCTGGTTATGCAGACTTGAATGTGTGGTTGCTTTATAGTGTCAATGGTCTATGTACTTAAGTGTGTTTTTGTGATGGCCAGTAATGTCTTTCCTGTCCCTGTTTAACATTCCCTTAAGGACTTCTTATAAGGTGGGTCTCTTGGTAAAAAATTCCTTTAGCATTTGCTTATCTGAAAAGGATCTTGTTTCTCCTTCACTTGTAAAGCTTAGTTTGGCTGGATATGAAATTCTTCATTGGAAGTTCTGTTTTGTTTTTTTTTTTTTTAAGAATGTTGAATATAGGCCCCCAATCTCTTCTCGCTTGTAGGGTTTTTGCTGAAAGATTCATTATTAGCCTGTTGGGATTTCCTGTGTAGGTGACCTGCCCCTTCTCTCTAGTTGTCTTTAACATTTTCTTCTTTCATTTTAACCTTGAAGAATCTGATGAATATGTGTCTTGGGGATGGTTGTCTTGTATAGTATCTCACAGGTGTTCTCTGCATTTCCTGAATTTGAACATTGCCCTCTCTAGTGAGGTTGGGGAAATCCTTATGGATGATATCCTTAAACATGTTTTCCAGGTGGTTTGCTTTTTCTCCCTCTCTTTCAGGGATCCCAGAGAGACATAGAATTGGTTGTTTTACATAACTCCATATTCTTTGGAGGCTTTGTTTATTCTTCTTTATTCTTTCTTCTTTATTTTTGTCTGACTGAGTTATTTTGGAGAACCATTATTTGAGCTCTGAGATTCTTTCCTTAGCTTGGTCAATTCTGGTGTTAATATTTGTGATATTATTATTAAATTCTTGAAGTGGGTTTTTTTTTTTAGCTCAATCAGATCAGTTCTTTCTTAAAATGGCCATTTTGCTTTTATCTCTTGTATCATTTTCTTGTATTCCTTAGATTCCTTGGGTTAGGTTTTGAATTTCTCCTGAATGTCAGTGATCTTCATTCCTATCCATATTCTGAATTCTACTTTTGTCATTTCAGCAATTTCAGCCTCGTTAAGAACCATTACTGGGGAACTAGCATAGTTGTTTGGAGGTAAGAAGAAACTGTTACTTTCTGAGTTGCTAGAGTTCTTGCACTGGTTTTTTCTCAGCTATATGGGCTGATGTTCCTTCAGTCTTAGAAGTTGTTGTCCTTTGGAATTTTTTTTTTTTTTGATTTTTTGCTTTTATCTTCTTTGATTCCCTTGGGGGTTTGATTGCGGTATAAGGTGGGTTCAGTTGACTGGATGTGTTTCTGGGAGATTTTAGGGGGTCACGGCTCAGCTCTACACTATTGGTCTGCATCCTGTAACTCTGGGAAGCTGATATCCGGCCCCCAGCTTTGTTCTCTGGCCTCTGGAGGTTAGGAACCTGCTGTGCTGAAGGGACTGAGGCACTCTGGGTCTGCTGGCCACCCACTCTATTGGGTGGTACCAGCCAAAGCACTTTGTTGGGGGTGGTAGCAGCCAGATCTGTGCTTCCTCGTGTGTGTCAGCACAACGGGGTGCATGTGTTGGCTGGGGTGGGGTACCATCAGAAGTGGGGTTGCAGCATTCCTGTGCACACTCAGGCTGGTAGTGGGTCTCAGGCAGGGGTAGGGTTGCTGGTGTCTGTGTTCGCACTCACACCAGTGGCAGCAGCAGGAGGGTGGAGTGCTGACGGGTGCTGGGCTGCTGGTCTTTGCATGTGCTTTTGCACTGGTGGTGGTGGGAGTGTGGGGGATGGGTGGGGCAGCTGGCATCCAAGTACTTGCTCGTTTGCACTGGCAATGATGGCAGCACTGGGAGGTAGGGGGTGATGGAGGGAGGGACAGGGTCACTGGCATCTGTAACATTTTTTATATGCTAATAGCTACTATAAGCTCCATGAGCTCCCTGTTCACTCCCATATCCCAATATTTGGGATTTGTTAAATAAATGCTTCTTGGTGGCTTGCATTTCTTCTTAGCTAAAATTCATATTCATGGTCTTGCTCAGTCTTGTCTATTGGTTATATTACAACATCCTGTTTTTCCCATCTAGTATGTTTGCTATAATTTTTTTGCTTATTATTATTACTTATTAATTTTCGGTAATTTGTGATACCCAGAAGTTTAATTTGTGATACACAGTTTTTTTTTCAGGCAGTCATAATTTCTTTCACAGTTTTTTTCCTTTCATTTTGTGCTCAGTCTTTCAGTACCTTGAGATCAGATGAATATTCACCAATATTTTTTCTTTTTGTTTTAAGGTTTATGTCTGACTCTAAATCTTCTGTAATTTATATCAAGGGTATCCTTTGTCATCAGAACTCTAAGTTTTAAAATATATTTTATTATTTGAAAAATTATTTTTTGGTGAGAGCTGTGATGAGACTGTGAAGTGGAATATACTCAGTTTTTTTTTCCATTTAATATTTTCCAAAGTAACCTATGACTAAACAATTCAATTCTGGCACTAACAAAAAAAAGAACCAGCATGTTAGACAAAATTGTCGGACAAATTAAATAGAACACCAAACTAGCTTCATCTAGTGAAATTTGAAAATCTCTCACTGAAGACTTGGAAAATGGGTTATATTTTGGAAATTATCACAAAAATGGATTTCACCATTTGCTTGTGAGACAGAATAAAAATAAACCAGGTTCCAGATTCAGCCCAGCAACCTTCACATATGGCTTTAAGCTAATTAAATATTTTTCTTGACAACTGAACTAAAACTAAGAAGCTAAGTAATAATTATACTCATTGGTCTTCCTACATTATGGCTTTAATCAGCATTTTGTTTTAGTTTTAATACACATGAAATGGGACTCAAAATAAATGACTCTTTTTTGAACCAAGTGATTGTTGTTCCATTCAATGCTGCCACTCATCCTCATAAAACTGCCATCATTGGGGACATCTCTCAAAGTTGTCTTGTAAAATTGCCTTCAGGACTGACAATACATTCCATTTGCAGTCCTCAGTATACTTCCAGAGAGGATATAAGTTTTGACAACAGTCTAGAGAAATCTGGATTAAAGTTTGGAGCATATGTTTGCTGGGTATGCTTGATTAATAAAAAATGAGACTACAATGTTGTATCACTTACAACATTGTGTTCAGCTTCAAATAATAGAAAAATCCACTTATGGTAGCTTAAAAAATGAATTAATTTTTCTAACATATTAAGAAGTACAAGGCTTGTGACATGGGTATAAGTTGCTCAGTGATGTCAGGGCTCACATTGCTGCAATTCTTTTGTCTTTTACTCATGACTGCTGCCTCAGGGTCATAAGGTGACTGGTCTACTTCCAGGCATCACTTCTATATCCATGGAAGAAAGGGAAAGAGCAAAGAACATGGCCAGTGTTTTCCCCGTTTATTAGGGCAACCAATGATTGCTCCAGTGTCACTGGTCAAAACTGGGTCACACTGCCATCCCATCAGCAAGGGCACTGGGAAAGCTGGGAATAGGCTTGTCATTATTGCCTTGGACCAAGCATAATCCATAGCTTGGATTGGAGCACAGTGCTTTCCCAGACAAAATGGGGCTCTGACGACAAAGATGAGATGGGAATGGGGTGGTCACCAACTGTGTTTGTCACAAGTATGAATGGTTGTAGACTGGCTCTGAAGACAGTTCTAAAAAACAGTTGCAAAGTAAACTGTGGATGTCTCTTTAGATTTTTTGAAGAATACATTGATTTGGTCATGTGTGCTCTGTCACTTTATTAGAAAAATAATAGTAGTACTTTCATTCACACTTTCCATATATGTTTTGTTAGTATTTTGGTTTTGTATTTCTTATTAGGTTGCATTTTTCCTTAAGATAAGGGCTGTGTTTATTTTTTATACTACTATGTATTTAGAATTCCATGTAATTTCTGGGCACTAGGGACATGTCTATTTAGTGATTAAATGTAAGTCAATCAATTGAATTCCACATTTATTAATGACTGAACTAAAACTAAGAAGCTAAGTAATGGTTGTACTCATTGGTCTTCCTATATTATGGCTTTAATCAGCATTTTGTTTTAGTTTTAATACACATGAAATGGGACTCAAAATAAATGACTCTTTTGTGAACCAAGTGAGTGTTGTTCCATTCAATGCTGCCACTCATCCTCATAAAACTGCCATCATTGGGGACATCTCTCAAAGTTGCCTTGTAAAATTGCCTTCAGGGCTGATGATACATTCTATTTGCGGTCCTCAATAAACTTCTAGAGAGGTTATAAGTTTTGACAACAGTCTAAAGAAATCTGGATTAAAGCTTGGACCATATGGTCCAAAATGCAACATGCTATGCTTGATATCTTACACATTCATGGACAGTTACACATGTAACATGCATGATTGCTAGGGGACTTATCCCAACTCAGGACATGCCAGGATGTTCTTAGCAATAGGGTTTGGCTAAAAGTCTAAGGATTGATCAGAAAACTCTGAAATCATAGAAGCCTCAGAAATACTCAAAAGCTAACTTTATTAGTGCTTTTGACTAAATATTGAACAAAGAATGAGAAGTATACTAGCTAGAACCCTTCAGCTTTATCTCAATAAGGAGATGTTCCAGATTCCTGCTTTTGACATTTATTTTTGTAGTGTTGTGCTTCAGAGTATGAATAATCCAGGGAGTTATACAGGTGTACAAACAAGCATGTGTATTCCCATGCCCAGAAAAATGAAGTTTAGGGTTGGATAGCATGAGATTTGTGTGGTAGAAGTTCCCGAGTTAAGTTAATTCCTGAGAAAAGAAACAAGGTAAATAGATGGTAGACTTGGGAGCATAAATTATTAAACATGGGTTTTAGGCAATTGCACAGAGATCCTCCCTTAGCAACATTAAATGATAAGAGAACTAAAGAACAGTAGGACTCTGTGCTATAAAAGTCCAGAAAATTGGTGAATGATCCAGGATTCTTTTCTCACAAAATGGCAGGTAACCCAATCCAAACTACTCTTGTAAAAGAAGTAATTAATTGGCTCACATAATTGGTAAGGCCAGGGTCCAGCTGGATGCAGAGGTGCAAATATCTTCATTAGAATTGGATTCTCATAGTCTCTAACTTGGTTCTGTTTTCCTTGCTATATTGGTTGCTTATCACCTAGGTTGTTTTTTTTTTTCATGGGAACAAGATGGTTGTCTCAAATCCTGGTGTCGCATTCTTTGAGCCTCATATCTACAAGGAAAAGAAGCAGCTTTCTCTCCCAACAGTGAAACCAATGCCCAGAGCCTGGCTTATTGATCTGAGTAGGGTCACATGGCATTGTATCACCAATTCCTCCCAGTGGTCAGGAGGTAGGACATACTGGTTAGTTTCATCCACCAGTATCCACTCAAGCCCCAGGACTATCAGTAACCCTCACACTCTTTTCTTTCCAAATCATGTCAGAATATCTGCTGCTATACACCTTCTGCAGTATGCCTAGAACAGTGGATCTCAAAGCGGGCTCCTTGGACCAGCAATATCAGCATCACCTGGGAACTTGCAAGAAATAATATTTTTTGGCCCCACCCCAGGCCTGCAAAGTCAGAAAACCTAGGGATGTGACTCTCTGTGTGCTTTCTCAAATCTCAAATCTCAAATTTCTCGAATGTTTCTGGTGCACATTAAAGTTTGAGAACCATCAGCTCGGAGAAACAGACTCCTTATGAGAAAGAGGACTCGTTTAAGGGCAGAATACATTTTCATAGCAATAATGGCAGTTCAGCCAAAGGTCAAATTAGATAAACTTCTAGAACTATCAAATGCCAGAAAAAGAGAGAGGAGAAAAATAACTGCAAGAGAGATTGTTGTGTGCTGTCTTGAGTATGGCTATTTTGACCCTGAAAAAATGCAAATGCATTTTTGTTCCCTTAGCACACGCTTTGCAGTCCAGTAATAATGCATTGTAAACAGACCATATTAAAACAAACAGTTCTCTCTAGATCTTTTTTCAATATTTTCTCTAAATAGTTATTTGGTAATACACATTTTTCTGTTTTGTAGAGTCCCTAAATAGCAGAGGTTTCAGTTCAGAAGAGCCAACTCGTGCCTCCGAGTGCCAGAATGTTCATGGAGTTTTCTTTTTACTAAATAAAGAACTGGAGCTAATGTCGACCCTGTGGTGGCACCGGGCCCTCAACCCAGTAGGAAAAATAAGGAACTCCTAGTTCTCTTCCCTTCCTCAACCCAGAGCTGGTCTTAGACTAAATGGCGCCGAAAGGGAATCACATCCTCTGGTTTCCCATTTCTTCCTTTCTAGGCATTTGTCTTTAGAATGCTTGGATTGATGGACTTTGTCACAAAATTGGACACATGTTTTTAAACATCAGGTGACAATGCCTTCATTTATGTCACATAGCTAACAAATTCTCCTAAAGTTAAGGTTTTCCTGACTGGGTATGGCGGCTCATGCCTGTAATCCCAGTGATTTGGGAGGCTAAGAAAGGAGAATTGCTTGGGCCCAGGAGTTCAAGACCAGCCTGAGGCAACGTAGCAAGATCCCATCTCAACAAAAAATGCAAAAACTAGCCAGGTGTGGTGACATGCGCCTGTGGTCCCAACTACTTGGGAGGCTGAAGCAGGAGGATCTCTTTAAGTGATCCAAGAGTTCAAGGCTGCAGTGAGCTGTTATCACGCCATTGCACTCCAGTCTGGGCAACAGAGCAAAACCCTGTCTCAAAAAAAACCCAACCAACCAACCAACCAAAAAACAAAAACAAAACAAAACAAAACAAAAAACAAAAAAAATCAGCTTTCCAACATAACACTTACCTGAAAGGTTAATATTAAAAAGATAATTTTAACAGAAGCTGACAGTGTTCTGAAATTAACTGTATTATTTGACACCAGATCACTAGCTTTGGTGATTTGTTCTTCATGTTTATTCCTATAGCAGCTTTCATTAGCTGCCTGTTAACCCCTCATTTCCTTTGTCTTGGAAGTGGGACCACCAGGTCCCTATGACTTACGGGCTTTTGCACTCTGGGCCTCACAGATCCATGATCTTAGAGGTAGAGAGGACTTTGGCAACTGATCATTACCTGCTGATTTCCTCTGAGGCAGACTCTGTGCCAAAAAGCCACATGATCACTTAGGATTCTAGTCATAGAGAAGGAGGCCCTCTCTCATCCATGGTTTCTGGGGGCTTGTATTTCCTATCTGTGCCTCAAAGCACTTCTTGAAGGATATTCTCTGCCATTAGAACTATCCTGAGTTCCCCTTCCCCTGCCTGTCAGATGTAGTATTCTGCAAGAGTTTGCTTAGTGTTTAAGCATGTGGGCTCTGGAGACAACAGATGTTCTAATCCCTACCAGGCTGCTTGCTGGCTGTGCTACTTGGGTAGGTAATTAACCTCTCTGATCTTGACTGTAAAATGAGTATTATAATAGCACAAGAGGGTTATGGTGAGCAAGAGAGGAATGAATAGACATAAACTGCTTAGACTCATGGCTGGCGCATGGTGAGCACTCAACAGAAGCATTAGCAATTGTTTGTACCTCCCTGTAGTTGTGCTTTTCTCTCTCTGCCTCATATCCCGAGTTGGAAACATGACTCATGCTCCCCTACGGGATGGGAAGGATCGTGTCAAGGGCAGGAGCTGTATCTACTCATCCTTCAGCATCTAAACCTCAGCATGGCATCTTGGGCTTACTAGGAGCTCAAGAAATGAGTGACTTGAAACTCCTCTGCCCTCACCCTGAGCATATTTGGCAAATTCCAGAAAAACAGGCATCTGCTGCTCTTCTCTTTCACCTAAAAGTGAAGTTCTCCGATGTAATCTCCTGCAAGATCCTTGCCAGGATTTTGATTCTCTAAATTTCTTTCCCCAAATCATTCTTTTCACCCTCCTGGCTGCCCACTGCTCGCTTGTTCTCTCCCCTCCTCCTCAGCCTTCCTGGAGTCCCCCTGCCAAGCCTGCCCTGGTGTTCTAGTGCAGTTGGTTGACTACCGTGAACCACAGACTTCAAAACAGCGAGAAGAGGATTTTGAATGTTCTCATCACAATGACAAGTGTTTGAGATGATAGATATGCTAATCACCCTGATTTGATCATTATACCATGTATACATCTATCAAAATGCTTTGAAATAAAATATGCAGCTGGTTGTGGTGGCGTGCACCTGTAGTTCTAGCTACTTGGGTGGCTGAGGCAGGAGGATTGCTTGAGCCTAGAAGTTCAAGATTGCAGTGAGCTAGGATTGTGTCACTTCAGTCTGGGTGGCGGAGCAAGACCCTGACACTCCCCTCCCCTCACATTTACACTGTACCTCAGAAATATACACAATTATTATGTGTCAATTGAAAACAAAATAAAATTTGAAAACTAAAATAAGAACGGCCCAGTCCCTCATTTTGGTCATCTGATAAGATGCTTTTTCCGTTGTACTCAGGGCTTTTAAGTTTTTAATCTGGAAGTGTGGCTAATAGAGATGAAGGGCGGAGGGTTGGACATGGAGCTTTTGAGTTCTTTATCATGCGCTGTCAGTAGTACAATTATCCTCTTTTATCTCTTTTTTTTTTTTCCTTTTTTTTTTTTGAGACGGAGTCTTGCTCTGCTGCCAGGCTGGAGTCCAGTGGCGCCATCTCGGCTCACTGCAACCTCCGCCTCCCAGGTTCAAGAGATTCTCCTGCCTCAGCCTCTCGAGTAGCTGGGACTACAGGCACACGCCACCATGCCCGGCTAATTCTTTTGTATTTTTAGTAGAGACGGGGTTTCACCATGTTAGCCAGGATGGTCTCGATCTCCTGACCGCGTGATCTGCCCCCCTCGGCCTCCCAAAGGGCTGGGATTACAGGCATGAGCCACCGAACCCAGCCTCTTTTTATGACCCTTTTGGTCCCATCCCCACTTTGAAACTCACTTTCTCATTCAGTAGCCAAAGAGCCACCAGGTGAAGAAAGAAGCCGCCTGAGCGCTCTTCAGGCCACACCCACAAAGGTCTATCCATCACTCTGTGATTCTGTTCTAGGTCCCCAGCAAGCCTTCGTCTCTGGTCTGCTGTATATTTCTGATGGAATGACAAAAGGCCTGATCAGTTAAATAGGAGGGCAGAAATAAATTAGATACCAATGCAGTGTACTGTGAAAAAATGTACTCATTGGTGAAACCTTGACCAACTGATATTATCCCTTTCTTTTCTAAGTTTTCACTGCTCTTCCCTACTGTTGGTCTGAGGAAGTATTGAATAGCCTGAGTGGTGGATAGGTGTGTTCATTCCCTAGGGTTGCTTCTATAAGCACGGTAAAATGGGTGGTTTACAACAAAAGACACATATTCTCTCAAAGGTCTGGGGACCAGATTTCTGAAATCAAGATGTTGCCATACTCTCTCTAGGGCTCTAGGGAAGAATCTTCCTATGATTTTCTTGTAATTTCTGGTGCTCCTCGGCTTGCACATGTCATATCTCCAGTCTCTGCCTCTGCCTCTTTCATCATGTGATGTTCTTTCCCCGTGCCTTCCCATCATCTTCTCATAAGAACACCAGTCACGTTGGATTAAAGGCCCAACCTACTCCAGCGTGACATCACGCTTTGGGAAGCTGAAGCAGGTGGATCGTTTGAGGCCCAGGAGTTCGAGACCAGCCTGGGCAACATGGCAAAAGCTCGTCTCTACAAAAAATACAAAAATCAGCCGGGCATAGTTGTGCATGCCTGTAGTACCCGCTACTTGGGAGGCTGAAGTGGGAGGATCGCTTGAGCCTAGGAGTTCAAGGCTACAGTAAACCGTGATCGCACCACTGCACTCTAGCCTGAGTGACAGGGAAAGACCCTGTCTCAAAAAACCCAAAAAACCAAAAACCCAAAACCAAATTTCATCTGCAACAACCGTATTTTCAAATCATGTCACAATCTGAGGAGTCGGAGGTTAGTGCGTCAGCATATCTCTTTTTGGGGTACGCAATTCAACTCATTACAGAATAGGAGATGCTTTGATGTAGTTGTGCGATCAAAGTTTTGGTATCAGTGTGAACTGGGGTTTTTAATATCTAAAAATAGGACTGTTCTGTAAAATCTGAAAATGACTGGAAGAAACTATTGCTTCTTCCTGAAGGAAAAGAAGGTAGATGTATTGGGGCAGGTTTGAAGGTGCTGATGGAGAAAACATGAACCCACTGCAACCACACCGAATCCAGTCCACTTACGCTAGAGACAAACCACCAAACCCTAGGAAGTATAGAGCCTTGACACAAAGGGATTAAAACAAAACAAAACAAAAAAACCTCCCTTTTTTTAATCCCAGTACTTTGGGAGGCTGAGGCAGGTGGATCACGAGGTCAGGAGATCGAGACCATCCTGGCTAACACAGTGAAACCCCGTCTCTACTAAAAATACAAAAAATTAGCTGGGTGTGATGGCATGTGTCTGTAATCCCAGCTACTTGGAAGGCTGAGGCAGGAGAATTGCTTGAACCTGGGAAGCAGAGGTTGCAGTGAGCCGAGATCGCACCATTGCATTGCAGCCTGGGTGAGCGAGACTCTGTCTCAAAAAACAAAACAAAATAAAACAAAACAAAACCCTCCCGTTTTAGTTTTCTGTAGTTCACTCTGTTTTCTCATTTACAATGGAAGAGAAATGATCTCTTCGGGTTTCAATTTCTAACAGGAGGTAGCTTCCAGTCAGATTTATTGGTCAAGACTCCGTTGAAAATGAAAGAAACCCATCTGAAACTGAAGTTTCATGTAATTGAAAAGTTCAGGGGCAGAGCAAAATGAATGCAGATGTGCTTGATCCCAGGGTTCCAAAGATTTCCTCAGGAGCCTATTTTTCTCCATCTCTTAGTTCTGCTCTCCATTCTGGCTTCGTTTTTAGTCACTGCGATCACTTCCTCCCCAAAGGGAACTGACCCATTGTCCTGACTTATATCACCATTGATTAGTTTTGCCTGTTTTTGAATTTTATCTAAATGAAATCATACTATGCACCTTTTATTGTCTGCTTCTTTTACCTGATTTAATCATTGCACAATGTATAGTATTGTAAGAGTTATCCATTTGTGGATGCCGTCCACATGTTATGTTTATGAGAGCCATGCATTTTGTTGAACATGGTTGTAGTTCATTTTCAGTGCTATTTGTGTACTGTGCAAATATACCACAGTGAACAATTTGTTTTACTGTAGATGGACACTTCCCCCCAAGTTTTACTATTACCGATGATGTTGCTGTAAACATTTATATAAACATATATAATATTTTATATATAAATGTTTTATATATATTTATATATAAAATGTTGCTGTAAACATATATATATATTTTGCATATAAATACATATATCTTAGAAGTAGAATTGCTGGGTGAGAGGATTTGCATGTATTCAACTTTATTTTATTTTATTATTTTATTTTATATTTTTCTGAGACAGGGTCTCACTCCCATCGCTCAGGATGGAGTACAGTGGTACAATCCTGGCTCACTGCAGCCCCGGCTTTCTGGGCTCAGGTGATCCTCCCACTTCAGCCTCTCAAGTAGCAGGGACTACAGGCATGTGCCACCACACCCTGCTATTTAAAAAATATTTTTAGTAGAGATGGGGTTTCTCCATGTTGCCCAGGCTGGTCTGGAACTCCTGGCCCAAGCGATCAGCCTTTCTTTGCCTCCCAAAGTGCTAAGATTACAGGCATGAGGCACCGCACCCAGCCAGCTTGCACTCAGCTTTAGAAGATAATGCAAGACAGTTTTCCTAAGGCGATTGAATGAATTTATATGCCCACCAGCTCTTTATGAGAGTTTCATTTGCTCCACATCAGTC
This sequence comes from Homo sapiens, assembly GCF_000001405.40. Lineage (NCBI taxonomy): Eukaryota > Metazoa > Chordata > Mammalia > Primates > Hominidae > Homo > Homo sapiens. Next base: position 12,324,694 of record NC_000017.11, read on the forward strand.
TTTTTTAAATTTCATTACTCTCATGGTGTGTTGTGATTCCCCATAGTAATATAATTTGATTTGCCCTGATTTGCAAAAAGGTGAGGGCTTTTCAATATGTTTATTTGCCACTTAATAAGTGCCCTGCTTTCTAAGGAACCTGTTCAAATCTTTTGCCCATTTTTGAGAGGTTTTCTTATTGATATGAAGGTTTTTAAAAATATATATTCTGGATACTAATATTTTTTGGGATATGTGTACAAAAATATATTTTCCCACTCTGAGTGCCTTCTTATTCTCTTACAATGTCTAATAATGAATACAAGTTTTTAATTTTAATATAATCCAATTTACCATTATTTCCCTTTGGAGTTTGTGTTTTTGCATCCGGTTTAAGATGTCTAAAAGCTTATTGTTTTACTGTTCGTATTTAGATGTATTATCCATATGGAATATATTTTTATGTATGATTTGATTCATTTTTTTCCATATTGATATCTGATTCACTCAGTACTGCTTAATGAAGACATTGGTCTTTCTCTATTGCTCTAAAGTGACATTTTTGTCATAAATCAAATGTCTTTCTGTGTGTATATGTGTGTGCATGTATACATTTCATTAATTGCATTGTCTATTGTCTGTCCTGTATTAATACTACACTGTTTTAATTATTCTAGTTTTATAACACACACTGACATCTGGTAGTGTAAATCGGTTCTTCTTCAAGATTGTCTTGACTTTTAACATTAGAATCACCTCACCAGCTTTCATATACATACAAAGCCTACTGAGATACTGAGTAGGACTATATTGAATCTATAACTTGGATTGGGAGAGTATACATATGCAATATATATAACATTGAGCCTTTTAATCCATGAACATCATGTATCTCTCTATTATTTAGATATTCTCTAATTTCTTTCAATAATGTTTTATAATTTTCTGGGTATATGGCTTTTTACATCTTCCTTTTGGTTTATTTTCAGGTATTTGATATATTTTTGGTTATGTTGTGTTACTATTTTTAGTATTTCATTTTCTTATTTTTATTGCTAATTGTATTTGTCTGTTCTTATGCTGCTAATAAAGACATACCAAAGACTGGGTAATTTATAATTGACTCACAGTTCTTCATGGCTGGGGAGGCCTCACAATCATGGCAGAAGGTGAATGAAGAGCAAAGTCACGTCTTACATGGTGGCAAGCAAAAAGGCTTGTGCAGGAGAACTCCCATTTATAAAATCATCAGATCTCATGAGACTTATTCACTACTATGAGAACAGTATGGGGGAAACCTCACCTATGATTCAATTATCTCCACCTGGCCCCGCCCTTGACACATGGAGATTGTTACAATTCAAGGTGAGATTTGGGTGGGGACACATCCAAACCATATCACTAACGAATAAAAATACAATGCATTTTTGTGTATTGAATTTCTGTCTATTGACCTTGCTAAGTTCGCTTATTGATTCTAATAAAATATCTGTAGATTCTTTTGAATTTCCTATACACATAATCTTGCCATGTGTGAGGAATGAATTTTTTTCCCTTTCAGTCTTTAACATTTTTGTTTCTTTTTATTTTGTTTGCTGTACTGGCTAGAATCTTTAGTACAATGTTGAATCGAAACTGAGAGTTGATGTCATTATTCTCCTGATATGATGGGAAAATCTTTTATTATTTTATTATTGAGTTATGATTGATGTAAATGCTTTTCTAAATACCTTTTGGCAGGCTGAGAAAATTACCTTCCATTTCTAGTTTACTACATTTTATCATGATTGGATATTGAGGCTTATCACATACTTTTTTTGCATCTTTTCAGATGATCATATAATTTTTAAAATTCCATTGATTGATTTTGAAATGTTAAACTAACTCTATATGGCAGGGATAAGCCACTCTTTCCTTTGATGTATTGTTTTTGTATCGCTGAATTTGATTTGCTGTTCTTTGGTTCAGAACTTTTGCAACTTTGCTCATGAGAGATACTGGCCTGTATTTTCCCTACTTGTAATATACTTGCCAAGTTTCAGTAATAAGATTTTATTGGTTTCATAAAATCAGTTGGGAAGCATTTCCTTTTTTCCCCAGTCCCTAGAAGTTTTGTTCAAAATTATTATTTCTTCCGTAAATGTTCAGTGGATCTCAGTGATGAAGCTCTCTGAGATTGGAATTTTCTTTGTGGGGAGGTTCAAAGTTATAAATTCAATTTCTTTATCAGGTATAGGATTATTTAGATTTTTTGTTTCTTCTTATGCTGGTTTTGTAAACTGTATTTTTCTAGGAATGTCATGTCATCTGAAATTTTAAATATATTTGCATAAAGTTGTTCAAAAACACATGTATTTTTTACTGTTTCTTGATTATCCATAGGATCTGTGGTGATAGTCTCCTTTTCAGATCCGATACTGGAAATTTGTACCTTCTCACTTCTTGACCAGTTGTATTACTTTTTTGAACAGGTAATTTAAAAAAAAAAATCAGTTGTTTTGGGGTCTTTTTAAAGAAATATTTTTTGACTCTGTTAATTCTATTTTGTATTTGTTTTCTATTTCACCAATTTTCCTCTTCTAATCATAATTTTCTTCTTTTTAGTTTCTTGAGTTTGTTTTTAAAAATCTTTATGATATTGAGATGGATACTTAAATCACTGTTTTTTAGTCTTTTTCTAGTGCATGTATTTAAGGCTATAATTTACCTCCGAGTACCACTTTAGTGATAGCCTAAAGTTTTGATATGCCATATTGTCATAATCACTCTATTAAAAGGGTTTTCTAGTCTATTTCTATTTATCCTTTTACCTATTAGTTATTTAAAAGCATTTTAAGCATTTGAGCATATTATATTATCTTTTATATTGATTTCTAATGTTATTCCACTGAACTCAGAGAATATACTCTGCATGGCTTCAGATTTTTGAAATTTATTGAAACTTACTGTAAGGGTTGGCATATAGTTTATAGGTTAACTTTAACTTTGTAATGCTCCATGTGAACTTGAAAAAAATGTGTATTCTGCAGTTGTTGAGTTCAGTGTTTTTTCTGTCAATTAGGTTAAGTTTGCTCACATTTTCTATATTTTAACTAACTTTTTGTCTGCTTATTTCATCAGTTACTTAAAGAAATGTATTTAAGTCTCCAATTTTGATTGTGGCTTTATCTATTTAAAAAAAATTTTGCTTTAGTGATGAATTAGCATTTTTTATTATTCCACTTTTTCTCCTTTACTGTTAGCTATATATTCTTTTACTCATCTTTTAATGATTAATGTTAGTGACAAAAGCATACTTCCTTGACATATAAGTGTGTAAATTGGTATTTTTCTTGCTTTCCTCATAAGGTTTCCCCACCTTTTGTGTTTTTTAAGTATTTTACATGCCTTTTAAGTCCACAAGGAATTGTTATTATTCTATTGTACCTCAAAAATTTATTTAGATTTACTGCATATATACTCTTTCTCTTGGTCCTCATTCTGTCTTGCATTTCTGGATTTCCTCTTAGGTAATTTTCCCCACTTTTTTCCCCCGAAGAACTTCCTTTAGTATTCCTTTTAAACCACTTTTGTTGGTAATTGCTTATTTAATATACTTCATCTCACTTTTGGTTTTTTAATAGAATATTTTCACAGGTTAGGTAATTGGGCTGCCAATTATTTTCTTTCAGCATTTTAAAGGATGATGTTCCATTGTCTCCTGACTTCTATCTTCTCTGTTAAAAAGTCATCTGTAAGTCTTATTGATCGTTTGAAGTAAAGGTTATCTTCTCTCTCTATTGTTGCTTTTCAGCAGTTCTACTATGATATGCTAAGGTGTAATTTTTCTTTGTTTAATTTTACTTGGATATGATAGTGTTTCTTAAAACTATGGCTTGCTGTCTTTCTCCAGTTTTGAAAATTTTTCTTGTTATTAACTTTTGAAATAAAATTTTATCTTCATTTTCTTTCCTCCTAGGATTTTAATTACACATTTATTACAGTCTTTACCATGACCCATATGCCTCTCGTATGACTTCCTGTACTTTTCATTGTCTTTTCTTGCTGCACCTCAGCCTGGGAGCACAGCTATATCCTTTCTTCAGCTGTGCTTAGCCTGCTGTTAGATCCACTTATTGAGTTATTAACTTCATGTATTCACTTTTCAGTTCTAGATTTTATATTTCATTCTTTCTTACAGATTTAAATTTTCTACTAAATTTCTCTACGTTTTATATATTTTAGTGAACATATTAATGTTAGTTATTTAAGAAGCCATAGAAGATAACTAATATCTGTATCATCTGTGAGTCTGTTTCTATTACCTTTTTTCCCCATCTTGATATTTGGTCTTTTGGTTCTGTGTCCTTGTATGTCTGATGTTTTTTGACTGGTTGTTGGACATTACGTATAAAAAATAATATAGGCTTTTAGCCCTTTTCTTTGGCTAATTAGCCCAAATTAGCATTTTAAATTATTGCATTGTTTCTCCTTTATTGTTACTTATCCTTTTACCCTTCTGTGAATGAAGAAATTCGAATTTCAGCACAATGGTGCTTATAAAGTAGCAAATGCTTTGAGTCCCTTCTCTATCTGTGATTTTGGTTTAGCTCCTGTCTGTCTTGTTATCTCTGATTCCTTTAAACACGTATTACTTATTTTTTTCTTTTTTAGAAAACCTAATTGTTCTAGCTGTTCTCAGTGGGAGATACAATGTAGCTTGTCTTAGCTAGAAGCAGAAATCTTCTAGAAGTCTTCCTCCTTGAGTTGTAAAACCCTTTTCTCTAAATATCTTAGGCTCCTGAAACCATAGGCTTAGCCTCATTGTATTGTGCTCAAAGAAGACTGTGGAGGTTACATATCATAAATAAAATTACACTTATTTCTCCTTATTATACATTGTATTGGTTCTCTTATAGGACGTTAAAGAAATAATTTTTTAAAAAACTCTTGCTAAAAAATTCTCCTAACTTTGAGTCTTTAAGGGATGAAGTCTTTGAGTCTTTTCACTCCTCTATGCTAGTAGAAGATTTATTCATATTTCCCAGATTTATCTGTAGTTTAAAAATATTATGTTACGGATGTGGATCTTGTGGCTTCTATTAATGAAAGAAAGTGGTCGCTTTCACAATGCTTCAATAGGTGGAAAATAACAGGTTGTTGGAAGTTTTGCCATGCTGAATTATGTAGAACTGTAGGCAGACAGACTCTGTTTCTGAAACTGGCCTTGGACTATGTCATGTCCTGTTTGAGTTTGATTTTGATTTTGAATTTCTTTGTGGGAATATGTTGGATTCTACATTCTTGACACATCTCTATTCATAAAACAAGATTCCCTCTGTATAGGATTGTAATCACTTATCAGCTTTTTTAGAAGGTAAAGATTACTACTATCTAGTAGCAGTTCAGAGCAAATCCAGGCATTCCTTGTCATTCTGGTGACTAAAAGGAGGCTGCAGTTTTTATGCAAAATAAGGATGAGCATTGCAATTCCCTGAATCATGATTAACTTTAGATAATTAATTCAAAATTTATTAAAGCATTGTTGCCCAAAATGTCTGTAGATACTACCTTCTGATGTGATCAATATGTTCAATGGTAAAGATGTGGAGTGTGGGGTTCCATGAAAGGGAAGGGATCCTGGATTAAAAAACAAAGTTAAAAACCAAATTTATTTACTGGTCACTTCTCAGGGAAATCTGTGTCTTTGTAATATACATTGTGAGTCTCCAAGGTGGGAAAGGGTGAATATAGAAGTGCAGCACTTCCCAAATGAATGTGAACTGTGCCCAACCTTAACTTTTTTACTAGTTCACAGAAAACTTACATTTTTGTTATAAACCCTAGGTTTCGTGATAATGCTGGGAGAGTAGGAGTGAGGAAATGTTGAACTAGAACTAGATGACATGATAAATTTCTACTCCTTATATTCATTTTCACTGTTGTCATGTTAGGAAATGTTTCTTGTTTGTATGGAGTGTTTTTGGTACTGACTTTAAGCTCTTGGCAGGAAAGTTTCTATAGAAACTAAGCAATCAGCCAGACAGAATGCTGAAAGCTCCTCCTTTCCTTTGAGAATTAAGTGTAGGTGTTGGAAAGAAGACAGAAGTAGTAATAGCTCCTGGGGGGAGGGTCCCCTTGGTTGATACTGGACACCTCTTGTCTTTTTATTTTTACATTTCAAATTTTTATTTTTCCATAAGTTTTTGGGGTACAGGTGGTATTTGGTTAAATAAGTAAGCTTTTTAGTGGTGATTTGTGAGATTTTGGTGCACCCATAACCTGAGCAGTATACACTGCACCATATTTGTAGTCTTTTATCCCTTGTCCCCCCGATTCTTATCCCCAAGTTCCCAAAGTCCATTGTATCATTCTTATGACTTTCTGTCCTCATAGCTCAGCTCCCACATATCAGTGAGAGCATATTATGTTTGATTTTCCATTCCTGAGTTACTTAACTTAGAATACTAGTCTCCAATCTCATCCAGGCCACTGCAAATGCTGTTAATTCATTATTTTTTTTATGGCTTCTTAGTATTCCATCATATATATTTCATCACAGTTTCTTTATCCACTCGTTGATTGATGGGCATTTGGGTTGGTTTCACGATTTTGCTACTGTGAATTGTGCTGCTGTAAACATGTGTGTGCAAGTATCTTTTTTGAACAATGACTTTTTTTCCTCTGGGTAGATACCCGGTAGTGGGATTGCTGGATCACATAGTAGTTCTACTTTTAGTTCTTTAAGGAATCTCCACACTGTTTTCCATAGTGGCTGTACTAGTTTACATTCCCACCAGCAGTGTAGAAGTGTTCCCTGTTCACTGCATCCACGTCACCATCTACTGTTATTTGATTTTTTGATTATGGCCATTCTTGCCGGAGTAAGGTGGTATGCCATTGTGGTTTTGATATGCATTTCCCTGATCATTAGTGATGTTGAGCATTTTTTCATGTGTTTCTTGGCCATTTGTATATCTTCTTTTGAGTATTGTCTATTCATGTCCTTAGCCCACTTTTTGGTGGGCATTGTTTGTTTTTTCCTTACTGATTTAAGTTTGTTGTAGATTCTGGATATTAGTCCTTTGTCAGATGTACAGATTGTGAAGATTTTCTCCCACTTTGTGGGTTGTCTGTTTAGTTTGCTGACTGTTCTTTTTGCTGTGCAAAAGCTCTTTAGTTTAATTAGGTCCCAGCTATTTATGTTGGTTTTTATTGCGTTTGCTTTTGGGTTCTTGGTCATAAAATCCTTGCCTAAGCCAATGTCTAGAATGGTTTTTCCAATGTTATCATCTAGAATTTTTACAGTTGCCGGCCTTAGGTTTAAGTCCTTAATCCATCTTGAGTTGATTTTTGTATACAGTGAGAGATGAGGATCCAGTTTCATTCTCCTACATGTGGCTAGCCTATTATCCCAGCACCATTTGTTGAAAAGGGTGTCTTTTCCCCACTTTATGTTTTAGTTTGCTTTGTCAAAGATCAGTTGGCTGTTAAGTATTTGGGTTTATTTCTGGGTTCTTTATTCTGTTCCATTGGTCTATGTGCCTATGTTTATATCAGTATCACCTGTCTTGGTGACTATGGCCTTATAGTATAGTTTGAAATCAGGTAGTGTGATGCCTCCAGCTTTGTTCTTTTTGCTTACTCTTGCTTTGGCTCTGTGGGCTCTTTTTTGGTTCCATATGAATTTTAGAATTGTTTTTTCTAATTCTGTGAAGAATGATGGTGGTATTTCGATGGGGATAGCATTGAATTTGTAGATTGCTTTTGGCAGTATGGTCATTTTTACAATATTGATTCTACCCATCCACGAGCATGGGATGTGTTTTCATTTGTGTCGCCTATGATTTCTATCAGCAGTGTTTTGTAGTTTTCCTTGTAGAGGTCTTTCAACTCCTTGGTTAGGTATATTCCTAAGTATTTTATTTTTTGAAGCTATTGTAAAAAAGGTTGAGTTCTTGATTTGATTCTCTGCTCGGTTGATGTTGGTGTATAGAAGAGCTACTGATTTGTGTACCTTAATCTTATATCCAGAAACTTTACTGAATTCTTTTATCAGTTCTAGGAGCTTTCTGGAAGAGTCCTTAGGATTTTCAAGGTAAATGATCATATCATCAGCAAACAGTGACAATTTGACTTCCTCTTTACCGATTTGTATGCCCTTTATTTCTTTCTCTTGTCTGATTGCTCTGGCTAGGACTTCTGGTACTGTGTTGAAGAGGAGTGGTGAGAGTGGGCATCTTTGTCTAGTTCCAGTTCTCAGAGGGAATGTTTTCAACTTACCCCATTCAGTATTATGTTGGCTGTGGGTTTGTCGTATATGGCTTTTATTACATTAAGGTTTGTCCCTTGTATGCCGATTTTGCTGAGAGTTTTACTCATAAAGGGATGCTGGATTTTGTAGAATGCCTTTTCTGCATCTGTTGAGGTGATCATGTGGTTTTTGTTTTTAATTCTGTTTATGTGGTGTATCACATTTATTGACTTGGGTATGTTAAACCATCCCTGCATCCCTGGTATGAAACACCCTTGATCATGGTGGATTATCTTTTTGATATGTTGTTGGATTCGGTTAGCTAGTATTTTGTTAAGGACATTAGCATCAGTGTTCATCAAGGATATCGGTCTGTGGTTTTCTTTTTTGGTTACGTCCTTTCCTGGTTTCAGTATTAGGGTGATGCTGGCTTCATAAAGTGAATTAGAGAGGGTTCCTTCTTTCTCTAGCTTGTGGAATAGTGTCAAAAGGATTGGTACGAATTATTCTTTGAATGTCCGGTAGAATTCTGCAATGAATCTGTCTGGTCCTGGACTTTTTTTTGTTGGTAATTTTTAAATTACCATTTCAATCTTGCTGCTTGCTATTGGTCTGTTCAGGGTATCTAATTCTTCCTGATTTAAGCTTGGAGGGTTGTATTTTTCCAGAAATTTATCCATCTCTTCTAAGTTTTCTAGTTTATGTGCATAAAGGTGTTCATAGTATGAATGATCTTTTGTATTTCAGTGGTGTCAGTTGTAATATCTCCTGTTTCGTTTCTTAGTGAGGTTATTTGGATTTTCTCTTTCTTTTCTTGGTTAATCTTGCTAATGGTCTATCGATTTTATTTATCTTTTCAAAGAACCAGCTTTTTGTTTCATTTATCTTTTGTATTTTTTGTTTGTTTCAATTTTATTTAGTTTGCTCTGATCTTAGTTATTTCCTTTCTTCTTCTGGGTTTGGTTTGTTCTTGTTTCACTAGGTTTGGTTTGTTCTTGTTTCACTAGTTCCTTGAGGTGTGACCTTAGAATGTCAGTTTATGCTCTTTCAATTTTTTTGATGTAGGCATTTAGGGCTATGAACTTTCCTCTTAGCACCGCCTTTGCTGTGTCCCAGAGGTTTTGATAGGTTGTGTCATTACTGTCGTTCAGTTCCAAGAATTTTTTAATTTCCATTTTGGTTTTGTTTTTGACCCAGTTTCATTCAGGAGCAGGTTATTTAATTTCCATGTATTTGCATGGTTCTGAAGGTTCCTTTTGGAGTTGATTTCTAGTTTTATTTCACTGTGGTCTGAGAGAGTACTTGATATAATTTCAATTTTCTTAAATTTACTGAGGCTTGTTTTATGGCCTATCATATGGTCTATCTTGGAGAAAGTTCCATGACTGTTGAATAGAATGTGTATTCTGCAGTTGTTGGATGAAATGTTCTGTACATATCTGTTAAGTCCATTTGTTCCAAGATAGTTTAAATCCGTTTTTTTGTTGTTGTTGTTGACTTTCTGTCTTGATGACCTGTCTAGTGCTGTCAGTGGAGTATTGACATCCCCCACTGTTATTGTGTTGCTATCTCATTTTTTAGGTCTATTAGTAATTGTTTTATAAATTTGGGAGCTCTAGTGTTAGGTACATATATGTTTAGGATTGTGATATTTTATTGTTGGACAGGGCCTTTTACTGTTATGTAACGGTATATATCTTTGTCTCTTTTAATTGCTATCACCCATCTTTGTCTCTTTTAACTGCTGTTGCTTTAAAATTTGTTTTGTCTGATATAAGAATAGCTACCCCTGCTTGCTTTTGGTGTCCATTTGCATGAAATGCCTTTTTCCACCCCTTCACTTTAAGTTTATGTGTGTCCTTGTGTGTTAGGTGAGTCTCTTGAAGACAGCAGATGGTTGGTGAGTTCTCATTCATGCTGTGGTTTTGTATCTTTTCAGTGGAGCATTTAGGCCATTTGCATTCAATGTTAGTATTGAAGTGTGAGATACTGTTGCATTCATTGTACTCTCTGTTACCTGTGTACTTCAGTGTTTTTGTTTTTGCTTTTTAACTCGTATTTTTGTTTTGTATGTCCTGTGTGATTTATGCTTTAAAGAGGTTCTGTTTTGATATGTTTCCAGGATTTGTTTCAAGATTTAGAGCTCCTTTTAGCAGTTCTTGTAGTGGTGGCTTGGTAATGGCAAATTCTCTCAACATTTGTTTGTCTGAAAATGATTTTATCTTTCCTTCATATATGATGCTTAGTTTTTCTGGATACAAAATTCTTGGCTAATAGTGTTTTATTTGAGGAGGCTGAAGATGGGGGTCCAATCCCTTCTAGCTTGCAGGGTTTCTGCTGAGAAATCCGCTGTTAATCTGAGAGGTTTTCCTTTTTAGGTTACCTGGTGCTTCTGTCTCACAGCTCTTAAGATTCTTTCCTTCATCTTAACTTTGGATAACCTGATGACAATGTGCCTAGGTGAAGATCCTTTTAAGTGAACTTTCCAGGTGTTCTCTGTGCTACTTGTATTTGGATGTCTAGGTCTTTAGCAAGGACAGGGAAATTTTCCTTGACTATTCCCCCAAATATGTTTTCCAAGCTTTTAGAATTCTCTTGTTCCTCAGGAAGACCAATTATTCTTAGATTTGGTCGTTAAACATAATCCCTTCTTGGAGGCTTTGTTCATATTTTCTTATTCTTTTTTCTTTGTCTTTGTTGGATTGGGTTAATTTGAAGACCTTGTCTTCAAGCTCTTAATTTCTTTCTTCTACTTGTCCAATTCTATTGCTAAGACTTTCCGTAGCATTTCACATTTCTAAAAGTGTGCCCAAAAGTTCCTGAATTTTTGATTATTCATTCTGTAAGCTATCTATTTTCTTGAATATTTCTCCCTCCATTTTTTGTATCACTTTTTGGATTTCCTTGCATTGGGCTTCACCTTTCTCTGGTCCCTCCCTGTTTAGTTAATAAGTAACCTCCTGAATTTTTTTTCAGGTAAATCAAGGATTTCTTCTTGGTTTGGATCCATTGCTGGTGAACTAGTGTGATTTTTTTGGGGTGTTGATGAGCCTTGTTTTGTCATATTACCAGGGTTAGTTTTCTGGTTCCTTCTCATTTGGGTAGGCTCTGTCAGAGGGAAGGTCTAGGGCTGAAGGCTGTTGTTCAGATTCTTTTGCCCCACTAACTGTTCCCTTGATGTAGTACTCTCCCCCTTTACCTATGGATGTAGCTTCCTGTGAACCGAACAGCAGTGATTATTGTCTCTCTTCTGGGTCTAGCCACCCAGCGAGTCTACCCAGCTCTGGACTGGTACTGGGGGTTGTCTGCATAGAGTCCTGTGATGTGAACCATCTATGGGTCTCTCAGCCGCGGATACCAGGGCCTGTTCCAGTGGAGGTGGTGGGGGTGGGGGGTGCAATGGACTCTGTGAGGGTTCTTAGCTTTGATGGTTTAATGCTTTATTTTTGTGCTGGTTGGCCTCCTGACAGGAGGTGGTGCTTTCCAGAAAGCGTCAGCTGTAGTAGTGTGGAGAGGAACTGGCAGTGGGCAGGGCCCTAGAACTCCCAAGATTATATGCCCTTTGTCTTCCGCTACCAGGGTGGGTAGGGAAGGACCATTAGGTAGGGGTGGGGCTAAGTGTGTCTGAGCTCAGACTCCCCTTGGGTGGGTCTTGCTGTGGCTGCTGTGGGGGATGGGGGTGAGATTCCCAGGTCACTGGAGTTGTGTATCTGGGGGGGTTATGGCTGCCTCTGCTGAGTCATGCAAGTTGTCAGGGAAGTGGGGGAAAGCCAACAGTCACAGGCCTCACCCAGCTCCCATGCAAACAGAAGGGCTGGTCTCACCAGCACCACATTCCCTGCAACAGCCCTGAGTCTGTTTCCAGGTAGAGGGCATGATGGGCTTGAAAACTTGCCCTGCGCTATCTGCCTCCAAGCTGCAAAAGAAAAGGGGCTTGGTTCTTCCCCCGACTGTGGAGTCTGTACACTGGATTTGCTCCCTCCCCCGAGTTCTGGCCAGAAGGCTTCTCACCCCATTCAAATTGTTAACAAAGTCCAGCTAGAGATTTCCTTCTCCCTATGGAGTTTTATGTCCTGCTCCTCTGGTCACCTTCCTGATGGATCTCTGTGGTGCCAGGCAGGAATGGTCTGCTAGGGGATGCAGCAAGCTCCCAGGGCCTTTCTATTGCTTCCTCTTCCCTTTATTTCACTTGGCTCTCTAAATTGACTCAGCTCCAGGTAAAGTCAGAAACTTCTCCTGCAAAGAGACCTTCAGCTTCTCCAGCGGGGGTATGTGTTTGGGAGAGGAGGGTCTCCCTTTCCCATTTCTGCAGTTGGGGCACTCAGTATTTAGGATGTCTCCAGGTCCTGTAGAAGCAGTCTGCTTCCTTCAGAGGGTTGGTGGATCCTCTCGGGATTGCTGCTCTGTTCTTGCAGTCGATTTGGAGCTAAAATGCACAATGTGAGTTTCTGCATGCTACTCTGTCCAGAGCTGCAATCTAGTCCTGCCTCCTCTCTGCCATGATGATCAGAAATCGACACCTCCTATCTTGAATTCACCATATAGCTTGGTTTCCCAGCGGTGAGTTGGTTTCCCAGTGGTGACTTGGTTACTAGGATTCACAGTGGTGGATGAGAGTAGGATGAACCTGAGATACCCTGAGTCCTCTTTGAAAGAAAACTGGGGCAAGCCACATCTTAGAGGATGAATTTTAAGGATAAGCCATCCCAAACCATACCTTTATGCCCATCCCCTTATTCAAGGCAACCTGGAGGAGAAAAGCGGCTACTGAGTTATCCTGGGAATAGTGCCTTGTTATTTATGTCACCAATAAATCTCTTTTGAAACACCATCTGATTGTTTTCTGGTTTTCATGAGACCACAACATTTATGAGTTACTGAATACCTATCACTGGTGTGTTGTGCATGTGTGTGTATGTATATGTGTGTGTATATATGTTGGGAGGCTGGGGGATGTATGACCCCATACTTAGTCCCCCCAGATCCTGCACAGAATAACAGCTCTTCATAGCTATAGGGAGTCAGAGGAAATCTTGCATTCTATTTGGCAACAATAGTGTAGCCAATTCTTTAAGGTGCATTGGAATAAAGGCAAAACTTAAGAGTGCTGGGGAGATAAATTGTAGATAACAGCAGATGACAGATCCCTTGCACTAAACCCACACCACAGTACCTGGGTCGGCTGTCCCTGTCACTCTAAGCAGAGCTGCTTCAAATAGCTTTGGTGGTAATGGTGGTGGGATGAGGAGGGGAGCTTGTTATTTTCCTTGACTCTTCCAGAGAAATTTCATAAATAGTTTACTTAGTGTGTTAATCTGTGCATCTGGGAAGCATAATGCGTCCTTGGCACCACAGCCCACTGTGATGTTCGTCGATTGCCTCTTGCAGAAGGAGAAGGGGTTGAGTCCATCTATTTAGAGTATTGGGAATTTTTGGTGTCTATTATTTAGAAAGTTGTGATTGGAATCTCTCTTCAAGCTGAAATTATTTTTGTCCCCAAATAATCAAAGCCAGACTCCCCACAGGAGGTTGTAGGGTGGTGGCTGGTGCACTTGAGTAGAACCAATTGCTGTCTTGCAAATCTCATCACTGCATTAGTGAAAAAGAAGGAGATTTGTACTATGAAAATTGTTCTGGAGAGGCTTGGCCTTATGGTTTTGATATATGGTAATTCTGTGAATACAAATATACTTTCTCTAGGATAAACAACATAAAACTGTAGCTTCTTTGATGATGTTTTGCCTTGATTTTAGAAAGGGAGATGACAAATTAGACATCGGGGTTAAATTATAGTCAGTGGAACCTAGTTTTCAATTTGTCTTCCTACTCTACTGTTGAGTGTGTCATTTTTGCAAGACTTTGACTCTCCTTCTGATATAGTCACTTATTTTTTCCATCCAAATCACAGATTTGAGAGTACCTATGCCAAATGCTATGAAAATAAATTTTGAAAAGTAAAAGACTTTGACATATGGATTTTCTTCCTTCTTCTTCCTTCTGCCACTTACCATTGTCATAGCAGTCATCCTCATTGTTATCATCATCATCATCTCCTAAACAGTCTTATCAATGCTGGTATTATTAACTCTTACACCTTGTCTTCGTCATTCGCTCTACACATCATTACCAGATTCATCTTCCTGAGACAAGTCTTTGATCCTGACATCATACTAGCCCCACACCTTCACCTGGTCAGTGTCTTTGCAGCCCTGTGCTCCAAGTCTAGACCCAACCTTCCTCTCTTGCTTCAGCACTCCATGCTGCTGTGAGACTGACCTCTCCTTGTCTTCCATGCACACTCAGGACTCACTTGTCTTTGCACATGCTTTTCCTCCATCTCTCTCTCTTTTTTTTTTTTTTTTTTTTTTGAGACGGAGTCTCACTCTGTCACCCAGGCTGGAGTGCAGTGGCATGATCTTGGCTCACTGCAACCTCTGCCTCCCAGGTTCAAGCAATTCTTCTGCCTCAGCTTCCTGAGTAGCTAGGACTACAGGTGCGCACCACCATGCCTGGCTAATTTTTGTATTTTTAGTAGAGACAAGGTTTCACCATATTGGCCAGGCTGGTCTCAAACTCCTGACCTCGTGATCTGCCCACGTAGGCCTCCCAAAGTGCTGGGATTACAGGCATGAGCCACCGTGCCCGGCCTCCTCCATCTCTTTATGTGTAAATGTCACTCGACCTTCATGATGTAGCTGAAATGCTACTTTCTCTACCCTCCCCCATGGCATCCTTCCTCTTCTAATTTCCTTCCACACTTAATTTGTTCTTTTATTGTGTCACTTACCCCATTTTCCTTACAGTATAGTTTTATATATATATATGTGTGTGTGTGTGTGTGTGTGTGTGTGTGTGTGTGTGTATTATCATCTTGAAAGCTGAGTTCGAATCTTCTTGAAGCTCAAGTTGTTCACCTTGTTAGACTTGCGTGTCTAGCACAGTGCAGCATACAGTGGTATATATTTATCTTAACTTTATCCGCACTTATTTCCCAGAGGGGACTATGTAAGTTGTCAGTGTTTTGCTGTACTAATTTGTGAAGCAAGTCAAATGGCCCTGAGTTGTTCTTCTAAACATATTGTACTAGAAATCACTTTTTTGCATCTAGAGAAAAGGAATGGGGCAGGCCTGGGTAAGATGCATCTTAATGGGCCTCTTCGGTATGGAGCAACAAGAGCACCATTCTCTTCCCACTGCCAACCCCCTCACCCCACCTCCCCTCACCCACCAGTCCCCACACACATGCTGGGCTTTCCAAACTGCTGTCAATCATTTCAATCTCATGATAGCCTCTCCATGAGGAAAGTAGAACTGGCTGTATAATCATCCCAAGTCTGATGGATGGTGAGGAAAAAAGTCACAGAAAACCTTAAATGACTTGCGGAATTGCATAGCTTGTTGGCAGCCAAAAGAGGGAAGGACCTCAAAACCTCTTAAATTCTCATTCCATGGATGCCTACTAGATGAGCTGGTGATTCCCACCCCTGCCTTTTTTAGAGACAGGGTCTCACTCTGTCACCCAGGCTGGAGTGCAGTGGGAGGATCATGGTTCACTGCAGCCTCAACCTTCTGGGCACAAGTGATTCTCCCACTTCACCCTCCCCAGTAGCTAGATCTACAGGCATGTGCCATCACACATGGCTAATTTTTATTTTAATTTTTTTGTAGAGATGGGATCTTGCCATGTTGCCCAGGTTGGTCTCAAGCTCCTGGGCTTAAGTGATCCTCCCATCTTCGCCTCCCACAGTATTGGGATTACAGGTGTGAACCACTGCACCCAGCCTGATTTTCCCTTTTTCTTAGGACACAGTCATACTGGATTAAGACCCACCCTAATGATGTTATTTTAATTTGATTACCTCTTTAAACACCCTATTTCCAAACAAGGTCATATTCTGAAGTACTGGAAGTTAAGACCTCAGTATATCTTGCTGGGAGTGACACAATGCAACCCACAACAAGACCCAATTTGAATTCCATCACCCATGACCAATTTGATTCCCATATGGATCTTTCCTTTAATCTGATTCCTTTTCATGTGTCCAGAGTCAAGAGCAAAAGGCTTTACATTTCATGTGGAGGGATTCCCTAGGTCTTTTGGAAACAGCTTGTGCTCCCCTCACATTCACAATCTCTTCAAGCTGTCTTCTTCACCTTCTTAAAGCAGACCGATTCACTTTCAAAAGGAGGGTGCTGGGTTGTCCCCAGTAACTCTAGCTAGGCCAGGTCAGAACGTCTGAAAGGCACTGTGGGAAATTTCCAGTGAACGCCATCCAATCACTGAAGCAGTGAAGAGGGGAATGGGGATGTGGCAGGAAGCAGGAGGAACCTGGCACCCACCGTGGGGGTTGGGCTGGGTGGGAGGCGGGGCTCCGTCATCTTCTCTCAGCCCAGGCTCCTCCTCGTTTGCTCGTGCTTTTTCCCACCTGCACATCACACATCTGCAGCTGTTTCCTTGGGCTCCTTGTTGCTGGAATTATGAAATAAAGTTAAAAATGGATAAATAGAGAAGGAAATGGGAGGGACCAGAGACTCACTCAAGGCTCAGATGGGCTCTGGTTGGAAGAAACCCACATGTGTTAGCTTGGTTGGGTTGTGGTCAGGGTGGAGTGAGGGGCAGGGAGTTGTGCACCACAGGGTGGGGCTGGGGGACCTGCTGTTACTGTGAATTGAATATTCATGCAAAGAAGAGGGTATGGGAGGGGTGCCTGGATGAGGAGAGATCAGAATTCTCAGCTGGTGTTTCTTCTCCTTCTTTTTTTCCGTCCTGAACTCCAGCTTTTCTAAAACTCTCTCCATCTTTCTGCTTTTCTGCTGGCGTAGCCCAACCACCTCTCCCTGAATCTCAGCACCATAAAAAGAAGCCAAATCCCTTTCCCTGAGTTCAGCGCATATAATAATATCAGTGACTATAAAGATGACATGTATTTGTGTGGTGCCTGGAGGTTTACACAGTTCTTTAATTTATATAATCTTATTTTATAATTTGATAAGGCAGACCTTTTACAAGTAGATCTGTATGGAAGAACTAGGGCCAAGGGAAGATAAGTAGCACCCCCAGTCCTAATAATGACAGGAGATTTCTTGTGTGGAATAAGGAAGACCTAGCCACAGAGAGGCTCTGCTAAACTCAGTCCTTTCTGGGGCACTGCACTCTCTGGGGGTATTTTGGAGGCTGCTTTTAGAGACACTAGACAAGTCCTTCCTCATACTTTCTAACATCCACCCTTTGGTGGCCGATGACTAAAAGGAAATTCACTTAAACACTTCCCTAGTGTCTACTATGCACTGGCTCCTCTAGGGATATTGGAGACAGGACTGATGGAGGAGGTAAAAAGAGAAGCAAAATGTGGATTGTTTCTTCAGGGAAAACATTTGACTGGGAATGAACAGCTGGGCGAAGGAAGGATTTATTGTCCCAACAGCTGCATGTTCTGGAGTGAACCTCCTGAGGACTGGCAGAGGGGGCGTGGTTGCAGGGGATGGGTAGAGGAAGCAGATTTCCTGATCGTCCCTATCTGTGTGAGAAGGCGTCATACCCATGGCCAGACAAAGGGACATTTACTTGAACTGACATTCATGACACACGGGCCCCATAAGGGCGTGTGTGGCCAAAACCCTCTTCTACACTTCAGTCTGTTCCTCTTTTCTTTGTAAGATGGGCCAATCCTAGAGCCTCTGTGTTTTCCAGGCTCCCAGGTTGGCCGGCATTAGGCCAGGGTCTCTCAGTGACAGCCTCAAGAGTGGAGGCAGAAAAGAGAGGTCAGGGTATTTGTCTCCTTCCCTCTCCACTTGTGGAGGCTTTTCAGCAGCACCTGCCTTTCCTCCGTGGCTCTAGCTACCACCAAACAGGCTCCTGTGGGTGAACCCAGGACTCCTGAGACTCTGCCTCCTCCCCCCATCCCTCCAGCAGGGGGCAGTAGGAACCTCTAGCTTTTGCTAATCTTGGGGTTGAATCATCATCTTCCACTTGGCATCTTAGCTCATCCATCACCTGGAAATCCAATTTCCTGCATGAAAGCCCCTCGGTTGTAAATATTCAAGTGGTTTTGTTTCCTGGTTAGATCCTGATTGATAAAACCTTCTGATAAGAAAGAGCCAGAACTCTTGGGCATATCTTTGGCAGATGGCTTGGCAAAGCCCCTCCCTCCAAAGCCCAGCACCCTCCACAGAGTCAGGGCCCACAAGCTCGGGTTAGCCTTTTCTTGGATCGAAGGGTTGGAAAATTGGGCTCTGTGATTTGTTGGACACATGTTTATACACAGAGCCTGCGCAGTCCTACAGATTTCATGACTCCAAGACGTTAACTGACTTCCAAGTTTTATATATTTGAATGTTTAAAAAATAAATTTGGCTCAAAGATGAAAGGGCTGGAAATAATTTCCATGTCCTCATTTGTGTGCCTCAGATATTGCTACTGACATTTTATAAATATTTTAAACCTTTCTTCACCTTCTATATGTCAAGATAAAAAAAGACATTTTAGATAATAGCTAGGTTTGTGGGTGGTGCTTCTTTCTTGATTGAGGATGGATGACCCACGAAAATAGTAAGCAATAGTCACTTTATGCAGCAGAGTTTTCCAAAGCACACAGGAAAGACACAAAGGAATATGTGTTCAGTGGTCATAGCATTTAGTGGCATGAAGATTTTTTTTTACTCCAGATTCTTTCTGTGCTGTATCCTCCCTTTTCCACTGCCTCCAAGCCTGTGATTTATGCCCCAACATTCAGCACAAACTTCCTCTGCTCCCTACCCTGACTCTGATTCTTCATCCAGCTTCGTCTCTCTTCTCCCTCCTTCTCTACAGGCCCAATGCTCTCTGCTTCTGTTGTCTCTGATGGGAGCACATCAGGAATTTTTAAACTTTTTTTTTTTTTTGAGCAATCTTATAAACTTGGAAAAATCTCATAAAATTGAGGACCTTCTGTAGGGTCACCCGCCTTAAACATTATATACAAGTTCCACAGGTTAATACTACCAAAAGCCATATGTGGATCACAGTTTAAGAGACTCTACTATATAGTCAATATCTTTTATACCAGAGTTTTTAAATTACCTGCTAACTAAATTGCTTTTCCTTTGTGACACACACCACTCCTCTTAGGAGCCTCTCTCTCTCTCTCTCTCTCTTTTTTTTTTTTTTTTGAGACGGAGTCTTGCTCTGTCACCCAGACTGGAGTGCAGTGGCACGATCTCAGCTCACTGCAACTTCCACCTCCCAGGTTCAAGCAATTCTTCTGCCTTAGCCTCCCGAGTAGCTGGGATTACAGGCGCTTGCCACCATGCCTGGCTAATTTTTGTATTTTCAGTAGAGATGGGGTTTTACCATGTTGGCCAGGCTGGTCTTGAACTGACCTCAAGCAATCAGCCCACTTCGGCCTCCCAAAGTGGTGGGATTACAGGCGGGAGCCACCGCGCCCGGCCAGGAGCCTCTCTTATAAAAGCCCTTAATTGAATTCGATTCCATTCAATTTCACTCTTAATTTAATTCCACTGTGGTCAGTTAACGTACTTTGTAGAATTTCAATCCTTTTACGTTTATCAAGGTTTGTGTTTTATGGTTTACCCTGGAGAATGTTGCAAGTGCTTCTGAGAATATTCTGTATTCTGCTGCTGATAGGTAGGGTGTTCTATAGATGTCTATTAGGTCTAGTTGGTTTACTGTGTTAAAATAGTCTATATCTCTGTTGATTTTTTTGTTACTTGTTCTACCCATTATTGAAGGTGGAATATTGAAGTCTCCAACTACTATCGTTGAACTATCGTTGTTGAATTGTGTCTTCCTGCAATTCTGTTAGTTGTTGCTTTATGTATTTTTGGGTTTTGTTTTCAGGTGCATTTATGCTTATAGTTCTTGTATCTTCCTGACAGATTAACTCTTTTATTATTATAAAACATCCCTCTTTATTGCTAGTAACCGCTTTTCTTTTAAAGTCTATTTTGTCTGATATTATTGGTGTAGCCACTGTGGTTCTCTTATAGTTGCTATTTTCTAGTGTAACATTTTAATTCCTTTAATTATTTTTAGCTATATTTTTGAGTCATTTTCTTAATGGTTGCTCTAGGCCTTACAATACACATCTTAACTCACCAGAATCTACTTCCGATTTAAACTAACTTAATTTCAGTGAGATATAGAAACTTTACTTTTGCATAGTTGTATTTCTTCTCCTTTCCTTTTTTAGTAATATTATTGTCATATGTATCATGTCTGTGTTATGAACCCAACAATACATTGTTATAATTGCTAATTTATCAAATTTTATGTTTTTTTAAGAAGAAAGAGCAAGAATGTGTTCATAGAGTTTGTTATATTAACTTATTTTTCCCTGTGAATTTGAGTTAATTCATTACATTCCATTTGATTTCTTTCCTACCTGGAAGATTATTTTCATAAATTTTGCTCTTGACATTTTAAAAACAATTGAGAAGCTACCACTGCCCCTCAAAATCCTGTCTCTTTGAAAATCCCTTTCATTCAAATGACTATCTCACTGTCATTGATAGTGGCTTTCCAAAGTCAAAATAACTTTCCTCAATGAGTTCATCCCCTGGTTCAGTCATCTTTTGTGCCATCTTTCTTGGTAACTTCTGATAACACATTGGTCATTGTTCTAGATCTCTTCGTTAATAATTCCTCAACTTCTTCATTTCCCAGTCACTATTTGTGTGCACTCTGACAGTCGCACTGTACACCTAACCATTCCTCAGAGGACTTTCCTGATAAAAATGCTGGCTCTGAGCGTGCCTTTTCCAATCACCACAGCCTCTCCCCACACCTTGCTGAAGGCTGCTGAACCTGGACTTTCTTCTTATGGAAATCTTTGTGTCCCAAATCTTGCCTGGTGTTCTTAGTCCAAAACACCCTTTCTGATTTTTGTGCTTTCTTCCCAAGGAAAGCCAATGTACAATGCACTTTCTGTTAGTACGTTGAATCCTTTTATTTTTAAACTCTTTGTTTTACTAATTCTAAACTTTAGCCTCTACTGCTTACTTGCTGAAGCCTCTATGATGATCATTTGTTGGTTTTGATGGTCCAGCACTCATTTACTGTACTTTCCTCTCTCAGGCCAGTTTGCTGCTGCAGTAAATTAGATTCCACCTGAGCTCTAGGGGTAGACTTTAGACTTAGACATAGCCAAATAGAACATCACAGATCCCTGGCCACAATGTTTGATTGAGAGATTGGTACTACCAAATCAGAAACAGTGAGATGCAATGAGAACTTGAGTGGGATTGTTGGTAAAGAGGCACAAGCTCTTTAGAGTGGATGCTGTCAAGACCCCTCACATGGAACCTGTAGAAGGCAGGGTCGAAAGAAAGAGACATATTGAGTCTTATGGCAGTGTTTGAGGCTCTTGATCAAGCCACACCTGAAGCTAGAAGAACTTGTAGACATTTTTACTATAAGACTAATAAATTCCTATTTTGTTCTTTTTGCTTTGGCTAGCTTGAGTTGGATTTCTGACTTCTGCTACCAAAAGAATTTTAACTGATAGATATACTTTCTTTACAGCTAGACATTTTAGGATACAACAAAAGTGAGACATCTGGATGAATTAAAAATCTTTAGATTCTTATAGTGATTTCAAGTCCTCAGATAACCTCTATCTCCCTCATATACCGAAAGATATACGGGCAAAGGGAATGGTTAGGCAATTCATAAAAGAAGTGAATCAAATAGCTAGTACACAGAAGAAAAGTTTAACCTTACTGTTAATCAAGAAATGCAAATTAAACCAAAAGATACATTTTTTTGCAAACAAAATTGGCAAGGCATGACCAATAATAATAATTCTCAGTAAACATATATTCTTAATATTGTTGATGGTACTGAATAATTTTTTTTTTTAAATTTAGAGGCTGAGTCTTGCTATGTTGATGAAGCTGGTCTCAAACTATTGGACTCAAGCAATCCTCCTCCTTTAGTCACCAGAGTAGCTGGGATTACAGATGCCTGCTGCCATACCCAGCTAATGGTACTGAATATTACTGCAACTTTTTTGTTGGTAATTTAGAAATATAAATTTAAGTCGCAGGCATTTTACATACTGTTTAATCCAGATATTTCCCTGATAGAAGTAATTAAGAATGCTCACAAAGATAAAACTACATGGTTGCTCTTTTCTGTATATATAAGCAAAAAATTTGCAAGAACAAAAATACCCAAATTGTAAAAGATTTTGCCCAGTAATTAAGTAATGACTTTGTACTATTGTTTCAGTTGGTTAAGAAATATTGCCTTTCAGTGGACTAAATAGTTCCTTAGGACTGGCTTTTAAACTATTATTTTAATTTAATAAAACAAACTTTTTGAGTGCCCATTATAAAACATAAACCCGACTAGACTTGAGAGCCATGGAACATAATTCCTAACCTCGAGAAACTCAATCCAACAGAAAACAACCACTGATGACACACATAAAAATGTTAAATGCCAGCCGGGCACGGTGGCTCATGCCTGTAATCCCAGCACTTTGGGAGGCCGAGGCAGGTGGATCATGAGGTCAGGAGATGGAGATCATCCTGGCTAACATGGTGAAACCCCGATCTCTACTAAAAATACAAAAAAATTAGCCAGGGATGGTGGTGGGCGCCTGTAGTCCCAGCTCCTCGGGAGGCTGAGGCAGGAGAATGGTATGAACTGGGAGGCGGAGCTTGCAGGGAGCCGAGATTGCACCACTGCACTCCAGCCAGGGCGACAGAGTGAGACTCCATCTCAAAATAAATAAATAAATAAATAAATAAATAAATAAATAAATAAAAAAGCCGGGCCTAGTGGCTCATGCCTGTAATCCCAGCACTTTGGGAGGCTGAGGTGGGTGGATCACGAGGTCAGGAGATCCAGACCATCCTGGCTAACATGCTGAAACCCTGTTTCTACTAAAAATAGAAAAAATTAGCCAGGCGTGGTGGCGGATGCCTGTAGTCCCAGCTACTCAGGAGGCTGAGACAGGAGAAGGGTGTGAACCCAGGAGGTGGAGCTTGCAGTGAGCTGAGATTGGCCACTGCACTCCAGCCTGGGTGACAGAGCCAGACTCTGTCTCAAAAAAAAAAAAAAAAAAAAAAAAGTTAAATGCCATCATTCCTGGTAATAGGTAGAAAATCATAAGGGAGGGCAAGATTCATTCTAATAGGTGGGATCTAAAAAGGCTTTGTGGAGGAAATGACATTTGAATTTAGCTTTGTTGGATCATCAGGACGCTGAAGAACCGCAAGGCTGTTGGTTTGTACATACCTGCTTCGATTTCATGGTAACAACTGAAAAGGGGAGAACATGTGATGGGAAGCGAAGCTCCTATCCCTCACTGAGGCCACCCTGTGGGCCTGGTGGTCTGCCCACTACCCTGAGAGCCCCCTTCTCTCCAGGGAGCACTGGCCCAAAAACTTGCCAGAGGTCCTAAGTGTGTTTGGCTCTGTGGTGTCATTCCTGCAAGTTCAGCTTGTGGTCTGAGTGTATTTTCCATCAGATTTTTCTTTGCAAAGAGTCAGGGGTTAGAGACATGGAACAGGAAACAGGGAAGTTCTTCTAGAAGAGAGCTTGATGAGGTCTTCATGGGTCTATATGTGAGCCATGGACTTTCTGGCACAGTACAGAGCTATATGAAAAATTCTGTAGAGATATTATTGCATTGCCCCTCTCACATTGTCTTACAATTTGCACTAAGAACCGTGGCTCTGAGATAATTAGAGCATGTGAAATATACGACCTATTATGGGCTTGAAATGGCCTGGATAAGAGCATAGTGACTCAGCAAAATCTGGATGAGGTAAACAAAAAGAGAAGTAACTCAGCAATTCCCATCCAGTGAACACTCAAAGACCCAGGGGTTTGTAGGCATCAGTGCAGCACAGAGCATGTCTCTGGCCCTGATCCTAACAGTTTTAGTGCAATAAGATTAAATTAGAAGATAAACTGTAGGACACAGTGAGATGTTGGCAGTCTAGCAAATGGCTTCATAAAGTTGAATTGATTTAAGTGAGTAACATATCATAGTCTAGATTCTGGCCTCAGGATCCTAATTTTGTCAGTGTACTTAATGATCTTTCTTAGGGCTGAATCACATGAATCAAGTTTTTTTGAGATCAACAGGTAAAACTAGAAGGATATCTGTGCTCTTCAATGCGAAACAATACACCAAGATCATTCTTGTTACTTGCAGTATCTTCTGCCTGACACATTTTCCCATCTTTCCTCCTGCCCACAGTCTTTGCACAGCTATCTACTTCTCATCATTTAGGTCTAAGGTGCTATTTTTATTAAGGTAATTCTGTAGGACATAAGCCAAAATGATGTATAATAGCTCAAGCCTAATAGAAGATCAATTTTTGCTCATGTAACAAATGAGGAACAAGGAAAGAGGTCAATGGGGGAGATTCTGCTCCATGGAGTCATTCAGAGATCCATGACAACAATGGTTCTTCTACTTTGAGACATTGTTTTCAAGGTCATCTTAGAAGTTGTCTTCATTCAGCCAAAAAGAAAGAGAAAAAAGATGAGGGAATATGTGTGGGAGATGTCTATGAGCTAAATCTGAAAGTAAACACATCACTAACACTTTCATTCCATTAGGTAGAACTCACAGCTAATTGCCAGGGAGGCTTGGAAATATATCCTAGCTATGAGTCAAGGAAGAAGAGTAAAACATTGATTTTGGTCAGCATTTCTTGCCATTGTAGTTCTGTTTGAGTGGATACTATTTTTACATAGACTGTGTTATAAATGGTGCCCCTGGAGTTGTATAATACGGTGGGCCTGTTATTGTATTCCTGGTACATAGAAGAGTGAGTGTTGATAGCAGGTCATAGCAGGTGATCACTGTAACATAGACTGGAATGCCTTACACTGGCATAGTTAGCATATGCTCTCTTTGTGTGCAGAATTTCAGGGCAAGCCAGATTGTAGCCGATGGTTTCTTTGGGATGTGGGCAGTTACTTGAGGATTTAATGAAAACAAGATAAGATAGTCATATTGCATCTGTTCCCGAGATAGTTAAATTATTGCTCCAAAGTCTGGGTAAGTTGAGGCCTTGAGTCAGGGCACTCTTTCAAGCAGGTAATATTAGGATGGAGACTGCAAAAATTTTCCGCCATTATCTTTACTTTCTACTCAACTCAACAACTGACTCAGTTTTTCAGAGCTATGGTCTAGGAGAATATGCCAAATTATGACTGAAAATTATCTGTTTTGATTTACTGCATGAATTTTTACAGTTGAACTCAGAATGATCTATCAAGGAGGCCTCACCCAACCCAAGTAAGGCCCACAATTAGCAATTACAAGATACTTTATCATTTACAATGCACTTGTTCTTAAAGTATGCCATTGGATTCTTACAACAATGCTGGGAGGAAGATCAGGCAGCTGTTGTGGCCACAGTTTTACAGATGAGCTCAGAGAAGTGTGAGTTACCCCAGTTCACACAGGAAATGGCACCATTGAGATCCCCATTCCTCCGCCATGCCTTCAACCATTTCCTCTCTACTGGCTGCTTAACCTCAACATAAAGATATGCTTACGTTTTATTTATCTTACGACAAAAGATAAACTCACCTCTTAATCCTGTGCTCTCTTTAATTTCTAATAGCCACAGGATTTCTTGCCTTTTCTTGATATCCAAGCTTCTTTCACTCGACATCCCTTTTCTCCTAATTCCTCCTCAATCCTTGGTAATCTGGCTGCTGCTGCCATCTCTTATAGGGACCTCCTCGTTCCCAGCCAGAGAACCATTGTTGACCACTCTGTGCTTTTGCTTGACTGTTGCCACTGCATCTGTCTATAAATCTGTTTCCTATAAACAACAGGAATTTTGACACACTATACTTCACATCATTCTCATCAAATAAGTTAAAAATATATAGGATGGGCCAGGCGTGGTGGCTCATGCCTATAATCCCAGCACCTTGGGAGGCCGAGGCTGGCAGATCACGAGGTCAGAAGATCGAGACCATCCTGGCTAACATGGTGAAACCCCTTCTCTACTAAAAATACAAAAACAAAATTAGCTGGGCGTGGTGGTGGGCGCCTGTAGTCCCAGCTACTTAGGAGGCTGAGGCAGAAGAATGGCGTGAACCAGGGAGGCGGAGCTTGCAGTGAGCCGAGATGGTGCCACTGCACTCCAGCCTGGGAGACACAGCGAGACTCCATTAAAAAAAAAAAAAAAAAAAAAAAAATATATATATATATATATATATATATATATATATATATGTATATATATGTGTGTATATATATGTGTATGTGTATATATACGTATATATACGTGTGTGTATATATACGTATATATACGTGTGTGTGTATATATACGTATATATACGTGTGTGTGTATATATACGTATATATACGTATATATGTATATATATACGTATATATACGTATATATGTATATATATACGTATATATACGTATATATGTACATATATACGTATATATACGTGTGTGTGTATATATACGTATATATACGTATGTGTGTGTATATATACGTATATATACGTATGTGTGTGTATATATACGTATATATACGTATGTGTGTGTATATATACGTATATATACGTATGTGTGTGTATATATACGTATATATACGTATATATGTATATATGATGGATTACTATTTTTCTGACAGGAGAAAATTTTGGTTTGGACCAAGTGTTCAAAATAATGAATCCTCTTACAATTTTGCCTATGTAAAGACAGGCGGGATTTTTGCCACACATTTCAAACCTTATTTTTCTTCACTACTCATATTTCTGGTGTCAAGATTTGTAGGACAGAGATATACCATGATATAGCCTGTGGTCTCACACCTTCATATTATGATGCTGAGTGAGTCAGACAGTAGGCAGTAGGAATATTCCTAAAAGCCATTCCTATGCCAGGATGGCAAGCAATAATTTAACTCTGTTTGGAAATGACCTTGGACCACATAAATATATACCGCTAAGTGAAAACAAAATGTATCCCCAACTAAACTTCTTTTAGCCTGGTTCTAAAAACCCCACTCCAGTGCCAACCATCGCCAGGGTGTGATAGTGGAGTTGCATAGAGATAGTAGTTGTGGCTGATTGAGTTTGCATTTTTATAAAACAGGCAGCCAGGTACACACGTTGCTATGTCTTTTGCTAGGACCCTGGAAGGCATCTTCTAGATGATGGTCTCTGGTCTTAGGCTTCGTTAGCCTCCTGGGGAGTCTGTCCACTCTGGTTTGGTACAAGGCCATTGAGAACTAATGGAAAAGAGCAAAATTGACCTAACTGCACCAAGTACAGTGGACTAAAGTTGATTTAGTATCTAGCCAATCCGTTTCATAAGTGTTGAAAGCCAAAAACATAAAATAGGCTTTTGTTGCTAAGGCCCTGTGCCAGGACTGGGCCTGTCTGCCCTTGGATCCATTCCTGGTCCTTGGCCTGCTCCCCTCCGCATCACAGAGTGGCTGACCCCCCAGGCTGACCCCTCTTCTAGGCTCCAGCTCTCACTGGACAGGCCCCTGGCTTAATCAGGTTCCCCTGCCCCGCGAGCTCCCATATCACTACCTTCTCCTGTGTCCCCTCAGCTAGGATGTGCCCTGGCCTCCTGCTGTTGCCAATCCCCAGGTTAACTCACCTCTGTCACATTGCCGCTGAATTTTTTGCTGTAAATTCCCTCTGCTAATGCACTTAAAGCGGTTTTTGTCTTCCTATTTTGACTTTGACAGGGAAGGTCCTGTTTCCTAAGATTTTGGAACTGTTGACTTTGAGATATAGGCAGGTTGCTCAGAGCTGCATGGTTCGAGCAAGGCAGTTATTGAAATGCTGTAAAGAATGCTCAATGAACTGGGATGCACATGCTCAGATAGTCCTCACAGGAGGCAAGAGAATTCCACACAGTCAGAAACCCTTTTGCTATTAAGAGTGACATCCGGCCGGGCGCAATGGCTTATGCCTGGAATCTCAGCACTTTGGGAGGCTGAGGCGGGCAAATCACGAGGTCAAGATATCGAGACCATCCTGGCCAACATGGTGAAACCCTGTCTCTACTAAAAATACAAAAATTAGCTGGGTGTGGTGGCACGCGCCTGCAGTCCCAGCTACTTGGGAGGCTGAAGCAGGAGAATTGCTTGAACCCGGGAAGCGGAGGTTGCAATGAGATGAGATCGTGCCACTGCACTCCAGCCTGGTGACAGAGCGAGACTCCATTTCAAAAAAAAAAAAAAGTGACAGCCCTAGGAAAACAATCAGTTAAGGGTGTAGAAATATTAGAGAATACATATTTAAAATATATGTGATGTAAATCAATGTTTACATAAATATGTATGAGATATATGGAAAAAATACTAAAAATTCCCTTTTAACAGTTGGACAGGAAGCATAATTCTCTGATAAACATCACAATAAAGTGTTTGGTCAGTGACAGGAAAATAAAAGGGCTGGAGAAGTTGCATGGGAAGGAACATGGCAGTGGGAAAAATGAGAAAAAGAGAGAAAAGACAAATACACAATATCATGATGAAGAATAAACAACAGTTGGAGGAAACTAAAATATACTGTGCTTAATATATAAAAATATTTGAAAATCTAGGTAGTCCAGATTAGAAAAATAGAATCAAGATGCATCAACCCAAGTTGATATCTGAAATAACAGGACTAAAGCCATTAATGAAATTTTATATGGAGTCAAATGTCCGAACCAAAATGGCATTTTGGAAAAGTTTTCAAGTATTCTATGAATAAAAAGTTTCTCACTCATGCAGTGATTCCAAAGCTTACTAAAGTGGATATACTTTCAATAATACCAAAATCCTAATACCAAAAACTTGAAAAACAAGCATAGCAATAACCAGTACTCTGTTTCATTTATAAATCATCCTTTAAAAACTCAAGTCAAATAAGTACATTGAAAATGTGAAAGACAATATAAGAAAAAAAAGGTGAGAAGAGTATTAAATATTAGAAAGAAGGAATTTTCATTGCTTTGCAGGTAGATTCAATTTACAGGAAAGCAAAGCAAATCAATGAAAAACAATTACATTTGTGAAAAGAGTTCAGTAAAGTCGTCAGTTATAAAATAACTATAAAAAGTCAATAGCTTTCCTACATGTCAGCAATAAGCTTTAGGTCATAATTGCATTCCCAATAGCAAAAGAAACATAAAACAGATAGAATTAAATTTAAGGCAGGAATATCCAGGATACACAAAAAATATGACCACACTTTATCAAACAAAAATAATTGATTTTACTACCTTTAGAAATATCGTATTTCTGGAATGTGCAGTATAGACATTATAGCTTAAATTAACTGGTGTATTGAATGTAATTCTGAAAAAAACTGAATTAAATTTAAGGCAGGAATATCCAGGATACACAAAAAATATGACCACACTTTATCAAACAAAAATAATTGATTTTACTACCTTTAGAAATATCATATTTCTGGAATGTGCAGTATAGACATTACAGCTTAAATTAACTGGTGTATTGAATGTAATTCTTAAAAAACTCTAATAATATTTTTTAGAGCTTGACAAAGTAGCCAAGAATCTTTTGAAAAAAAAAATTAGTTATACATTTTCACTATCAGAAACTAAAATAGGTTGCAGATTTACAATAAGTAAAACAGAATGAAAATCACATGAGATTAGTTGAAAAAGGATAAGAAATCGGGATGTGATTGTGTCATTAAACTTCATAGATTATCTAATAGTGGTGTAATTATTTCTAAAAATAATTGCTCACTATTTCTTATCTCAAAATAAGGTAAATTTCAGATGGAAATTAAGATTTCAGTGTAAAGAATTCTAAAAGGAGATTCTCAAAGGAGATATCAGAGATGTGGGCTAAAATTTATCTTCAAAAATCATCCCCAAAACATTTTTATAATGGAGAAAAAAATTAGTAACTAAATGTCCAGCAGTAGGGTATGGATTAAGAAATAGTAAAGAATTCTTAGGATAGACTACCATACAACCACTGAGCATGTTATATTTATTTATATGGAGAATTTTTCATTTTATATTGTTAAGTAAAAATATAATTTAAACACTATGTACACCTTAAGCCATTTAAGAATATATATATATGAAAAAAATACTAGTAAGACATATACCACAATGCTTATATATGTTTCCTTCTCTCCTTTTCTCCTCCCTCCAAGATTAGTCCCCCATCCCTCCTCCCTACTCCAGTGCACAGTTCCAGCAAATTCATACAGACAACAGGTAGATGGGAAATGAGTGATTCCTCCAGCATTTAATTTGTTGTATTAGTCTGTTCTCACACTGCTATAAAGAGCTGCTGGAGACTGAGTAATTTATAAAGAAAAGAGGTTTAATTGACTCACTTCCACAGGCTGTACAGGAGGCATGGCTGGGGAGGCCTCAGGAAGCTTACAATCATGGCAGAAGGGTGAATGGGAAGCAATCACGTCTTCACATGGCAGCAGGAGAGAGGGAGCACAGAGAGAAGTGCTCTACACTTTTAAACAACCAGATCTTGTGATAACTCATTCACTATCATGAGAACAGCAAGGGGGAAGTCTACCGCCATGATTCAATCACCTCCCACCAGGCCCCTGCTCCAATACGTGGGGATTACAGTTCAACATAAGATTTGGGTGGGGACACGTGGCCAAACCGTATCATTAGTCATTTTGCATTTTTAAGTGGAAATAATTTTAATGTGCAAATGCGGGACCTAAGTTACTTACAGGGAGGTTCACTAGGTTGTAAGCATTCAGAAAAGTGTCAGCTTCAGTAAAGTCAGTTAAGTTATGGGAGAACTCTTGATTTTTTTCCCATTCAGGTTAAAGATCCTTGATAGGAAATGACTGGAGGGAGTTATACTGTACCACCAGCTCTTTATGGGCTTGGATCAGGCTTCTCACACTTGAATGTGCACACAAACCACCTGGGGATCTTGTTCAAAGGTAGATTCTGA
Source organism: Homo sapiens (assembly GCF_000001405.40). Classification (NCBI taxonomy): domain Eukaryota; kingdom Metazoa; phylum Chordata; class Mammalia; order Primates; family Hominidae; genus Homo; species Homo sapiens. The sequence goes on from NC_000017.11 coordinate 12,355,820, forward strand.
TTCAGGAGGGCTGGAGCATGGCCTGAGATTCTGCATTTATGACAAGCCCCCAATTGATGTTGTTCCATGTTGAGTAGGGAGGGCTGAGCCGATTCTGATACATCTTTTTAGTTTGATTCTAAATGATTTTCATTTTTACCATGATACCACACAAAACAATAATCTCTCTATATTCATTTTCTTTCTTCTGGGGCCTGACCTGTTTGTTTTCCATTCCTGGGAATGAGTGTTCTACCTGGGGTTTGAGTCAAATGTGGAGTTAATGTCTCATAGATGCCAAGAGCAAATAGAGAATAAAAAATGCATGGAAAAAAGAATATTTTTTTATCCTAGGCAAATACTTCAGTCAGATAAAACAGAAAATATCTTTATGAAACTATTAATAAATCCCTAAGACATCTCAAATTAAACAATGGCAAGAAATGTTATGTTTGTAGAAATACATAAAATTCATTTGAGGTCAGGACATTTTATGGTGTCAGCCAATAAAGCAGATGGGAGATTCCACTCATTTGAATGGGTCTGGGATAAAGCTGTCAGTCCCTGGAGCCAGGAGACTGGGAGTTCTGTTCTGGGCCAGGTAACTGAGGGGCAATTGTGGCAGTCACCCTTGGTGGTTGGTCTGAGCAGTGGGTTCTTGTGTCCGGGACATCTGAAGAAGTATAAAAAGACATAAGGTAGAATGACTGAAATGCTGTTATGTGAGAGGCCCAGGGAACAATGAATTAAAGTGACTCTGAGAGTGGGCCTGCACAGACCCATGGCCATGGAGTTGTATTAGTTAGGATCATGCTAGATGCTATAACAAACAGACCCCATATTGTTCAATGGCTCAAAGACAGTAGAAGTTTACTTTCCCTCACATAACAGTTCAAGGTGGTTGTTTCCAACTGGTGGGCAGCTTTACTCCATGCAGTGATTCAGGGTCCCAGGCTGGTTCTATCTTGCCATCTCAATCTAGCTCACACAAAGGGAAAGAGAGCAGAGAGGTGGAACATCTGATTTTTAATTTGGGGGGGTCTGGATGTGGTCAGTTGAGTATCACTCACTTTGTATTGATGAGAACCCAGTCACAGAATCACTTTAACTACAAGAAAGGCTGCTAGAAAATAGAGGCTGGTTGTGCTCCAGATGGAAGAGAAAACTGGTGTTTGGTGAGCATGTTTGCCAGAGTTGACACCTACTGGGCATGAACAGGTGATCGCCTAAGCCCCCAACCAAAAATCTCAGACTTAAAACAGAAAGGACAGTTTAGAATGTTACAAAAGGAAGCATCCTATGGTTCTTCTTGGTAAAAGTGTTATGTACAGCAAATTGAGTGGTAGGGGGAAAATGGTGAGAATAATATTGGGGCAAGTACGTTTTGAGATTTATTGGGAGATAACTCATTTCCTCTGAGATGCTTTGTTTATAATTAGGAGAAGCTCTTATTAGGTGGTAATGAGGCTTCAAGCATGGAGAGATTGTCATTCTTTTTTAAAATTTTATATTGTTTAAAGTTTTATAGATTTAGGGGGGTACACATGCAGCTTTGATCAATCGGTATGTTGCATAGTGGTGCAGTCTAGGCTTTTAGTGCACCCATCACCTGAATAGTGAATGTTGTACCCAATAGGCAATTTTTCATTCCTCACCCCCCTCCCATACTCCCACCTTTTGGAGTCTCCTGTGTCTATTATTCCACTCTGTATGTCAAGCATTTCTTTATGAAAGAAACACTATGAAAGTTAAAAGCAGAGATCTCAAGACCTGCCATCATAGAGCTCCCCAGACAGTGGGCTAAGGCATGAATGGTGTGGTGCAGAGGTAGCAGAGAGCTGCCAGGATACTGATTGTCAGCTTTTAGAGTGGTGGCAGGGGCCCAGGCTGCAGCTCCTGAGCTTGTTGCCTTTGTCTGTGTGAATCCCATTTTATCTAACTCACTGTACTATTATTTTGCCATTAAAAGTAATGGCAAAAACCGCAATTACTTTTGCACCAACCTAGTATTATTACCCATGTATGCCTTGACATGAAAATGTTTGGAAAGCATTTCTATATATAAAAATATGCAAAGCATTTTCCAAGAATGTTACACTTTTCTAGTTAGAATTGGCTTACTATAACATCATTTATCTTATTCTCAAGCTTCGACCTCTCTTTCATTCAACATTTATTGAGCATCTACTGTATAGCAGGCACTGTTCTACACACGGACTCCTGACTTTCAACCTTCAATGTCATGTTGGCATCATGAGCTTTTACACTGCTTTGATTTTCTTCTTCTAGCTGTCTATATTGTTTTTCTCTTTCTTAGCCATGGGTGCATTTTTCCATTAGACTGATAAAAGTAAGTCAGAGCAGACACTCACTGGCCCTTAATTATGCTCCCGAGTTTTTGAGATCGCCTGTGCATTTTTTCTGAGCTATACAAACCGATCACATGACAGTTAGAAAGATGGATCTCTATACTGAAAAAAAAAAATGAACCTCACTGACAATGTTTTTCCAATCAAAAGAGAGGAATTTTCCAACCAAAACAAAGGGAAAAACCTCCATCTCTCGGCAGGTAGATACTAAGTAAAAGCAACACACAGCTGCCAGGTTTTTACATTAAACACTTAAGTTTCTGTTTAATGTTTTCTTTATCAAGATTCTAATACTTCATCAGACACACTCGGCTTCAGTCAAGGACTTCTTCAGAACTGATTTCTAAGAGCCTGCCTCCCTTCCAGAACCAAAGATGTTTAAACAACATTTAAACAAAACAAAACAAAACAAAAAACTTAACAAGGATTTTTAAACAGAGATTTATAGTGGTTTCATCACAGGCTCATTCCTCCAGAGCTCTGCCCCGGGTGGCCAGCCTGCGCTGCCAAGGCCTGTGTGGCTTGCTCTTGCGCCTGGCCCTTCTCCGACGACGGCTGGCCAGTCTGAGGACGCCCAGCACACGCTACTCAGAGCAGCCCAGGGTCCTCTGTGGTTGTAATGCTATAATCACCAGTGTATAGACACAGCTGCTGCTATTTGCACTCTTAACAGACACTTCTTGGAGGAAATGGCTTCAGGCGAAGCCCAAATTGCAATGTCTCAAGTTCCACCACCCAAGGATCTAGGAGTTTCCTCTCTAAAGATAGTGAAGATTGCTAGTTGTGAGACAGAAAATATTGTATTATAGTAGGTGGAAGTCTCGGAGGTACAAACTAACCCTGTAGTATTATTATTTGAACTTGTTCAGTGTAACTTAAGGCATTAGTGTAGATGTAGAATGTTCAAGTCGGCCTCAGGCGAACCTACTTGCTTCCTCACACTGAGCCTCGGGTGGCTTCATTCTTTCTTTCTGGACCACAAATCCACCCCTCTCTTCCAGGTTTCGACTGTCTCTCTGTGGTAGTCTAAATATTGACATAATGCTTCTCCCCCCTCTTGACTGACCCTTCTTTATCAAGCCCCTTTCTTTCCAGGCTCTTGCTAAGAGGCTGGGCACACGCTCTCAGTGTCTGCTCCAGTTCCCAAGCGTCTTGTGGTTGACCTTTGAGTGGTCAGTCATGTTTGATGTCTCAGCGCCCTACAGCATCCTCACTTGCTGCATTCCCCGTGGCCCGTTTCATGATGGATTGTCATTTCCTTTAATTCCCCTTCCTTGCCCCTTTCCTTTTCCTCTGCCAGAACAATTGATCAAGAATTCTGTCTCCCCCTCAAATAATAATAACATTACTTTTTCTAGGGCTCACATTTACATTTGAAAACAAATTTTAAACAGGAAACCAGTGCCATCCAAAATGGACATTTAGGAAAAGGGTTTCCTCACAGCCCTCAACAAACACTGTATTCCCTTCTTTTCATTTGATGGCTGCTTTTCTTGCCGGGGGAAGAAAGGACATTATAATTTGGCTACTTCTTTGTAAGTCCAAAACAAGGAGCCAGATGTAATTCAGTAGATTTGAAGCAGGTTTAACAAAGGATCTAGTTCAATGACTTGTTTTGCAATAAACTGTGTGCAAGATTTGGAAAAATCAGCAAATTAAAGACTGCTCGAGTTTCATTTCTTTCTGTTTAGAGAATACCTATTAGACGATGTTTTGAGAGGATTTATGCATGGGGCTGGTACTGAAATGAATTAAAAGACTAATACTGGGCTTCATAACACTGGAGCCTGGGGAAAATATCCGAGCTGCTCCTCCTGCCTTGGAAGAGTTTATAAGCTGAGTGGAAAAGATGGGCATGGGTGGTACAAGGAACAGTTGCAAGAAAGCAGGATGGCAAGATGCCCTTAACCGATGTGGGCTGTGGGACAGCTCACTCAGATTACCTGCTGCTTGTCTCTCACTCTGTCCTACTTCACTGTATCTTACTGTGTGTGTGGCCAATCCGACTGAGGTAGGGGTGTGTGTGTGTGTGTGTGTGTGTGTGTGTGTGTGTGTGTGTGTGTGTACATGCATGCATGTGTGTTATTTTTTTCTCTATTTGTTTCTTGCAGGTTAATTCCCTCCTCATTCCCCTGCTCCCTGCCTCCAAGTTCTTCTGTCCCGAGTAAATATACAGTTCTCTAGATAAGGGGCTATGCTACTTTAGTATTTCTTACAGTCCAAGTAAAATCCTAGGCACTTCTTAACCTCTCAGTAAATATGCATTGATTGATTGACTTAGCATGACCATTGTGACGGCAGTAAATGTATAAGAGAAGGACCAATCGACATTTTAAGTTCCAGAATCATCCATCTGCTGGGTCACGTTCTCCATATGTGTGGGTGGTTCTGTTTCAGCAAATGGTCTTTTCACTAGCCCACATCAAGACAAAGACATGTTCTGAACTGGAGATGATGCCAAGCCTGGGCTGTGAAGACCACCCACAAAGGCTTCAGTGGAAAAGAGAGAAGACACTGGAGAGGCATGAAACGGTTTGAGGATGAAGAGACTGGACAGATGGATGGAGGACCATGAGGTGACCCAACCAGGGGCAAGAAGGAAGAGAATCGGCTGCTGTAGGTCTTGGGCAGCAAGAAGTTTACATCGATCAGTTTATACTGTTGGATTAATACTGTTTGGCTGGAAAAATAGTGTAAATAAGATGAATATAAGCCATCTGGTTGGTATATTGGTGCAAAATGATGACCCATAAGTAATTGAGAGAAATGCTAGAAAAAATAAGAAATGTGTTTTCGCTTTTTGAAGAAGAATTAGTACAGCCTTGTTATTTAAATTTTGGGGAGATTTACTGGGTCACTACCGTAGTGATAATCACATAAATAGCAATTAAGTGGTCTGAAGCATTTGGACTCATCTTGCCATTACAATCACTGTTCTCTGAAGTTTCTCAAAGTTGGGAGCAGATGATAATGCCTCAGGGACAGCCAACTGTGATGTCTGAGCACAGGCCAACAGTTTTGTGTTGCAATTAATTAAAATTTACAACAGAGTTAATCTGGCAACATCCACATATTTAACAAAATGGATAATTGTTATTGTGCTGGGAGGCTTTTTCGAATGAATGGTGACCAGATCACGTAAATGCCTGTAATTTGTGTTTCTTTACACAGTTAAGCTGAGCCTTTACAGATTTTTCTCCTCTTTGTTAGGGCTCCAACAACCCAGAAACAAAGCCAATGTTAACAATTTTCTCTGACACTGAATTAATCCTACACACACACACAGACACAGACACACACACACACACACCTTAAGAAACAAAGGTCTTGGATTGATTCCTTGGCAATAGGATCTCCATGGCCTGAATGCCCACCCCAGAGTCAGGGCCCAGGACCCACCCTCTCTTTTCTCTCTCCATCTGCCTCATGCCTTCTCAGACTCATTCCTCATCCATCAAGAAGTCTGAGGAACCTAAGGTCTAGGCCCAGCCTGGCTATGGAGTAAAAGTTCAGGAGTCACTCTGGGAAGGTCAAGGAAAATGGAATTCTGGGCTTCAGAGAGAGGACTGGCCTGGGACACGGCAGGCAGATGAGCAGGTGGGTTTCCAGCCCCTGAGGGTCTTGGGAAAGAGAAGAGAAAGGTGAAGCATTACTCTCTAAAATGCTTTGTTTTTTTTTAGATTTTTTCCTACATGATAAATTCATGATTTTTGGAAAAATTAAACAAGGTCATGTGAAAAGAAGAAAATAAATATGACATACATTTGTAGCACCAAGTGATAACCACTTTTTTTGTGTTTGCTTGTTTGTTTGAGATGGAGTCTCGCTCTGTCGCCCAGGCTGGAGTGCAGTGGCGCAATCTTGCCTCACTGCAACCTCCACCTCCTGGGTTCAAGAGATTCTCCTGCCTCAGCCTCCCAAGTAGCTGGGATTATAGGCATGCGCCACCAGGCCCAGCTAATTTTTGTATTTTTCATAGAGGCGGGATTTCCTCATATTGGCCAGCTGGTCTCAAACTCCTGACTTCATGTGATCTGCCTGCCTTGGCCTTCCAAAGTGTTGGGATTACAGGTGTGAGCTACTGCGCCCAGCTACTAACCACATTGAACTGTAACTTGTCTATGCCTATATGCACACAGAGATAGTTCCCCCAAATAGGATCATACTGATTTGACATATCCTCTGAATATATCATGAATAACCCAAGTTATTTTATATACATTAGAGGCATGATTTTAACAATGACATAATGATAATCATTAATTATATTGTGTGCCTGCTTGGTATTGGAGGACTTACGGAAATTTACTTTTTAAGAAAGCTGAAATTGACATCACAAAAATAATAAGAGAGGGGCAGCTCAAGTATTACAAAGTTTTCTACACTGCAAAAGAGGAGAAAGAGATTTTTAAAAAATCTAAGTGAACATGAATATTTTAGGGACAAATGATTATGCCTATCCAAAGCTTCTGGCACTCATGGGAATTTTCCATATTTTTATATTTAATAGGTGTTTCTGAAAAGATACGGAGCATGGGGTCAGACGTGTCTCTAAGCATCTACTCTTTTGGAATCACAAGCTTATTCCTTTGACGTGTGTTTTGAGACCCTCTAGTTAAATTGGATCTCCAGTACCAGAGTGGCTAGCAAGCCTGCCCTAATGGGAAGTGATGGGGAGATGGGCGTTGGAGTCTGCAGTTTGTCTTTCACGGATATTTCTTTCACCTGGCAGACAGCCTAATGCTTAGTTGTCTGACCCATGACCAGGGGGTCCCTCACATGGGAAGCTTGTTTTTATTGGCAGATGCCCTTGTGGCTCTTGTCTGACCCATGTCCAGTTTATGCCTGCCTGACCATTGCTCTCGGCTGGGAGCTTGACCTCATGTTCTCTTCAGCGTCCTGGGGGAAAACCTGGCCTGGGACAGCCCCTGGTTCTTCATGTGGAAGGCAGAGATTCAGTACACCACCGCAATAGGAAACATGTTAAAAGATTTTTACTTACAGATCCTGGGCAGAGAGGAAGCAATGAGTTGGGAGGGCAGTCCTCCCTCCCTCCCTTGGTCACAGGAGGCAGGAATGAAGAGTCAGGAAGAGAGAGAGAGAGAGAGAAATGCATAACAATTGGTAGTAAATATGAGGGAGCAGGATGTGGGTCACTTGATGTTTTTGAACAAATGCCAGATGGTTCTTTTTTTATTATTATTTTGAGATGGAATTTTGCTCTTGTCACCCAGGCTGGAGTGCAATGGCAGGATCTCGACTCACTGCAACCTCCACCTCCTGGGTTCAAGTGATTCTCCTGCCTCAGCCTCCCAAGTAGCTGGGATTACAGATGTGCACCACTGCGCCCGGCTAATTTTTTTGTATTTTTAGTAGAGACATTTCACCATTTTGGCCAGGCTGTTCTCAAACTCCTGACCTCAAGTGATCCACCCACCTCAGCCTCCCAAAGTGCTGGGATTATAGGCATGAGCCATCACGCCAGGCTGAGATGGTCCTTTTAAAGGAAGCAGTGGGAAAGCGGGTAGCCCAGGCTGATAGGTGGAAGAAATGCTTCTGAGTTCTTATGTCTGGCACTGGTTCGAGCCATTTGGGTGTGATGTAGAACTGGAAACTGCCGAGGTGACTGAGCCTGCTTCTGCTATGAGAAAGTTAAACCTGTATTCGAAATGGATGTCCCAGCAACAGAAAATTGTAAGAATTCACTTTCTGATATCCAGAATACTTCTTTGAGGGGAATATATCATAACACCACCAAGTGTCTGAGGTTTACACTCATCCATTAATATATTCTTTCTTCCAATTTATAAAACAAATAATCACAAAGTTAGCATTTTTCTTCTGTACAGTAGACAGAGAGGTGCTGAGAAGTCTATGCCACAAAACATGACTTATTGCATTAGTTTGTTCTCACACTGCTATAAAGAACTACCTGAGACTGAGTAATTTATGAAGAAAAGAGGTTTATTTGACTCACAGTTCCACAGGCTGTACAGGTGGCATGGCTGGGGAGCCTCAGAAAACTTATAATCATGGCACAGGGGTGAACGGGAAGCAAGCACATCTTCACATGGCAGCAGGAGAGAGAGAGAGAGAGAGAGAGAGAGAGAGAGAGAGAGAGAGAGAGATAGAGAGAGAGAGATGGGGGAAATGCCATACACTTCTAAATCATAAGGTCTTGTGAAAACTCACTATCAGGGAAACAGCAAGGGGGAAATCCACCCCCATGATCCAGTCACCTCCCACCAGATCCCTCCCCCAACATTGTGAATTACAATTCAACATGAGATTTGGGTGGGGACACAGAGCCAAACCATCTCTCTTATCTATCATTCCCAAAATAAATAATAAAAATGCAGGGCAAATTGCTGAGAACAGAGAAAGCAAAAGGTGGCCTTGAACAGAAGAAACATGATATATATCAGTTAGCTACTGCTATGTAACAAATCACTCCAACAGCCAGTGGCTTAAAACAACAAACATTAATTCTTATTCACATATCTGTGTGTTTGTTGGGAGTTGACTAATCTAAGCTATATCCAGACTGGCCCATCTGGGCTGCAGGTTACAGTTAGGTCTGTTTTATATATGTTCACTCTGGGACCTAGGTAGAAAGGACAGCAGCTACTCAGAGGAGGAAAGTTCTTTTCATAGCAATGGCAGAAGTGCAGGAGCTCAAATATCACCACCTAAACATATTTCAAACTTTGCCATGTCATATTTGCTAGAATCTCATTGGCCAATGCAAGTTGCTTGGCCAAGCCCAAATACAAGAAGTGGAAGAGTCTAATCCATCCCAGTTTCCAGGGACTTCCCTGGTTTTTAGCACTGAAAGCCACATCCTGAGAAATCTCTCAGTCCTGGGAAAACCAGGATAGTTGGTCATCCTAGGGGAAGCATACTCTGCCTTTAGTTGAAAGAATTGCAAAGTTATATAGTCAAGACCATGGTTGCAGAAAGGCATACGGGATTGGGATTAATAATTCAATCTACTGCAGGATGGGCACTATGAGTCTAGAGCTACGAATTCTGTATCTGTGTGTTGGAAATAGCTTCAGATCCTACGTGGGTTTGTGGTCTATCTACCTAACATTTGCACACCACTTTATATATCCAAAGTGTGCTGGCACTCTCATGTGATTCTATAAGCCTGTGAGATGGGCGCAAGGGGCATTTTAGACAATCTCAGTTGACAGTGGAGGACACTGTGTGTCCAGGGCTTGCATGTCTTGGCCAAGTTGGAGCAAGACTGCTGAGAGCCTTGGTTAGTAAAGGGTGAAGAGAAACCTCAAGTCGAGTTCTTTTGATGCTCAGCCTCCATTCTTTACCTTCTTTCTAATAAGTCATTCTTTTTGATAAAAATTTGGGGTCAATGCCTGATAGGTTAAGTTGAAAAGCCATGTGTTGCCCTTTCAAAGCCTTGAATTCTAGCCCTGTTTGTAACTAAGGTCACTCGCTTTCCGCACAGTTCAGCAGCAGAGAAGGGAGGCACACATTACTGCTCAGTATGGGATACGAAGTGCCTTCCCCAAAGTAGCTGACAATGAGAATGTCTGCCCTTTATATCTGAGGACTCTTGAGAGCAGCCTGTGAGAAAGGTGGTTTATGAAGGGCTCTGAGAGTAGAAAGGAGATTAGAGTTTACTTACTGATGGCAGAAGCAATAGGAAAAGTCTATGGCAACTGAATGACCCCAGGAACATGGTCCACGCTGCCTTTGCCTTTTCTACCCAGGGCTTAGTGGCCTAAAGAGGTTCTGTATCTGTGAAAGGCAGTGCCCTTGTCCCCTTGGCAGGCTCTGAGGCTTACTCGAACTTGTCTGGCACCAAGGGACTGAGAGATTGCAGAGCTGGTACCCTGTGCGCATCCAGCCTCTGACTCAACATTTCAAGGAAGTCAAATGCAGCAGTGGGTGGTTATTTATAAGGACTGATGTAAGTTGCTCCTTACAAATCATTTATTACTATTTAACTGAAAGTGATGAGCTCATGCCTGAAAAAAAAAAAAAAGGCCTTCACGAAATGATGGACCTTTGGGGAGTGCTTCTCCTGGAGCCAGTTTGTTCTACATGGAGGAGGGAGGGAGGAAAGGAGAGGAGTAAGCCTCATATTCCCCTTCCAACAAATCTACCACAATCTTATAAAATAGGGGGTTTCAGCTGCATTTTCCAGTAAGCTTGGTGACTTCATTTACATGGCAAAGATTTATGAAAGAAGTTCACTACCATAGATGTCTATGACATTGAGTCTCTTGACCTCGCAAGAATTCTCCCTCTGGTTGAGATTGTTTTCTAAGTCTGAAACTCTGGGTTTTAAAGGCATGGTCCTATTTAAGGAGGAACCATGTCTATGAAGTTTGAGTATAATGTGAAATGAGTTTCATGTGGCCAGAGCTCAAATACTCATGATTCCTCGCAAATATCTGAGACCCAGAAATAATTTTGACATCGTTTAAATCAAGAAAATGACCTGTCTGTTTCTGTTTTCCTGACTGAACTCCCCAACTAACATGTTTATAGATTAACAAAAAATCAAACTCTGAGATGTTTCATATGGCACCTTTCTTGAAGTTTCCTGAAACACACACACACACACACACACACACACATGCACACACTATTATTGCTCAGAAAAAAAAGGCAACATAGTTTTTCATTTTTAAAAGTCAGGAAATAAAAATCATAGAAGTTTTTTTTCTTTCTTTCTTTTCCTTTTTTTCTTTCTTTCTTTCTTTCTTTCTTTTTTTTTTTTTTTTTTTTGTTAGATATGAAGCCTCTGTCTGTCACCCAGGCTGGAGTGCAGTGGCGTGATCACCGCTCACTGCTGCCTCAACATTCCTGTACTCAAACCATCCTCCCACTTCGGTCTCCCCAGTAGCTGGGACCACAGGCACGTGCCACCGTGCCCAGTTGATTTTTGAAAATGTTTTCTAGAGATGAGGTCTCGCTATGTTGCCTGGGCTGGTCTCAAACTCCTGGGCTCAAGCGATCCTTCTGCCTTGGCTTCCCAAAGTGCTGGGATTACAGTCGTGAACCACCACTCCCAGCCGATAAGCAGTTTTTCAAGCGAAGCGTTTTAACTAGAGAATCGAGAACTAAAAAAATTGTAACAGGTAGTTCGTGCTATATTTAATTCAATACTGTGAACGATTTAGAAGACTAGATCATCAAGACAACATTGACAACTGTGGAAAAGAATGGTGTGCAGTGGAGGGCAGACTTATGGAAAAGCAGGAAAATAAAAGAGATGAAAAGATTCACTGTCCCTGGATCCTACCTAATTCATCTCAAGGTCTACTCTACGCAAGGATCTGTTAAAAATCTGTCCCCGTAAGCATCTGGGTTCTTTGAAATTCTCACAGGCCAGCCTCGCTTCTGACCACATAGAAACTGGGGACATGTTGGTCAAAGGGTGCAGACTTTCAACTACAAGATAGATAAGTGCTCTGGATCTAATGTACGCATGGTGACTATGGTTAATAATTCTGTATTGCTTCTTTGAAATTTGATAACAGAACAGATTTTAAGTGTCCCTGGTGAGCACCCCCACAAATGGTAACTATGTGTGGTGATGGATGTGTTCGTCAATTTGATTGTGGCAATCAATATACAATGTATACATTTATCAAATCATCACCTTGAATATTTACCATTTTATCTGTCAATCAAATATTTTAAAATAAAACTCTGTAAAATATACACATATATCACATACCATACAATCGACTAATTTAAAACACGTATAGTGTGCAATTCAATGTTTTTTAGTATATTTCCAGAATTATACAACCATCACCACAGTTTTGGAACATTTTCATTACTCCCAGAATCAAACTTATTTGATGTCTTTTAAAAAATAGTCTTTTTTTTTTAATTGGCTCTGGAGTCTTTTACAACTTGTTCCTCAAATTATTTTTGGAATAGCTTTCCTACTGATAATATATTAATAGAAAAATCTAAATTTAAATTGAAAAAATGACCTGCTTCTAAAATGGAAAAAACTTATCACCCTTTTCCCCCTTCTCCACACCCCTTGATTACATGTTTCTTAGGTAAAATTTGTTCTGTGAAATGCTGCATATCTGTAACAAACAACCTCTGGAGTTTTTTCTGTTGTCCCATTTGCATTTCCATTTGCAAAAAATCCTTTTTATTGCATGGAATGGTTTATTCAAAGCTTCTGGCATTTTTGGTATTCATCTCACATTTTACAAAGCGATTACAACAGCTCTAAAGTTTCTTATATTAATGAGTTTTAACACAACCATTCTTTTTTTTTTTTTTTTTTGAGGCAGAGTCTCGCTCTGTTGCCCAGGCTGGAGTACAGTGGCATGATCTTGGTTCACTGCAACTTCCACCTCCTGGGTTCAAGCAATTCTCGTGCCTCAGCCTCCCTGAGTAGGTGGGATTTACAGGTGTGTGCCAACATACCTGGATACTTTTTATTTTTTATTTATTTATTTTAGTAGAGACAGGTTTGGCCATGTTGGCCAGGCAGGTCTCAAACTCCTGGCCTCAAGAGATCCACCCACCTTGGCCTCCAAAGTGCTGGGATTATATATAGGTGTGAGCCACTGCACCTGGCCTCCTGTTTTTTTCTTAACTGAACCCCAATTATGGTTCCTCTCTTGGGACTTGAGTAACCTTTGTGAAGGATCTTTTTTGGGATATCCTGTCAAAATAGGATACTGAGTTTTATTATGAAGTTATCTATATACCAGAAAGCCAACTCTCTTGAGAAGAGGTCTTATTTTGTACAATGGGTAATCTTCTAAAATTCCCAAGACATTTGGACATAAAATGTTCATATTTCATTTATTTAGGCAAAAATTGGCTTTAATAGGGGACAATGTGTTAATTTTCTTATTTGGACTGTGACATGTTTTCTAGAATTACACTGAAAGCTGAGGTGTGGTCCAGAGGCTGGAGGCTCTTTCTCTAATTTAAATTGCCCTGAGAATTGTTTATGAAAGCTTCTAGAAGTGGAAAAACCAACAGCAACAAAGGGACAGGCAGAATAAGAGCCACATTTTATTTTTCTAAGTCAGTTATATATATTTCCACAGGGTTTAGTACTAGAAAAATCTGAGGAAACTATGTGTAATACAGTCACTAAGAGCCAAGTGACTTTTATTTACCTAAAAAAAGGTCTCCTTGAGAATGTAGTTTCCAATATAGTTCCTATTCTTGCAGTCCAACTTTTTTTTTAGCATTCTAAAATTAACCAGACAAACCTGATCACTTGATTCCTGGGAGAATGTTTATTATCTTCTCAGTGCTTACAGCATAAATGAAGTTATAGTGATTGAAATCAAGCTGCAGGTTTAAAATTCTTCCAAAAATCAGGTAAATCCCTTGTGAAACCACAGTCAGCATGCGAAGGTGGATGTGCTGTAGCCCCCAATTTTCTTCTTTCCATCCTTCCCTACATCATTGTTAAGTATTTAATCAACACCTGCTCAAATGTACCACTCATGGAAACTTCCCCTGGCTCCCCAGGCCCGAAGAATTTTCCTCATCCTGCTCTATCTCTTGATCCTGCTTGATTGCTCATGCTAATATTTATTCATAACTGAATTGGTTTTTTTACTCTTTTCTTTATTTTCTGCCTGCTGTACTAGATAGTACCTCTGTGGGGCAAGGAAAATTGCTGTTTTCGATGTCTACAATTGTGCCTGGATATCCTAGCAGCTCAATGACTAGTTACTGGCAACTACTAGCTACAGCATACTAGTACAGGTTGAACATCCCTAACCCAAATAATCCAAAATGCTCTAAAATCCAAATCTTTGAGTGTTCACGTAGAACCATATGGGTGGCTGAGGTTGCCTTCCGATGGTCTGATGTACACAAACTTGGCTTCATACACAAAATATAATTTAAAATATTTTATAAAATTACTTTCAAGCTAGGTGGATAAGGTGTATATGAAACACAGAGGAATTTTATGTTTAGACTTGAGTTCCATCCCTAAGATACCTTATTATGTATATGGAAGTACTTCAAAATCCAAAATTGGAGATGCCTCTTCTCCCAAACATTTGAGATAAGGGATACTTAACCTGTAGGGTACGTGTGTGTGTGTGTGTGTGTGCGCGCGCGCGTGTGTCAGAGAGAGAAAGGGAATATTATAATTTCAGTTAAAATCATCCAATGTTTGATTTGAAGAACAGATTTTAAGGGGGCTGGAGAAGATGTGGAAAAGCAGCTGAGAACTTATGACAGTCCAGATGGGAAAGGATGCAAGCGGTGGCAACAAAGAGACATAGCAGATGATTTGAGAGAGTTAAGATGTAAAATCAACAAGACTTGACGATGGTGTGGCCGTGGAGAAGCAGAGAGAGGAAGGTGTCAGGTGCATGTCTTTGAACTGATGTAGAAAAATGAAGTCAGGGATTTGGGGTGGGGAAGGACACTGTAGCAGTCTGCACTTATCCTCTGGGGATACCTTCCAAGACCCTCAGCAGGAGCTTGAAACTATGGATAGTAACAGACCCTAGCCAAGGTCACATTTTACTTAAAGGAAGCACTTTATTTATTTATTATTATTATTATTATTATTATTATTATTATTATTATTATTATTATTGAGACAGAGTCTCACTCTGTTGCCCAGGCCGGAGTGCAGTGGCGTAATCTCGGCTCACTGCAACCTCCGCCTCCCAGGTTCAAGCGATTCTCCTGCCTCAGCCTCCCGAGTACCTGGGATTAAAGGTACCAGCCACCATGCCCAGCTAATTTTTGTATTTTTAGTAGAGATGAGGTTTCACCATGCTGGCCAGGCTGGTCTTGAACTCCTGACCTCAGGTGATCTGCCCGCCTCAGCCTTCCAAAGTGCTGGGATTACAGGCATGAGCCACCATGCCCAGCCCAGGAAGCACTTTATTATTTCCCTTTGGGATATCCAAATTGCCAGCATCACCACTCTTGTGCTTTGGAGTCATTACTAAGTCAAATAAGGGTTACTTGAGTACAAGTTCCATAATATTGTGGCAATAGATCTGATAACAGAGAGGGCTACTAAGTGACAACTGCAGAAAGAGAAACTTTGAATAATGGAGGACTAATGTATAGGCTTTTCACAGAGCAGAACCTATCCCTTCTCTCCAATTCCCTCTTCTATATAACACTGGTCCTGACCTGAACTATTACAATATAGACTGTTAATACATCATACTGCCCATTTGTGTTTGAATCCGTACTCCCTTCAAATGAATATCCCTAAAATAGAACTTGGTACATTTCACTGTTCTATAGAACACTGGGCCTGATCTGAACTGTTACAATATAGACTGTTAATACATCATACTGCCCGTTTGTGTTTGAATCCATACTCCTTTCAAATGCATATCCCTAAAATAGAACTTGGTACATTTCACACCCCTGACAAAAATGTCAATGGCTCCCTGTGCTGGCAGGATAAATAACAGTCTTAAAACTGTTTCTTAATTCCGTTACTCTGAATTTTGTGCTTCTGACATCCCCTCCTTGGGGAATGCCTTCCTCTTGGATTTGTAAATGGAAATGATGCTGAATCTAACCTCTTTTCCCATGCCTGACCAATGCAGGCTTTAGTGAGTTTCTCTCCTCTGAAACTGTAGACTGTTTACTGCATAGACCATTCATTTGGCACTAAGCATTTAGTTCAATTGGATGAACATTTACTGGCCACCCACCACAAATGTAGAGACTTGCACTAAGTAACATGAAGGTAGTAATCCTTACATACAAGGGTACTTTGAAAAGTTTGTGGAAAATAAAATTAAAAGATAAAAAAATACAAACTTTATTTCTCAATATAAGCTTCATCATGTTCAAGACACTTTTTAAAGTGCTGATACCAGCTATTTAGTCCATCCCTAAGGAGCTGAGGATCCTGGATATTTAAGCATGTCCATGCAGCCTTTTTTACATTATTAACTGAAGAAAAACAGGTGCCTTTTAAAGATTTTTTTTTTAATTGGGAAACAAAAAGAAGTCAGAAGGAGCCAAATCAGGACTGTAAAGTGGATGCCTAATGATTTCCCATCGAAATGCCTGCAAAATTGTCCTTGATTGATGAGACAAGTGAGCAGGAGCATTGTCGTGGTGGAGAAGGATTCTCCTGGGGAAGCTTACCTGGGTGTTTCTCTGCTAAAGATCTGGCTAACTTTCTCAAAACACTCTTATAATAAGCAAGTGTTATTTTTCTTTGGCTCTCTAGAAATCAGCAAGCAAAATGCCTTGAGCATCCCACAAAATCCTTGGCCACGATCCTTGCTCTTGACCCGTCCGTCCGCTTCTGCTTTGACTGGACCACTTCTACCTCTTGGTAGCCACTGCTTTGATTGCTTATTGTATTCAGGATAGTATTAGGAAGGCCATATTTGATTTCCTGTTACATGCTTTAAAGAAATGCTTCAGCATCTTGATCCCACTAATTTGGAATTTCTATATAAAGCTCTGCTCTTGTCTACAGTTGACCTAGGCACAATGGTTTTGATAGCTATTGAGTGAAAAGTTTGGTAAACTTTTTCAGTCAGAATTATATAAGCTGAACCAATTGAGATGTCTATGGTGTTGGCTCTTATTTCTGCTGTTAATCATCAGTCCTCTTCAATTAGGGCATGAACTAGATTAATTTTTGTTCTCACAAATTGATGTGAATGGTTTGCTGCTGCTTTCTTCATCTTCATAATTGTCTTGTCTCTTCTTATAGCAAGCTCTTCTACGTAAACTGCTGTTTTCTTTGGGGCATTGTCCCCGTAAACTTTTCATAAAGAATCAACTATTTTTCATTATTCTTCTACAAAAGCTTTACCATAAATTTGATTTTGTTCTTGCCTCAATTTTAGCAGAATTCATGTTGTTCTGATAAGGACTTTTCAAATTGATGTCATATTCATCTTAGTGCCTCACAGTGGATCTTATTCAGACATGTTATAACAAGTTAGTATGAGTTTATCGTGGTGCAAAAAAATTTTGAAATCCATGCAAAGTTTTTTCATAATATGCATTTTCATGAACTTCTAAAAGACCCCTCACAGCATTTTATAATTTACAATTAAAGTAAGTTTCCTTTATTAATAGTTTTTATTTCTATTTTTATTAGTTATCGTGTGAATTTGTGATTGCCTTATGACTGTTGAGAAAAAAAGTGCGGTGCATTTAATTATTGTATTTCTTCGTATTAAATCATTTATGTCCTTTAGCTAAATCTTGTTAAGAGCATTCTTTTAATTTTCTGATGAATTCTTTTTCTGAGTATTTGATTGAGGATTTTTTAAACTTCATACATTAGAATGGCCTATAATTTCTCTTTTCTGCTACAATAATTAGTTTTTTTTAAATTTAAATAATGGATCAGGACCCTGAAATGTTTATATAGTCTTAAATATTTTTGGTCTTTAGTACATTGGCTCTCTTCTTGACACATTTTTAGCCCTGAATCTTGTTAGATGGTAAATTCTTTGAACATCTTTTCAACATCTTTTCAGTTCCTTCTAATCTATTCAGGTTTACAGGGCTTTGGGGAGAAACATTCTAGTGATTTCACAGTTTTCAAATCATGATGAATTTCATCAGTTAGAAATCGTATGGATTGATTGGAATGTGATATTTACTTACCCTCTGCATTTGTTACTATGTTCCATGTCTTGATTTTAATTTTACTTTCTTTAGTTTTGCTTTTTTCCCTGATTGCATTTGCTAGAAGTTTGCCTATTTTATTGTTTCTTCTTACCCCCAAATCAAACTTGTTGATTTATTTATTACTTTTCTTCTAGTTCTATTTTCAAATAAATTAGCTCTAATTCTTACCTGCACTAATAAAAGCATTTAGGGCTATTAATTTTCCTTTCAGGATAGCTTCTACAGCTATACATATTTTGGTATGATATATTCTTTTTTTTTTTTTTATCCAGCTAGCTTGTGTTTTCAATTTTGATTTCCTATTTCTTTGTTCCAAGAGTTATTTAGAAGTATGTTTCCTAATTTCCAACTATTAAAGGTTTTTTCCACTCATATTCTTTATTTCTAACTAAGTTTATTGGATTATATTCAGGTAATATAGCCTAAAAACACTCTGCCTCTTTGAATTTGTAAGCTTTATTTGTGGCCAATTATGTAATTGATTTCAGTAGAGGGTCTATGGACATGAGGGAAAACATATATGTCTTTATATATTCCTTAGTTCTTTTGTGCCCAAATAACTTTAGTTTTTATTTTTTATTTTTTTTTTTGGTATACCAGAACCATCTGATTCAGAAGGAAAAATCATTGGAACTGTTTCATGATAGTTGTTTTTTAAGCCAAAAATTATTTGAACCTCTAATAATATTGTATACTTAGGTGCTATATTTTTATAGGACATGCAGCTTTATGATTATTGTTTCTTCTTCATAAATTGTCTTTTATTATTACACAATGTTCCTCTGTATTTTGTTTAGTGCTTTTAACCTTAAGTTCCACCCTGTGTGATATTAATATTGTCACTCCTGCTTTCTTTTTGTTTGCATTTGCTTGACATCTCTCTGTTTATCCTTTTATTTTCAAAATTTCTTTTCCATTTTTAAGAATTCTCCTTATAAACAGCATATATCTGGGTTTTGTTTTTTAACTCAATATGACAGTCTTAGTTATTTAATGGGATAATTCATTCTATCCACATTTACTTTAACATATGATACTTAATTTTATTAGGCCCATCTTTATGTTTAATATTTATTTACTTTGTGATTCTCCTTTATTTAGTTTTATTTTGTAGCTGATTTTGTCATTCATTCTATTTTTTTCTTATCTTTTGAAAATACGACTGTATTTTTTTCATTCTGCTAGTGGCATTTCATGTTTGACTCTCCTAATCATGTATATTTTCCACTATTCTACAGAAGTACAAAACTCCCACCTTTCCCCATTAAGATGCTTTCTTACTGACCTACTTCCCCAATGCTAATTAGAATATTTTTATTTTCTCCCTCCACCCTGTCCTCTAACTCCTATGTTTTAAGACATAGTTTAGAACTTTAAATTTCAGGTCAATATTAGATTTTCTCTTATTGTTTGTCTGTTTTTCCCCAAGAATCTTTATTTAGTGCTTTCTAATATTATGGCAGGTTATGTTATTAGGACCAATTCTCCTGCTAAAACCTAAAATTTATGGAGAACATATTCATTAAAAATTATGCTTAACAGCATCAAAGAAATGACCAGGTTGTAAGAGATTAGGAGGCCACAGTCTAAAGGATCTGAGAGAAGTAAGCAGAGCCTTGAAGCAACGTTATCCTTGAGGGCATTTGGCAAATAGGTAAACATTCTTTGTAACTGAAGGGTATTCAAACTAGAAACAACAAACAAACTCAAAAGACTGCTCAAAGTGCACATCTAAGAGAAGATGCTTCTATCATAAAACGGGGATCCCTAAGAGTCAAACCCTTAAGGGAAAGTGAATTAGATGTAAATTTTCCATTCTAGTTCCAGGGGACTGCAGGGAAATGTTTGTTTGTTTGGCATTGAACAGAACAGGTGAAAACTATCCCTAGGAAGTTGTAATCACAATCTTTCCCTTGTGTGGATTTCCCAAACACATCCAGAACACCTGGTTGTCAGTTACAACTTGATTTGCTAATTCATTTAAAAATGGTCCAGAATTAGTTAGTAGTGCCCCCAACACCTGGCTGAGGCAAAAGCAAATTATCTTTTCCTCCGTTTCAAAGAAGTTTCACAAAAAATTTTCCAAGGAAAATGAGTATTTACAACAAAACTAACTGAGCACACCAGGAAATATGGTACCATGACCAAGAAGCAGCAGAAACGACTGATGGTGTAGACTCAAAAGTGTTTAGATATTGGAATTACCAAAAAGAGATAATAAAACAACTGTTCTCTACTATATATATATTTTTTAAAATACATGATTAGAAGTATCTTCTTCTGGAAATAAGCAACTCTTAAAAAACTGATCTGGCAGTTTCAAAGACGAACCAAGTAGAACTTCTGGAAACATAAAAGGTAAAGTAATTGAAATAAATTAAATCAATGAATTAAATAGCAGATTAGACATGACAGAAGAGTTTGCAAACTGTTATAAATCAGATCTTAGAAAAATGTAACACAGTGGTAGTAACAAAATCAAAATCAACTGTCACCTGAATAAAAATTGTATAAAAAGAAAGGAAAGGAGAGAGAGAAAGAGAGAAAAAAAGAGAGAGAGAGACAGATGGGGTGAAGGGGGAGGAGGGAGGGGGGAGGGGGAGGGGGGAGGGGGGAGGGGTTGGGGGAAGAAACGGGGAAAAAAGAAAAGAGAAGAAAATTCAAATTTTTCCCTAGAGAAATACCAGGAAAGTAATTTTGGATAGCGTAAGCTACTGTGAATAAACAGAAGCCCCAAATTTAGTGACTTCAGCATGACGAAAGTTTTCATTTGCTCATATAACCACTCAAGTTAGGTATCCCTGGTCAGCAGACAGCTCTCTTCCATGTAGCAAGTCAGGCCTCTTCTCTCTTATGACTTTGTATCTCCATCACTGTCTGCGTTTAGCTGCTGAAAAGGAAAAGATGGTATGCGGAGGAATACTTGTTTTGTTTCTTGAAAGTTTTGGCCCAGAGTGACACTTATCCCTTTGTTTATTAATGAAAACCAGTTATGGTCAGAAAGGCTGCAATGGAGGCTGGGAAATGTAGTCCCTAGCTGGCCGTCAGTTCTGAGCTTGATCTGTGTACCCATGAAGGGGAGTGCAGGTTTGCTTGACAGCCATCTTTGCCACCTTTGTTTCACCAGGAGATATAAAGACAGAGTCTCAGAAAGCCCCCCTTAGGCATAGTAGAGGATAATATTGAAAGCGGTATGACAAATGTTGTAATTGTTTTTTAATAAAATGTTTAATTAGAGTGCACCAGATGTTGCAGAACTTTCTCCTTAGTTCAGCTAAAACCAGGCTCTTGTCACATGGCCAGGAAAGATGAGGCTCGCAGACACATAGAAGGGTGAGGAAAATGAAATTTATTGGGCAAAAAGGAAAAAAAAAACAAAACTCTCAGTAAAGCGAGATAGAGTCCTGCTAGCAGGTTTCCTGCCTCACAGATTGAATCCCAGGTCACCACACAGGAACAGGTCAGGCCAGGCCAGGCCAGGCCAGGCCAGGCCCATTCCCATCTCAAATGGCATGAACTTTCCGAGGCTCCACCCCATCCTCCCAGTGTGCAGGTAAGCATTATTCACAAAGAATCAGTCCAGAAAGGGCAGGCTTCATCCAGGACCAGAAGTCCAGTTTTTCAGTCGTCAGGCTGTTTTAGACTTGAAGGCAGAGTTTCGCCGGGGACCCTTGGCTGCTTCCTGTCTCTATCACACACATTCAGAAAAGTATACCAGTCCTCAGTGTACACAGCTTAACCCTTTTCTCGTTTTTCCCGAGAATACTACCAGCGGCACTGGCGGCTGCAGCAATTATCCTGAGATAACTTTGCGACAAAATATCTTGCTTTTATTATTATTATTGCATTGCTCTAGTGTATCAGCTTTGAATACAAAATCATTGTATTTATAGCTTCTGTTTTTAGTAGTGATATTTCCATTTAGAAAATATAGTAATTCTCAGTCACTGAAAATGTCAAATCCTAGAAAATGTAGCATTCCTATGTGTGAGGTTAACATCATTCTCCAACACTTGCTGGCCGAAGATTCATTTGATAAATCCAATTTTTCCGAAATAGATGATTCTCCTGATTCAGACAGTTCTGATGTTAATTCTGTTTAGAAACAACTCCAAGAAGAACAGTTTTTATATTTTATTTTTCTATTGAAAATCAGTCAGATTTGTTTCAGCCTCAAAGAATGTGTTTATGTAAAATTCAAAGAAGGCTGGCAGGAAGCTGCACTTTTTTTTCTAATCAGAAAAAACGGTTAATGAATGATCACAAAGTGAAGGAAATACCCATGTAAATACCAAACAGACCAATAAATAGAATATTGCCAGCACCTGAGAGGCCCCCACCTGTGAGCCCTTCCCATCACTATCCTGAACTTTCTACTCAAAGATAACCACTGTCTTGACCTAAAACACCACAGACTAGTTTTGTCTGTCTGTGACCTTTTTTTTTTGTTTTATTTTTTGAGACAGAGTCTCGCTCTGTCACCCAGGCTGGAGTGCAGTGGCACCATCTTGGCTCACTGCAAGCTCCGCCTCCCAAGTTCACGCCATTCTCCTGCCTCAGCCTCCCAAGTAGCTGGGACTACAGGCGCCCGCCACCACGCCTGGCTAATTTTTTGTATTTTGAGTAGAGACGGGATTTCACCGTGTTAGCCAGGATGGTCTCGATCTCCTGACTTTGTGATCCGCCCGCCTTGGCCTCCCAAAGTGCTGGGATTACAGGCGTGAGCCACCGTGCCTGGCCTGTTTGTGAACTTTATGTAAATGTTATACTGTATGGTTTCGTTCCTGTCTGGCTCCTTTTGCTAAAAGTTTTCTTGGTAAAATTCCTTTGTAGGAGAACAGAGAATGGAGAAGATCAATGTTGAAGCTAAAGCACTTGGTCCATCAATTCAAATGTTAATGTCCTCTGGAAACACCCTCAGAGACAGACCCAGAAATAATGTTTAATCAGATATATGGACATCCCATGGCCCAGCCAAATTGATGCATAAAATTAACCATCTCAGCAAGGGTGTATTGCTTACTATCTTTGAATTCAGAGTGCTCTGGGAAGCCATTAGTATACTTTAGGGGGAATAAATGGTGTTAGTTAATCTAGAACACTGGCTGGGTGGACTTTGGTTAAGGGAATTCTTACTCACCATGAATCCATCTGCCAAATGTTTATTGAGTGCCTACTGTGAATCACCTGGTAGAGGCTCACATTTGTCACAGACTGGTAAGAAGGTAGCTTACTTTTCCAATCTGCACTTTGATTTATGCCTTTGCACATTCTCTTCTGCCTACTTGGTGTCTTTTCTATGCATTTTTCATCACCTGGGAGATTTCTGCTCATCCTTCAACATATGCCTTAAAAATCACCTTCTCAGGGAAGCCTTCCCTGCCCTCTAAGCTTGACTTAAAAAGGTTTGCTGTTTTGCCTTTTGCATTCTTCCATAATAGCACCTATCGCTCTGTATTGTAAGAAATCGTTTCTAAGTCTCTTTAAGCTGTGGCCACAGTCCTTAGTACATAGAAAGTGCTCAATACATGTTTGTTAAATGCACTTGATTTTTATATATTAGTCCTATATCCAGCAACTCTGCTGAATCCAGTTTCTAATTTGGGTAGTGAAGCTGTTGATTTTTTGAGACTTTCTAAGTATAAAGTCATAAGTAGCCTTTTTCTTCCTTTCTAATATGTATATCTTTTTTGTCCCTTTCCTTATTAAGTAGGATGGTCACCAGCAAAATGTTGACAGATGTGCCTGTTCATGTTTTGGATTCTAGATGAATGTTTTCAATATTTTACCATTAAGTGTAATATTTGCTGTAGATTTTGATACATACCCTCTCTTAGATTAAAAAAATTTCCTTCTCTGCTTACTCTGCCAAGTGATTTTTTTAGTATCATGAAGGAATATTGCATTTTATCAAATGTTTTCTGCATCTATTATGACTACATAATTTTCTGAATTATGCTAATGATGTGATTTAAATGAATTTATTTTTAAACATTAAACCAACCTTGCATTTCTCAAATACACTCAACTCGGTTATAATGTATTATTCCTTTTTATATTGCTGTTTACTTATTTTTTCTTATATTTTATCTAAGATACTGTATCAAAGTTCATGAATGATATCAGCCTATAATTTTCCTTTGTGATACTGTCCTCATCTGCATGAAGGTTATGCTTGTATTATTTTAAAAGTTACAAAGTTTCAATTATCTGGAAGAATGTATAAGATTGGTGTTACGTCTTTTTTTTACATTTTTAAATATTAGATGCTAAAGCTATCTGGGCCTGGATGTTTCTGTGCTGGAAGATTTTTAGTTACAGACTGTAAGCCAAAAACAAAATTCTAAGCCCCGCAGCTGACTGAATGGATCATCCTTTCAGCTAAGGGGGCCCAACTAAACCCAAAAAACTAGTTCAGACCACGAGGAGAATGGGATATGGTCAGACATGCCTCATTATACTCGCCTGCCTTTGGAATTCAGGCACATGACCGATCAGCACTAACATTAAAATGGAGATCCTAAGACAGAACAGGCTCTTTGTAGCAATAAGACACCAAATTCCAACCTAACTCTAGTCAGTCCATCTAGCATAATAGTCCGTCTAGCATAATAGATGCTATCACATGACAGCAGGGCCCTAAAAGAAACCAAAGTATTTTTCCCCAAAATATATTTCTTTGAATATTTTGAAACGGTCCTGCAAAGTTGTCTCTTGTGGGGAAAATTTACACACTATAGAGAACCCCCTTCCCTTTCTAGGTCTTTTTCTGATCCTGAAGAGATTGACTGAGAGTCTCGCACCTTTTAAAGGTCTGAATATAAAACATTTGCCATCTACTGGCAGCCTCAGAGGGATGGCCACCTCTGAGACTGTATCCACATAATAAGAACCTTGGTCTCCACAACTCCTTATCTTTTTTTTTTTTTTTTTTTTTTTGAGACGGAGTCTCGCTGTCGCCCAGGCTGGAGTGCAGTGGCGCCATCTCAGCTCACTGCAGGCTCCGCCCCCCGGGGTTCACGCCATTCTCCTGCCTCAGCCTCCCGAGTAGCTGGGACTACAGGCACCCGCCACCACGCCCGGCTAATTTTTTGTATTTTTAGTAGAGACGGGGTTGCACCATGTTAGCCAGGATGGTCTTGATATCCTGACCTCGTGATCCGCCCGCCTCGGCCTCCCAAAGTGCTGGGATTACAGGCGTGAGCCACCGCGCCCGGCCCACAACTCCTTATCTTAACTCAAACATTCCTTTCTGTTGATTCCCGGTCTTTAGATAATAACTTAATTCTTTTAGCCAGTTGCCAATCAGAAAATCTTTGAATCCACCTATGACCTATCACCCCCACTCCTCCACTTTGAGCTGTCTTGCCTTTCCAGCCTGAATCAATATAAGCCTCACATGTATTGATTGATGTCTTAAACATTTAAAACCAAGCTGTAACTCAACCACCCCAGGTGCATATGCTCAGAACCTCCTGAGACTGTGTCATGGGTCATGATCCATAACTTGACAAAATAAACTTCTAAATTGATTGACACCTGTCTCCGACACTTTTTGGTTTACAATACTCAATTTCTTTGAAAGATACATAATTTTTCAGATTTTTAACATTTTTCTAGCTATTTGATAGGTTTTCATTTTACCAGGAATTTTTCCCTTCTATTGAATTTTTATATATAGGCATAAAGTTTTTATAATATCACTTTTTATACTGTGCTTTTGGATTTTTTATCTTCTTCTGTCTTTATCTTAACTATTTCCAGTCTTCCATTTTCTCTGAGTTGAGGAAATGGAGTTGTCTTTTTTTTCTAGCCTTTTGAGATGAATAGATAATTGATTTTAGCCTGTATTTTTTCTAATCTATGTATTTAAGGTTATACATTTCTGTCTTGAGGTATGTAGAGTGGAGCTGGAGGAAGGCGCGCAGGGGTGCAAGGGTTCTGCACGGTTGACTCTCCCCTTAAATGGTTGTATCTGTCCTTGGTTTATTCATATTTGGTTGGTTGGCTCTTCCCAGCTATGACCAAACCAGAAAGGAAACAATGATTACTGGGTCAATAATTTTGTTCGTTGCATCACTGGCTAAGAGACTTGCAGAGTCCTTGAGATCTTATCATTGTACAACTTCCTTACTACTTTCTACCTAAATTGCTCCTTACTGGGATAGTGGTGGTAGTGGGATTGTTAGAGGAAAGAGGTCCTGATCCAGACTCCAAGAGAGGATTCTGGGATCTCGTGCAAGAAAGAATTCGAGGTGAATCCATCAGGTGAAAGCAAGTTGATTAAGAAAGTAAAGGAATAAAAGAATGGCTATTCAGGGCCAGGCATGGTGGCTCACGCCTGTAATCCCAGCACTTTGGGAGGCCAAGGCAGGTGGATCACGAGGTCAGGAGATCACAACCATCCTGGCTAACACGGTAAAACCCTGTCTCTACTAAAAATACAAAAAATTAGCCCAGTTTAGCCAGGCGTGGTGGCGGGCACCTGTAGTCCCAGCTACTCGGGAGGCTGAGGCAGGAGAATGGTGAACCTGGGAGGCGGAGCTTGCCGTGAGCCGAGATCGTGCCACCACACTCCAGCCTGGGCAACGGAGAGAGACTCTGTCTCAAAAAAAAAAAAAAAAAAAAAAAAAAAAAAAAGCATTCCACAGGCAGAACAGAGGCACGGGCCACTGTTTGCCCAATTTTTATAGTTATTTCTTGGTTATATGCTAACTAAGGGGTGGATTATTCATGAGTTTCCTGGGAAAGGCATGGACAATTCCCTGAGGTAAGGGTTTCTCCCCTTTTTAGATCATATACGGTAAATTCCGAACACTGCCATGACATCTGTAAACTGTCATAGTGCTGGTAGGAGTGTCTTTTAGCATGCCAATGTATTATAACTACTGTATAATGAGCAGTGAGGACGACCAGAGGTCATTTTCATCGTTATCTTGGTTTTGGTGGGTTTTGGCCAGCTTCTTTACTGCAACCTGTTTTATCAGCAAGGTCTTTATGACCTATATCTTGTGCCGACCTCCTGTCTCATCCTGTGACTTAGAATGCCTAGCTTACTAGAATGCAGCCCAGCAGGTCTCAACCTTATTTTACCCAGCCCCTATTCAAAATGGAGTCACTCTGGTTCCAACACCTCTGACAGGATGGTGGAAAAAAGAATCCGAATTGAGGGCTATCAAAGGAAGATTTGGCAGAATTGCTTCATAGTATTTTACTTATTCAGTAAACATTTACTAAGGGACTAAGATATACAACATACTGTGGGGATGGGGGTTGTTGGCAGCATGAATAAGAGAAAATAAGTGTCCTGGTAGAGGTCACAGTTTCATGGGGGACTGACATGTTTACATGACTCCTACTGTTAAGAAGTGATAAACCAGGTCCTTAACAACAATATTCTAAAAAATAGCAACATGAGGACACTTTCCAAGAAGGACTGTCTCTTTCCATACTTTTATTTGTTCCTGTCACATCATGTTTTTGACTGAAGGCAAATTATTTAATGTGTTTATTATTTAATTTGCCTCAGTTTCTTCATCTGTAAAACACTTTCCTCATTTCTTAAATCACATAGTTTTGGAGAAACATAAATGAGAAAATTTCAGTACAGTCAGCCCTCTGTATCTATGGGTTATTCCACATCTGCAAATTTAATGAATCTCAGATGGAAAATATTTTTAAAAGAACAATAAAAATAACAATACAACAATAAAAACTAATACAAATAATACAGTGTAACAACTATTTATATAGCATTTACATGGTATTAGGTGTTGTATCTAAAGATGATTTAAAGTATATGAGAATGTATTAATCTGTTTTCACAAGGCTGTAAAGAAACACCTGAGACTGAGTACTTTATAAATAAAGGAGGTGCTGGGTGTGGTGGCTCACGCCTGTAATCCCAGCACTTTAGGAGGCTGAGGCGGATGGATCACCTGAGGTCAGGAGATGGAGACCATCCTGGCTAACATGGTGAAACCCCGTCTCTACTAAAAATACAAAAAATTAGCCAGGCATGATGGCGGGTGTCTGTAGTCCCAGCTACTTGGGAGGCTGAGGCAGGAGAATGGTGTGAACCTGGGAGGCGGAGCTTGCAGTGAGCCAGGATCACACCACTGCACTCCAGCCTGGGCGACACAGCGAGACTCTGTCTCAAAATAAATAAATAAATAAATAAATAAATAAAATAAAAAATAAAGAAACAAAGGAGGTTTAATTGACTCACAGTTCTGCATGGCTGGAGAGGCCTCAGGAAACTTATTATCATGGCGGGAGGGGAAGCAGGCACCTTCTTCACAGGTAGCAGGAGAGAGTAGAGTGAGAGTGACAGGTGAAGCCAGCTGGACTTCCTGAGTCCAGTGGGGACTTGGAAAACTTTTCTGTCTAGCTAGAGGATTGTAAACGCACCAGTCAGCACTCTGTAAAAACACACCAATCAGCACTCTGTGTCTAGCTAAAGGTTTGCAAACGCATCAATCAGCACTCTGTAAAATGGACCAATCAGCAGGATGTGGGCAGGGCCAAATAAGGGAATAAAAGCTGGCCACCTGAGCCAACAGCAGCAACCCACTGGGGTTCCCTTCTGTGGTGTGGAAGCCTTGTTGTTTTGCTCTTCACAATAAATCTTGCTGCTGCTCACTGTTTGGGTCTGCACTACCTTTAAGAGCTGTAACACTCACTGCGAGTCTCTGTGGCTTCACTCCTGAAGTCAGCAAGACCACGAACCCACTGGAAGGAAGAAACTCCAGACACATCTGAACATCTGAAGGAACAAACTCCGGACACACCATCTTTAAGAGCTGTAACACTCACCACGAGGGTCCGCGGCTTCATTCTTGAAGTCATTGAGACAAAGAACCCACCAGAAGGAATAAATTCTGGACACAAGAGTGCAGGAAGAACTGCCATTTATAAAACCATCAGGTCTCGTGAGAATTCACTCACTCTCACCAGGACAGCATGGAGAAAACCACCCCCCACAATCCAATCACTTCTCTCTTTGGATATGTGGGGATTACCAGCCTCTCCCTTGACATGGGGAATTACAATTTGAGATGAGGTTTGGGTGGGGGCACAGAGCCAAATCAGATCAGGGAGAGATGCAAATACTACACCATTTTATACCAGGGACATGAACATCCTTGGATTTTGGTATCCGTGGAGGCTCTGGAACGAATCCCTCTCGGATTCTGAGGGATGACTGTAATGTGCCCATCATGTTGCCTGGCACAACCCAGATCAGATATTATTGTTATCTCCTACAGTTTTTCTTTATGCTTTTCCCCCCTCCTATTCTTTAGGTGTCCCTTCCGTTTTTCCCTACCTTCTCTTTTTCTTCTATATAACTGACCATAATAAACAACAAGATAATTATTTTCAGTGTTTTAAGAAAATTTTTCAAAAAGGTAGTTTTTCTGTTCTTGATTTTAAAATCATACGCATGAGCTGTCATTGAAAAAATCTAATAAAAAATACCAAAAATATTTTTAAAAATTTCGTGGTGTAAGGAAAACTTACACACATTTCCCCACCATACAATTATTTTTGTATCCCTCTTTAGTACGTATGTCCTTTTATAGCCTAACCTTTTTGAGGGCAGATATGGTGTCTTAAAGTTTTGGTATCTTTTTCAGCTACAAATATTAGCTACCTAATAAATACTATTTTTGAACAATGGCATGCAAGAATAAATGTAGAGTTTTAGGTATAATTTATCAAGGAAGAAGAGAATGCATTGTCACAGAAGAAGAACACTGTGGAAATATAGTAGATCATCTGGTAACATTTATATTCATGTCTTGCCTTCCCTCTCCTATATATATGGCAGGTAACATTTGTTTGGCTCTTTTAACTCCAATTAAAGCATTTTTGTGTGTGTGTGCTTGTGTGTGTGTGTGCATATACATTTATTCTTTTTTCCTCAGAGGCACACACACATATTTATGCACTTGGAGACAATGAAAACTATTATTTTCCAGATGCCAGAAAAGAGTTGCTTTGACACGGAATTGTGAGCTGCAGTGTTGAGTTCATGTTGGAATTCGTTCCCACTGCACCCTGAGTGTGCCATCAGATAGTAAGTAACTCAGCACTCCCACTCAGAGACAGTGACTGAAGGGGGAAGCCTTGAAGCAACTTGTCATCAGTCGTGATGTTGCTTTCTAGCTGTCAGAGACCATGTAGACATCAAACCAGAAGGATTCAGCACGGTATTAATGCGCGTTTTCATGGAGATCTGACTTTTTCTCTGTGAATTGCCCAAATATTGAGACCACAATCAAAACAAAAACCTTGGAGTATCCCAGTAGAACTCCAAGGTGTGTATTGTGGGGGCGGGCGGGGAATCAGATTTTAAAAAATGTAATGTGGCCAGTCTGTGGTCTTCTTTTATTACCCAAAGATTTATCACATTCATTGTGTAATTAAATCTCTACATCTGTGGGGCACAAATGTTTTATGTTTCCAACATTTATGGTTTGACATCGGAAACATCTGTGCAGGCCCAGTATACAACATCTGGAAGACATTTCTGAGCTTTTATGACATGCAGAGTGATCTTTGTTTTGGAACAAGTGTGTGGTTTTCTCCAGTAGCTCTTCCTGCTGGTTATGTCCTTCTAATTGGCATTTTGCTGGGGGATTGAAAGAAGCCTGGCTTCCTGACCTCCTGCTGGGTGTCAGGAGATGCTTCAGAAGAATCTTCACATGGTCAAGATTCACAGAGGGAGAAGATGCTGAGTCATGAATTTAGCTGGCTTAAATCCCTGATCAAGGGGAGCAGGTTGAGAGCAGAGAAGGGAACATGCATTATTGGGCCAGAACAGTCCTAGTTGCTTTCTTCAGTTGAAGGCATTGATGGCAAAATGAACTTCATTGCTCCATTTACCAGTGAGGAAACTGAGTCTCTGAGAGGTTAGTTCACTTAAGGTCACCTGGCTTATAAGTGGCATATCTGAAATTTAAACTGAAGTTTGTCTAACATTGTATTGGAACATGGTATTCTCGCTCTCGAAGAGTGGGCAAGGTAGTTTAACATTCAACAAATACTTGTTTAGTATCTATGAGGTGTTAGGAAATGTTCTTAGTACTGAAGATGGATCAATGGGGAAAAACAGATAAAATTCCCTGTCTTCATGGTGCTTAAATGTGTGCAATCAAATAGTGCAATAAAATCATGCAACTAGATTATCTAGTACGACAGAATGAAAAGAAACAATAACACAAGTAACATTATAGGTAGGAAGTTGGTGGTTGCTACGGAAAAAAAGATAGAGCTATGTATGGGTTTCAAGAATGTTGTGGAAGAGTTTATTTTGGTTTGGGTTTCCCTAAGCAGAGCCTGCAACAAGGACTTGGAAGTGGGTAGTTTATCTGGGAGGTGATCTCAGGAAGCAAAATAAGGGCGTGCAGAAAGTGACTCGAGGTGAGGAGAAAGGACAAGAATGGACATATTAAATAATTGATTACCCTGGGGCTCAGTTCCCCTGGGAGTCCTCCGGGGGCCATGTAGAACACACCCTAGCATTGTCCTGTGGCAAAATGGGGAGCTTAGGCCTTTTATCCTTCCTTGATTAAAGGTTGCTAGTGAGGAACTTCAACTCTCCTAAACTATTCAGATTGTGTCTACTAAGCACGAAGGATATTCTGTGACTTCAAAGCAGCAAAACACAGAGATGTCTGGGCACAGGTGGAGCCTGGGGCACTGCAAATGTTGCCAGAGCACACTGAATTCAATGGACAGTTATGCCACATTTGACCTACAGGTATTTGTAAGGCTGCAGGCATTTGTGTCATATACCCTAAGTGTCCACTATGGGGTTAAAATGTAAAGTGATGAGGTCATTGTAGGCTTCACTGTGTAAGTGATGTATAAACAAAGACTTGAAAGAGGTTAGGGGTGGCTCTCTAGAGGTAGTGCCAGTGCAGAGGGCCGTACATAAGGCAATGTCTAAGGACATCTGGCATGGTCAAGGAACATTGAGTAGACCTGAGTGGCTAGAATGGGGTAAGCATGAATGGGAGTAATAAAAAATGAGGTCAGAGTAGCAGAGGACCAGATCACGTAGGCTTTGTGAATTACTGTAAGGAATGGTGAGCCATTGGAGGGTTTTGAGCAGAGGAATGCCATGATTTGACTTACACTGAAACAACCCATTCTGGTTCCTACATTGATAATTGACTGGAAGGAGGATGATGAGGGTGTCTGAGCCCAAGGTGGTGGCAGTGGGAGTGATGAGAAGTAGATGGATTCAGGATATGCTTTGAAGGTGGAGCCAATGGGATGTCCCAATAGAGTGGATGTGAATGATGAAAGGAAGAGTTGAGTGAAGGAGGAATATAAGTATTTTGGCTTCAGAAATCTGAATAATAGAGCTGCTATTAAGTGAAACAGGAAAGGCAATAGAGGGCACAGATTCAATGAGAAAGGTCAAGAGTTTAGTTTTGGACATTTACAGTTTGAGGTGAATATGGGACATAAAAGAAGAGATGCCAAAGTAGGAAGTAGGATCTGAGTCTGGAGTCCAGGGCTGAGGCCTGGGCTGGAGATGTAACTGTGGGAATCCTCAGCATACAGACATGCTTCAAAGCCATGAGACAGAATGAGATCACCAGGGGAGGAATGCCGAGGGAGAGGAGAAGCGCTCCAAGGACTGAGCCCTGGGGCCTCCAACATTTATAAGTCAGGGAGAAGAGGAGGCCCACAGAGAGGATGCAGAAAAAGTGTTCAGTGAAGAGAAGGAAAGCCAAGAGAAAGTTGTGTCTGCGAAGCCAGATTGGATCAGATTTAAGAGAGAATTGGAGGAAAGTAAATGCAGACAGGGAGGAAAAACAACTTCTTTGAGACATTTTGCTGCAAAGAAGAGCCGACAGCAGAGTAACAGCTAGATGGGAAGTGAAGACAAGAGAGGTGTTTTTTCCTTTAGTTGTGAGAAGTAATAGCAATTTGTTGGCCGATGGGAATAATCCATCATTTCCCTCCCTAAGCAGAGAAAACTCGAAGATTTGAGAGAGGATAATTTCTGGATCCCCAGCCTACCCTACCGTAGTCAAGAAGTGATGGGTATAAATCTCCATGGGTATTTTAGCCTTGGATAAGAACAAGTACAGGTCATCATTTTAACAAAGCAAATATGGATTATAGAATCTAGTAGATGTGGAAATGTGTTGGTGGGTTTTTGTGGAAGTTTGTTCTGATTGTTTCAAACTTCTCAGTACAGTGGGACACAAGGTCATAGTGTTGGGTGTTAAGAACAAAGAGTTGTAAAATATTTACCTAGGAGAAGTAGGAAGAGAATGAAATAGTGAAATATTTTATCATGGCCAGGAAACACCATTAAGGGACCTATTTGAGGTTCATAGTCATAAATAGTTTTTAGCAAGACCCATAAATCAATCATTAAAGAATGACAGAGAAGAGTGAGGTCAATGTTGCTGGTAGTTTAGGATCCCCTGCTACATGATCCCATGGAAATTTCTGTCTTACCCCTCCCCAGATACTGTGAGGGAGCAGGGAACAGGGCATTCTCCTACAAAATTGATGGCAATGAGAATTGACAGAGCCTTCTTGGTGAACAGTTTAAAAATGTCAAATTTGTAAAATATGTGCACCCTTGCATCCCATAATATTGTTCAAATACCCCTCCTCTGCATCACTCAGGTACTCAGGACCCCACCTCTCAGGACCCCACCATCACTCAGGACCCAACCTCTGCATCACTCAGGTACTCCTTTCTCTGGCTGCTGAGAGTGCTGACACCCTCTGCTGAGTTGCTCTCTGGGAATTAATAAGAGCTGCTTCTGTAGTTCGGAGCAGTCCACATCTACCAATTGTGCACTGTAGACTGGGTAAAAAGACCCACCTGTTTGCCTCAGGCTGGGATCATTCTGAAAGGCCATTATAGTTCCAGAGCTCCCTGTGAGATCTGCTGAGGCGCCTTTGTTGTAGCTACATTGCAGCTCAACAACTATTTCTGTCCAGTTCTTTTTTTCTCACTCCTCAATATCCAACAGGTGATGATGTTGAGGCCATTACAACAATTTTTCTTTTTTCTTTGTTTTTGAAATGGAGTCTCGCTCTGTCATCCAGGCTGGAGTGCAGTGACATGATCTTGGTTCACTGCAACCTCCACCTCCTGGGTTCAAGCAATTCTCCTGCCTCAGCCTCCCAAGTAGCTGGGACTACAGGCACACGCCACCATGTCCAGCTAATTTTTTTTTGTATTTTTAGTAGAGACAGGGTTTCACCATGTTGGCCAGGCTGATCTGAAACTCCTGACCTCAGGTGATCCACCCACCTCGGCCTCCCAAAGTGCTGGGATTGCAGGCTTGAGCCACTGGGCCCGGCCTCCAACAACTTTTCTATACTAAAATCATTATCTTAGTCTATTTCCAGGGAACCAACCCATGACCCCTCTGATTCAGAGATTCTACCATTAGGAATTTATCCAGAGGCAATAATAAGGAGGCAAAGATTTTGCTGATGTATTGTCTATAATAGTGATAAATAGAAATGACATTGATTGTAGGACACATTGCCTAAATTATTTATGGTACATCCATATTATAGAGACATCGATATGCCATATATGCATATTTAAAGACATGAAAAGATTTTCACAATATTTTGCTGAGTGGAGAATGTCAGTTATACAGCAGTAAGTTCAAGTAGGACCTCGTTAAAATGATCTACATAAATACATGTGTGTAAAACATATGTGTAGTAAGAGACTTGAAGAACAAGCATCAAAGTCTTTAATGTGGTTAACTGGGTGCTAGAATTATAGGTGGTTTAAATAATTTTTTGTTCATATTGGTTGTCTAATTTTCATAGGCTGATCATAAGTTGCTTTTGTAACAAGAGGAAGCGAAGTATTATTTTAATTTGAAGAAAAATGTATTAAAACTGATCTAGCTTCTGAGTAAGAGGAACAGATGTAGAAAACTTCCAGAACAGGAAGAGGAAGGTTGGCCACATGCACACCGAAAATGAACTTGGATTCTAGACCTCACTGGAAACTTTCCATGACTTCATATGAATGTGTCTACATTTCCAAATTTCAGGGTGCACAGTCTTTTAAAGGATGCATGTGCGGCTTGACGCATCTCTCCCAGAGGTAGTCTCAGAAAAATAGTTTAGTTGCTGAAATGTCTAAAGTTCCAGGACACTTCAGGGATGTCTGGAAATAATAAACAGAATATTTGAAATCAAGATATTAAACAAATCTAGCCTAGTCGATCACCATAAATGTGGATATTTCCACTCTTATCACAGAGGCCATTTGAGAGATGCCAACATTATGCTGCAACTTTGGACAAAATTTATGTCCATGCTTCCCAAACTTCAGTCATTTTTTTTTGCCACTTTTTTGATTTTTTAGGTATGCACCATCTGTAATATTGCTTATTCAATGCTTTTCCTTAAATAGACTCTTTGTTGAATTTTAAGAACTTCCCTAACTTGATTCAAAGTAATAGTATTCAAGATAAACTGACTTAATTTACTAGTAATAATTTTTAGATACACATTAAAATGAGTACATAACTGTCAAAATAGAAAACATTTGTCTGTGTGCCTCTGAAGAATCATCTCTTGTATTTGTACCATGCTTTGGGAACACATTGCACTAGGTTGTCAGAATCTGAAAGAACAGACATTTTTGGGACCTACGGTAACTTGCTAAACTAGAGGGAGAGAAGGAAGGCACTCTCCAACGTTTGGCTTGGTCTGTTCACAGCACAGGCAAACCCTGACTCCTGCTAAAAATTTGTTTGTAAGTCAGTCATGTGGAGCAAGAACATATTATATGTTAAATGGATTTTTATGGGCTGGTGGGAGAAGGTGATTGCCACATAGAAAAATGCAAACTTTTATGGTCTTTTTTTTCTCTGAGGCTGCTTGGATGCCACCACAAACATGATTTATGTATTTATTTTGGCCCAAGGACAATTTACCAGTTCCTGATGCCTAGTTAATGGACGTAGATGTTTCTTGAATTTAATTGATTAAAACTGTTTAAAACTTTGTCTTCAGCATCCGGGAAATTTCAGAAAGAGAATGATTCTTATTTGAAATCGAAAGGAATTCAGAAGCCACATTGGGACAAGGGACAGAAAGTGAGGGTGGAAACATCTACATAAGTAACCATGATGGTTTGCTAACACTGTAGTATGGGGTGCAGGAAGGAGGCTGTTGAGAAGATCTTTGATCTCTGTTGGAGGACTGTTGTCTCACCCTCCAAAAATAGGTTGTGGCAATTCACATAGGTACCAAGCAATCAAATTCTTGACTTTAGTTGCGAGGCCCAATATCTGGGAAACGTCTTATGCATTCGCATGTCCTGGTTCAAAGTCCGACAATTGGCTTTGATTTAAAAATGCCCAGTGTGGGGGAGACTGCTCTTCATTTTCATTTCCTAAAATCATCACTAGCTGGACTTCTTTCTTATCGGAAACTAAAAAATTCAACAAGAGACGCTATTTTTTTTTTTTTTTTTGCCATTTTCACAGAGTTTTCATTTCTGATCCAATATGCCAACCCAGCACACTTTTCCATATATAATTCTAGGAAAGTACTACTAATAGTACATGTATATTATAGTTCCATAATATGTCATATACAAATACTTTTATACCTGCTAGGTAGGAGCCTTCTAAGATTAGTCAAGTCAGTTGAAAGATAGTTATTAATAGCCTGTCTAGTCACTGGATATTTATTTATGTGTGAGCATGGAAGCTTGACTTGGGGAGGAAGGATTTGGATTTGCTAAGATAATCACTTAGTAAGCTTTTAAAATTCTATGCAGATATAAGGAATAATGATTATTATTCATCTGCTTTATTGGTCACGTCCTCTTCCCTCTCTCAGTCATTTCTTAGTAAGTTCTCTATTTATTTATTTATTTATTTATTTATTTATTTATATGTATTTATTTATTTTTTGAGATGCAGTCTTGCTCCGTCGCCAAGCTGGAGTGCAGTGGCACAATCTCGGCTCACTGTAACCTCCGCCTCCTAGGTTCAAGTGATTCTCCTGCCTCAGCCTCCTGAGTAGCTGGGACTACAGGCACCCACCACCACACCCAGCTAATTTTTGTATCTTTATTAGAGACGGGGTTTCACCATGTGGCCATGATGGTCTTGGTCTCTTGACCTCGTGATCCACCCACCTCAGTCTCCCAAAGTGCCGGGATTACAGGTGTGAGCCACTGCACCCAGCCTCTCTATTTATTATACACCACTTCTCTCTCTAAGATTTTGAATTCCAGTTGTGATAGACTGCTACTTTGTGGCTCCTGGCATTCATGCCCTAGTGTGCACCCTCTCATTGAATCTGAGCTGCCCTGTGATCTGCTTTATCCACGAGCTCAGGGAAGTAGTGGCCCTGATGTCGTTCTCCACTTAAGTCTTCAGAATCCCTGGAACCTTTTGCTTTCGTGTCAGGGGGAGCCATTTACCATGCAAGAAGTTCTGCTACCCTGAGACCTTCATGCTGTGAGAAGCCCAAATCAGCTGAGCCGAGAGTTCATGTGGAGGAGAAATGAGGCTTCAGGCAACAAATTCAGCTGTTTCCCAGCAAGTTGCCAGCACCAACTCTTCAGCCATGTATGTGAAACCATGTTGGAAGTGGATCCTCTTGCCCCTACTCAGACCTCCTCAGCTGATGCCACATGGAATGCAGGTGAACTGTGTGTACATTTTCAAGGGATTCTGTAGCAAAGAAACACAAATTAGGTGACTAAAACAACAGAAACTTTTTCTTTTACAGTTCTGGAGGCGAGAAGTCTGAAATCAAGGTATTAGCAAGGCCGTATTCCCGTTAAGGCTTTAGGGGTGTATCCCTCCTTGCTACTTGCAGCATTTGGTAGCCCCAGCTATTCCTTGTGTCAATAAAGCCAATCTCTGCCTCTGTCTTCACATGGCCATCTTCCCTCTATGGCTGTGTCCCAAGTTCCTTCTTATAAGGACACCAGCCGTTGGATTAGGGCCCACTCTAATGACCTCATCTGAACGTTATTACATCTCCAAAGACCCTATTTCCAAATAAGGTCACATTCATGGCACTGAAGATTAGGACTTCAGTATATCTTTTTGGAGGACACAATTCCATCCATAACAAACTGTCCACATTGAGCCCTGCTTTTTAATTGAAGAATTGTGATCAAATAAATAGAATGACGTTTTTGGCCCCTGAATTTTGAATTACTTTCTCACGTAGCAGTAAATAATGAACACAGCAAGTTATTTCCCTTTGATGCCTCCACTGTAAAGGCGCTGCCATTTCCTGCCCTGAATTGCAGGAAATCTTTCTTTCTGTCAGTTTTTTTTCTCCCCAGGCTATTTTTTTGTGTAGTAAATGTTGGTGTATACAGTTTTATTTCTTTCTCATTTTTATTCACTTCCAATTTTCTCCATCTCAAGCAAAGTTTCACTGGGAGTTACGTTATCTCTCTAGTATGATTATTCCAATATGACTACAAAGTCTTCTCTTCTGTTTTCTCAAGTACCAATGTTTTCCCTGTTGCCTCACATTTTTAGATCTCTGTTGAATGTCTGGCCCTACGATAGCTACAGACATTTGATTGATCTCTTCTTCCCTTCATCAGCATGCACTTCCTCCCTCACTAGAAGGATTTGACACTGGGTATTCCCTTCTCTGACAGACCCAACTCCTTTTCTTTTTATTGGCTTGGGCTGAGAACAAGGCAAGTGTGATCTGAGCCACCTCTTAAGTATAAGGAATGTGGCTTTTAAAAATGCATGCACCCAGGATTATTCTCAATTCAGATTACCTTAATTGGTGGTAAGAATTGAAGCTGGAGTTGGGTAGTTAATGAAGATGCCAGGTGGGAAGGAGTGAAATACTGGAGCCTGAATGAACCTATGGAATAATTCTTGTTAATCCATATTTTATTCCAACGTAACTTCTTTGTCACTCTTATACATCCAAATCCTGGCTTGTATCATTTCTAGTTCTGAAAATTACCTCCTTGTGACTTTTTGTATTTACCCACATCATCATCTCCTTAAAGACTCCAGCCTTGAACTCACTTCTCTTTCTCCCCACTCTTCAATCACCTTGAACCTCTGGCATTTCATCCATCTGCCCCATGCATTATTACTATATCACATCAGTCCCAACACATACACATACCCACATACTCACAGAGAGAGAATCTGGTGCCTCCAAAGGCTGACTGGTTGATCCAAAATACTACTGCTTGAAGATATTAAGAAATGAGGGTAAGAAAGAAGTGCACAATGATCCCCTAAGTCTCAGGACCAAAGGACATTCAAAAAGCAAGGAGCATGGAGCAAAAATGCAAAGGCAGGTACCTTCAATACACATCGTTCTACAGCTTTACAGGATCCAACTTTCCAGAAGGTATTATGTTTCATGAGTTCAGAATGCAGTTCTCTCTTATAAATAA
The DNA here is from genome assembly GCF_000001405.40 of Homo sapiens. Lineage (NCBI taxonomy): Eukaryota > Metazoa > Chordata > Mammalia > Primates > Hominidae > Homo > Homo sapiens. The sequence goes on from NC_000017.11 coordinate 12,395,225, forward strand.
ACAGTTCAGTAGGCCTTGCAGTACCTGATCAATGCACCAAAAAGAACAAATAAGGGTAGAAAGAGGAGCTTAATTTCCAAGGAAGTTATATCTATTCATGTGTAGCTTATGAGAAAACTACCTTTTCCTCAATTGTATCTGCATTATCACATGTGCCCACTTTTGAAGTGGAAGAATTCTATAACGGGGTGACACTGAGATTGAGTTTTAAGGAAAAAGAATTATTCATATATTTATTCATTCATATCAACTGCTTTGTATTTGGTGCTAGATGTCTTGGGTTTGGTTTCCCAGGAGAAAATCTGAGTCAAGGATTTTGGGCAAGTTTTTTTATTAAGATGGTTTTTTTCAGGATAACCTGAAAAGGTAGTTGGATTCTGGCACTCCCCGATAAAGTCAGTGGAGATTATAGAATTCCCCAAGCCAGGAAGTTTTCTTTGTGTTCTAAAGAGGCAAGGAGAGAAATGGACAGAGTCAAGAATCTTGGTCCAAGCTCTAGCTCTGGCTCTAACCAGTGGTGGGTTAAGTTAGTTACCTCAAAAGCTTTCCAAAAAGATTTTGAAACCATTAAACAAGGTAACATACAATTTTAACAAATGGTCAGTGACAGCCTTCTATAGGGTAAGAAGATAAAGTTGCAGAACTGAAGGCTCCTGTCCTTGGGAGATTCCCAGTTGTGATAACCAGACTGGATTCTTGAGTCAGTGCAGCTGCCACATCCATCCAGTAGGGGCGCCAACTAACACAGGATTGAGATGGAAACATGACTGCTAATTCATTAAGGTTTCCACGTATGACTTTTTACATAATGGAAACGTGCTTCCTCTTGGGCTGAGGAAGATAGCACTCAAGCACAGAAATCTCTCTGATCCAGCCCCTGCCCCAGCAAGATGAGTGTTATTGAAAGAACCGAAAACTGGTTTAAAGGAAGGACCTCTAATTGCCTGGCTATGGCAACAAATAGTTGGTTTGTCCAAAGCTTTCACATGTTTGGACCTAGCCTTATGTGAGAAAACTTCCACTAGTGGGGAGCAGCTACAGCTCCAATGCATAACAGTGAGGGGCTCTAGGAAATATGAATGTTGAATTGTTAGGGAAAAAATTCTGCACCTAATCCGTCACTTCTTTGTTCACTCAACAAATATTTACTGAGTTTCTGCCAGCCGCCAGGCATTGTTCTAACTAAGCCATGCGGACACAGCAATAACTAGAACAAATATAATCCCTACCCTCTTGGAACTTACATTCTAGAGGGAAAGAGATGTTAAGTATAACAAATAAGGAAACATAACAGTGTTTCAGGTGATGATAGTGTGATGGAGAAAAAGTTGAGGTATGGAGTAAGGTTGCTTTTTTGTACAGGGTGGTCAAGGAAGGTGTCAAAGATAAGATAGTGTTTGAGATGAGCTCTGAAGGAGGTGAACCGTGCACCTCTTTTAGTGTGTGTGTGTGTGTGTGTGTGTGTGTGTGTGTGTGTGTGTGTGTGGAGTGCTCAGAGAATCAGCTAGAGTGGCTGTGGGGAATCCAGCAAGGAGGAGAGTGACAGGTTGTAGTGGTGGGGCGGGTGGTTGGAAAGGGCGGGTTATGTGGGACAATCGTTCTCAAACTTTGCTGCACGTTAAAACCACTTGTGAGGCTTTTAAAAATCCCAATATCCAGGCCTTACCCCAGATCAGATTCCCTGGGGTTGGGACCCTGAGATCAGTGGCTTTTAAAGCCCCCCAGGTCATTCCCATGTTCAACTAGGGCTGAGGACCAGCAATGAGGGGCTTTAGGTCATTGCTAGGATATTTGCTGGTTAATTGTAGGTACCAACTAGGCAGAGGTCATGGTGCCAAGATAGGTGGTTGAATATTACTCTGGACCTTTCTCTGAGGGTGTTCTTGGATGAGGTTAACATTTGAATTGGTGGACTTTGAGTAAAGCAGGCTGCCTTCTGTACTGCAAATGAGCCTCATCCAATCAGCTGAAGGCCTCAATAGAACCAAAGGCTGAGCTCCCACAAGTTAAAGGGAATTCTGCGGCAGACATCGTTTAGACTTGAACCATAGCATTAGCTCTCCCCTAGGTGTCCAGTTTGATGGACCACCCTGCACATTTGGACTTGCCAGCCTCCATAATTGTATGAACCAATTCCTTAAAATAAACCTCTTGGCTGGGCGCGGTGGCTCGAGCCTGTAATCCCAGCACTTTGGGAGGCCGAGGTGGGTAGATCACGAGGTCAGGAGTTCAAGACCAGCCCGACCAATATGGTGAAACCCCATCTCTACTAAAAATACAAAAATTAGCCAGTGCGGTGGCAGATGCCTGTAATCCCAGCTACTCGGGAGGCAGAGGCAGGAGAATCGCTTGAACCTAGGCAGCAGAGGCTGCAGTGAGCCGAGTTCGCACCACTGCACTCCAGTCTGGGTGACAGAGTGAGACTCTGTCTCAAAAATAATAAAATAAAATAAACCTCTTTCTCTACATATATGTAATCTGTTGGTTCTGTTTCTCTGGAGAACCCTCACTGATACAGGAAGGTTATAGAGGTGGGATAGAATCTGCTTTAAATACATCTCTGGTTGCTGAGATAAACTTTTTGTAGAGGGGTACTATGATTTGGATATGGATTTCTTGTGTCCACCAAAGCTCATGTTGAAATTTGGTCTTCAGTGAGTGGTGCTGGGAGGTGGGGGCCTAGTGGGAGGTGTTGGGTTTGGGGGCGGATCTCTCAAGAACGGCTTGGGTTGTTCTGTGATAGTGAGTTCTGGCTCCAGGATTAGTTCCCACAAGAGTGGGTTGTAATAAAGCCCAGAGACGTGTCAGGTTTGGCCCCTCTTTGCCTGTGTTCGATTTCCCTTTGGACTTCTTTACCATGTTTTGATGCAGTTCAAAGTCCTTCACCTGAAGCCGAGCAGATGCCAGCACCACGCGTCTTGTACAGCTTGCGGAACTGTGAACTAAATAAACCACTTTTCTTTATAAATGACCCAGCTTCCGGTATTCTTTTATGGAAACGCAAAACAAAGTAAGAAAGGAGGTCGAGGGTCAAAATGGGGAAACCACTTGGGAAGACATTGCAATAACCAGTCAAGAGTTAATGGTGGCCTAGACGCAGCTAATAACAGGAGGTGATGAGAAATTGTAGGATTCCGTATTCTCTATTAAGGTTGTGGCATCAGCATTTGCTGTTGGATATATGACAGGTTTGCTACAATCTATTTTGGAGATCTAGGGCTTCATCAAATCAACTGTTAGTTTAGTCACTTGTTTTATTTGATTCAGATCACATGAAACCAGGGAGAAAAGGGCCGTAAGTGTTAAAAGACACATGCAGTAAAGCGAAAGTCTGATCCTTAGAGAATTCTGGCCTCAACCAAACAATTCAAACGTTTTCAAACATGCTGGAATAAGCAAGAAACAAAACATACTTTGACAGATAATTTATTTCTAAACTATATGGATCTGAAGTGTAACTGAATCCAGCTGTTTCTCCTCCTTTGCTCTTTCTCTCTCCCATCTCTTTGATGAGGCACTGACAGCCTCAGAACACGTCAAGTGTAAAGTTTGCACAGTGGGACAAAACGTTTTGTTATTCACAATGACTCTGACCTCAGGAAGGCTGAGTTTTCATCTATAAATCATCACCCAGACATCCAAGTGCTGCAACAGTTGGCAAGACCCTCTATCCAACTGCAACAAGGCCAAAGTCGGGCATGCCCCAGGAAAAGCCTTTATCTCAAGGTAGAAGAGAAAGCGCTCCATGACTGCTCTTCGTCTCTTCTCTTTTTCAGCTCTGCCTGCACTAATTCTCAGGTCCAGAAACCTGCCTTCTGTCTTTCACCGAGGAGTCCTTGCAGAAGTGTCCCCTTTATCTGGTGGCTGTTTCTTCCATCTGCTTTATCCGCTTGAACACTTGATCTTTTCTGAAGGGCCTTTGCAAAAGGTGAGGCAGATTGTGTCTCCCCAGCCTCAACTTAAAGGCTACTTTTGTACTGAAGCCTTCCTTAAGTCTTCCCAAACGACCTGACCTTCCCTTGTTATTGGCCTTTGTAGTCAGTGCAAGTGCTGTGATCTGAATGCTTGTGTTCCTTCCAAACTTTATATCCTGAAATCCTTATCCCCAGGGAGATGGTTTCAGGAGGTGGGGCTGTTGGGAGGTGATTAGGTCATAGGAATGAAGCCCTTATGAATGAGATTAGTGCCCTTATAAAAGATTCGTGCCCTTCCACCATGTGAGGTTGCAGTGAAAAGATGACTGTCTATGATGAATGGGCCCTCACTGCGCACCGAATCTGCCAGCATCTTGACCTTGGACTTCCCAGCTTCCAGAATTGTGAGAAATCTGTTGTTTGTAAACTTCCTGATCTACTGAATTTTGTATAGAAGCCTAAATAAACTAAGGCAACTTTGAAGATCCACGTTTTCAGCACCTAGTATATATGTAGCCATCCTTCTAATGTCTGTTATATCCTCTATGCACTGAAGCACTGTTAAGAATAGCCTGAAGCCTGCCTGATTCACTCCTGCATGCCCAGCCTCCAGCAGTGTGCCTCAGACTCGAGCATTCAGTTAATAACTGAAAAACTGCTGTGTGCCTGGCACTATGCTAGGCTCTGAGTACACACCGATGCTCGACAAAGATTGGGTACCATGTGATGAAATTCAGATGTAAACATGTTCTAAATTCTTTATTATTTTACTAAAATGAGGTCTTATGTCCAAATTTCTAGTATCGAGAAAAGGTATCATCATTATATCTCTAAATCTCCAAGGTAGAAATGTTACTTTCTCCATTTTTTTGTATGAAGTACCAAGTCTTATAGTTTACTTCTTTCAAATAGTGCTTATAGTCACATTTTCTTTCATTTTTCTTACACTAATTTTTGGTCCTTTTCATGCCTGAATTACTAAAATAGCTATTTCATTCTTTCTTCTTTCCTGGAGGTAATCTGGTATATAGCATCATAAATCTGGTGCGTATTCAAATACGTATGCGTGTTCAAATTCTATACTTTTGCTATTATGTGTATAATATATGTATATATGTATGTATATATACACATACATATATAAATATGTTTATATATGTTTATATAGTATGTATCACACACATGCACACAAATGTACTTAATATGTGTATGTATATACAATTGTCCTTTTGTTTCTGTGGAGGATTGGTTCCAGGACCTCTCATGGATACCAAAATCCACAGATTCTGAAGTCCTTGAAATAAATAGTGTACTATTTCTATATAACCTTTCTAAATCCTCCTGTGTACTTCAAATCATCTCTAGATTACTTGTAACATCGAATACAATGTAGATGCTATGTAAATAATTGTTATACTACTTGTTTAGAGAATAATGACAAGAAAAAAACACCTGTGCATGTTCAGGTGCAATTTTGGGGAGGGGGATATTTTACATCTGAAAGTTGGTTGAGTCCACAGATGTGGAACCCACAGATACAGAGGGCCGACTGTATAAAATAGGTTTATGTGCTTTTAAACATTTACGTGAGTGATGTAATATTGTGTGGAACATTCTGTGGCATGCATTTCATTTGTTTTGTTAATTTTATCTTTTATAAAATATATATGACTTTTTATAATAATTTTTAAAATAAAGGTTATTATAATGAGGGGATTGGGAATTCCTGTTTCAAGATGGTAATCTAAAGCCATTTTTATTTTTATTTTCCTCTTAGCAAGTCTTCAAAAAATAAGAAAGGAAGCAAAATCACAAATTCACCTGGATAAAGCTGAGTGCTATCTACAACATATATAACTGCACTAAAATAAATGATGCAACTATAAACCAAGACATTGTGATGTTAAAGTAGAATTCAAGGCAAGAAATATATGGGGCAAATATTTCTTGTTTTTAGTGAAGCTTATAAAGAAAATATAAATCATAAATATTTGCACCTTCCAAACACCATTGAAATAGATAAATCAAAAACTTGCAAATTGCAGGAATAATTGCTAGAACACAGGAACTTTTGTGACATTAAGTATTTCTCTTAGTCATTATTAAACAGGATAAACAAAAGGAGAAAGGATTTAGAATTTAAATGATACAATTAGTAAGGTGGATTTAGGCCCGGCACAGTGGGTTACACCTGTAATCCCAGCACTTTGGGAGGCTGAGGCGGGTGGCCCAAGGTCAGGATATCGAGACCATCCTGGCTAACACGGTGAAACCCCGTCTCTACTAAAAATACAAAAAAAAAAAAAAAAAAAAAAAATTAGCTGGGCGTGGTGGCGGGCACCTGTAGTCCCAGCTACTAGGGAGGCTGAGGCAGGAGAATGGCGTGAACCCAGGAGGTGGAGGTTGCAGTGAGCCGAGATCGCTCCACTGCACTCCAGCCTGGGTGACAGAGCAACACTCCATCTCAAAAAAAACAAAAAAAAAATCAAAATAAGGTGGATTTAATAGGCATGCCATCTATTAAACAGAAATTGTATGGCACATGAATTCTGATTATTAAGGAATGCTACTAGAAATAAGTAACCAAAACATAATAATAAAGTAATCCGTCATCTGAAAATTTTAATGCAGTGTCTTAAGTATGTCTTGGAAGAAAAGAAAACATCAGCCCTTCAATTAAATTATATTTAGAAATCAATGAGAATATGAACACTATAAATTAAAGCTTATGAGAAATAGCTAAGAAAGCACTGTTCAAAGTTAACTCATAATCTTAGGTATTTTAATGACTAAAGTGAAATCAAAATAAACTGTACTAATTCAAGAAATTAGAAAAAAAGGAAAGAAAACAAAAAATAAATCACGAAATAAGGAAAATGAAATAGGAAAATAAAATAATATATTGAATAATATAAAAATGAAAATTAGTGAATTAGGATTTACAAATAATACAGTAATAAAATAGTAAAATATTTAGCTTGTCTAATGAAAAAATAGAGATCACTCAAAAACATACATTTAGGCATTAGAAAGTAATATAATCACAGATATGAAGTAGATGAAATACTAAAAAATGATAAGGCGCACGCAAAGCTATTAAATTTGAAAACTTTAGACAAATATAAATTAGAAAAGTTTACTGAAGTAGAAAACTTGAAATAAATATTTAGTCAAGGGAAAAATGGAAAAAAGTCAAGCTATTACCAACAATAGAGGATCCAATTCTAGACACTCTTATAGAAGCATTCTTTCAAACTTTCAAGGAACAGATAATTTCTATGATGTAAAAACTGTTCCATATTCTATCATTTTTTAAAGTTTATGTTGGAAAAACACTCAAACTCTCTGAACTCAGTTTCTTAGTTAATATAATTATGGTAATAATAATAAATATGCTTGACTATAAAAATGTAAGGAATCAGAGATACACTTAAAATATTAGAATTGATAAGAAACTACAGTAATACGGTCAATTATAAAATAAATATTAAAAAACTCAACTCCATTATAATAAAACAATTATAATTTGAAAAGGTAACAGAGAAAACATCCTATTCACACAAGTAACCAAAAAACCGTAATAAAAATAATACAATATATACCAATTTACTGAAGGATATAAAAGAATACTTGAATACATAGAGACATAGATTTAGAATTAGGGGAAGCTTGTCATAATTTCAGTTGTGGAAAATATGAAGTACATTGGCAGTATGATTGTTTACATAATTTTTATAATTTTTCTGTAAAATTAACTTTTGCATGTTCAGTCATTTCTGTTAAAGTCTTGACCAAAATATTTTCTATGATTTTCAACAAATAGGAGCATCTACTCTCCTATGATTCTCTAGCTTATATTTAGTTTTCTACTGAACACTAGCGAACAAATACATTTCCTGTGTTTAATTTGTATTATTGGTGGGGTTGCTTCTATATTCCAGAGAAATTACTTATCTTGCCCAGATGGTGACTCACATAAATACATGAGGATTCAGGGACTAATGATTAGATCACCAAGGAGGTATGAGGGACCTCCCAAGAGGCCAGAGCAAACAAGCATCTCAACCACCAGACTGGCACTCAGGGAAGGGGAGGGAGGACATTTGATCAGACCTAACACATCTCTGAGAAAGCCTAGGATGAATCTCCATTCCCAGGGATCTGTTGGAAATACTCTTCTACCTTGGAATTTGGTTTGGAAAAAGGGGCTCCAGAGCGAGTTACTACTGAGAGGATCTTGGAATTTTTCCATGTAACAACTTCCCACAGGCCAGAACATACCATTCGAGTCAATGGACAAAGTGTGGGCAGGTTCTTCAGAGCAGGCTAAAAAGAATTTCACGCACAAATTCTCCATTTGTCTGTCTTTTTACATCCTTCTCTTGATTCATCTCCCTCCTATGTTTCAAAGGTAGATTTTTTCCTTGTCTAAGTTCATGGGATACCTAGCATACGAACAATCTTTTCTTTCAACAATTCTTTCTTCATTGCAAAAAGACATTTATTGAGCACCTTCTATGTTCAGGGAATGGGCTTGGGAGCTAAAGTTATACAAACATTTAAGATATAGTTTCTGCTGTTGAGTGGTTTACAATCTTAACTAGGTAATCTTGATTTTAAAACAGTATAACCCCAAACTCCCCCCACACTCCCACCAGCTGCAAACACACACTATAGCAGAACTACTGCTGGGGAATGTGGCTTCTTGCTCCTGAATTTAAGATGCTCTCGTTGGATGCCCAGAGAAGGTTCTGGACAAAGAAACTGGAATAATAGGCTGTAAAGGCCTAAAATGTAGGCAGATAATCGTATCAGAGGGGTTGGGGATCCTGTACTGCACCACCTGGTCATGAGAAATGAGAGAGAGGTCACAGGCTGAGGTCTTTAAATCTCAGCAAACCTCCTTGCCAACAACCGATGACCGCAGATGTTGGAGCTCTGACTAGTTTCCACCCCTTTCTCCTACAGTCTTTTACAGTTGGCACCCAACTGTCTTAAACTCAGGAGCAGGAAGCCACATACCCCGGCAGGGTTCTGGTTAGGCTGGTGCAAAAGTAATTGCGGTTTTTGCTATTGGTTTTAAACACAATCACTTTTGCATCAACCTAAAATTTGCAGCAGATGAAGTATGAGGTGGGAAAGGGGTTTGGGTGTATTTGCTCAGCTACTTATAAGGCAGCACTGTATTTCCCATTTCTCCTAGGATGTAGGTGCCCTTGCCTGCCTTCCCACCTTGGCATCTCCAATTGCCCACTCCCCATCTCGCTTTCATTAACCCCCAATTTCCTCATCCCCAAGACACCTTTAAGCACTGTGGTCCTCAACATTCACTTAGTCCTTGGCTTATACTGCTTTACCCTGGCAATGTTTGAAACTCATAGTTACCAATACAGAGGCTGAAAATTGGATTTTGGCTCTGCCACTCCACAGTTTCCTCACCTGTAACCTGGGGAGGTAGCTAGAAAACCTCACCCAGGGTAAGAGCAGGGTCATCATAGGGGAAGACGAATTTGCGATTGGTCTTGAAGTTAGGGTAGAAGTTCTATAGTTAGAAGTGGCCCAAAGGAAACTATTCTAGAAAGGGAGAATAATGTGAGCACATCCTTGGAGAAGAGAAATCATGTGGTTTGTTCAGAAAGCATAAAGAAAGCCAGTGTTGGAGGGTGTAGACCATGAGTGAGAGGACTGTGGGAAGGCAAGTTTTGAGTGTTCAGCTGAGGACACTCATTGAGGCATTATGCAATACATATATTCAGCCATATCCCTATCCTCCAGTGCACTTTCAACTTGCTTCATTTTTTTTTTTTTTTTGAGATGGAGTCTTGCTCTGTTGCCCAGGCTGGAGTGCAGTGCACAATCTCGGCTCACTGCAAGCTCCACCTCCCAGGTTCACGCCATCCTCCTGCCTCAGCCTCCCTAGTAGCTGGGACTACAGGCGCCCGCCACCACGCCCCAGCTAATTTTTTTTGTATATTTAGTGGAGACGGGGTTTCACCATGTTAGCCAGGATGGTCTTGATCTCTTGACCTTGTGATCTGCCCGCCTCGGCCTCCCAAAGTGCTGGGATTACAGGCGTGAGCCTCTGCACCCAGCCTCAACTTGCTTCTTAAAGAGTGGTCCATAGGCCAAGATGGTGAAACCCCATCTCTACTAAAAATACAAAAAATTAGCTGGGTGCGGTAACAGGCGTCTGTAATCCCAGCTACTCGGGAGGCTGAGTCAGGAGAATCGCTTGAACTCAGAGGGCAGAGGTTGCAGTGAGCCAAGATCGTGCCACTGCACTCCAGCCTAGGCGACAGAGTGAGACTCTGTCTAAAAAAAAAAAAAAAAGTGGTCCACGGGCCAGCAGCATCAGCATCATGCAGGAGTTTGTGAAAGTGCAGAATCTCAGGCCCCATTCCAGACCTTTTGAAACAGAATCTATATTTGAGGCCAGGGGTGGTGACTCACGCCTGTAATCCCAGCATTTTGAAGGCCGAGGTGTGCAGGTCACTTCAGGTCAGGAGTTTGAGACCAGCCTGGCCAACATGGCAAAACCGCGTCTCTACTAAAAAGACAAAAATTAGCCAGGCGTAGTGGTGGGCATCTGTGGTCCCAGCTACTCAGGAGGCTGAGGCAGGGGAATCACTTGAACCTGGGAAGCGGAGGTTGCAGTGAGTGGAGATCGTACTACTTCACTCCGGCCTGGGCAACAGAGCGTGACCCCATCTCAAGAAAAGAAAAAGGCCGGACGTGTTGGCTCATGCCTATAATCCCAGCACTTTGGGAGGCCGAGGCGGGTGGATCACGAGTCAGGAGATCGAGACCATCCTGGCTAACACAGTGAAACCCTGTCTCTACTAAAAATACAAAAAAAAAAAAATAGCCGGGCGTGGTGGCCTGTAGTCCCAGCTAATCGGGAGGCTGTGGCAGGAGAATGGTGTGAACCCGGGAGGCAGAGCTTGCAGTGAGCCGAGATCATGCCACTGCACTCCAGCCTGGGCGACAGAGCGAGACTCTGTCTCAACAACAACAACAACAAAAAAGAATCTCCATTTGAACAAGATTCCCATCTCTATTTGAACAAGATTCCCAGACGACTTGCATATACATTAAGACTTGATGAACACTGCCAGTTCAATCACACAGTTTATTAAAAGCGCAAATGTCCTTGGAAGTCTAAGGCAGGAACAGAAGGCTTTGAAATGTACTTGACAACTGGCCTTTAAGTCATTACTTCGAACCTTCATTTCTCCAGCAGCTCTCAGCATCATCCTTGGAGATAGTATATCCCAAGCTCTCAAACTTCAACAAGCACAAGAACAACCAGACATAAGTGTTCACAGGCAGATTCTTGGGACTTACACTCCATTTCTCTTAGGGATTCTGATATCAATTATCCAGAAGCTATAATATGAGAAGCACTAGGCTAGAAGGACTGCTTATCATCATCAAGTAAAGGATTCTGGAAAAAATGGGGAATTGGAAAATATTAATTTTTTTGCACCAAAAAGCTTTGGATTTGCTGTATTGGTCTGTAACTTGCCCCAGCCCTGCTGTAGCTGGACATTTATCACAGTTAAAGTAGAAATAACACCATTAGCCTTTCAAGCAGTGATAAAATTAGCAGTGTAAACAAAGCAAGTAAATGACCTTAGTCAGATTCCTTGTTGACTCTGACCCAACACCTACCAAGATGATTAGTCAGGGCAAATGAGAACAGGGTGAAGAGGCCCCTGTGAGGAGAAAGATCCTCTCCCTGTTTACTTCCTGAGGATCCTCCAGCACACAGGACGGTTCCTAAAATGCCTGCAAATGATTAGGGCTCTGAATGTTTAGCGCTTTGGCCCCAATTCTGTGCCAAACTCTGTCATGGTTATTTTTTTCCAGGAGGGAAAGTTCCTTCCAACTTAGAGTCTTACTGCTGTGAATATTCCGGCTTCCTGAGAAAGGGGTGTTCTCTCCTAGAGTTCCAGCAACGCAGAATTCAGGGTGGGAAATGGGCCACAATAGTCACTTCCATTTTTCAGAAGATGGGCCCTGCATTGGGTGGATGGAAACTGTGCTGGTTGGTCCGAGACAGACATGAGTATAAACCTTGTCTCTTCCCGCTGGCCTTCTCAATTAGCCAAATTCAAAGTGAGCTCCTCTTCTTCCAAACTGCTTGTCTGTGTTACTGACTTGGGCTCCTTCTGCTATGTTCTGTTTTTGATTGCATTGTTTCCTCTCCTAATTGTTAAGTTATTGAGGACAGGGGCCCTGCATTATACTTCTTTTTGTCTTCCTGGTATAAAAAGTCCAGGATCTGATTCAGAGGGCCTGTCTTGCTGTCCTGGTTTTAACATTGCTGAGGAGGGAAACAGCCCTTTTATTCTCCACCTAACACTTCCCAAGAGAACAAAATCTTAATATATTTCAGATGACAGATACTAGGGGCTAGGTTGACAGGTAAGCCATGTGTTAAAAGGTCCAAGTTTACAGGTGAGTGTGTGTACGTGTGTGTGTGTGTATGTGCATGTGTCTATGTGTGTGTGTGTGCTCATGTGCATGCATGCACGTTTGTGTGCATACACACGTGCATGTGTACACATGTGCATGTGTGTTTATGTGTGTGTTTACATATGTGTGCGTGTGTGTGTGCATTACCCTGTTCCTTCCTTCCTCCTATGCAGCTGGAGCAGTAAGCTTAGCACCTGAAGGTGTGGGAGGGGTACCCTTCTCTTTGCATTCTTATCCCCTACATGCCCACATGGATGTGGCCAGGAGCTCATTGGAAATTAGGCCAAGCTAGTACTGGTTATTCATGGCAAATATAACAAATATATGCTCTTCCCTGGCTGTCTGGGCTCTCTCTGGCTCTATTCTCCTCTTTCACTCCATGTAAACTAGCCTCAGTATCATGCTCCAGCAGGGTAGAGCAGAGAACTCAGCATCAGGAATTAAGCTTACAGCCCATCTGCCAGTGCTTTGCGCATACATCCTTCTCTTGGGAAACCTATGAGGAAGAGTATCTTAGGTTTGGTCTCCTGGTCTGTTGCCATCAATGAGCCTGTGAATCCCAAGTTTTCCCTCACTCTCTGCTCTGTTCCAGCACTGTGCCTTCTTGTGCATGACATAAATGCTCTGAATCACAGTTTTTGCCTCTATCAAATGGACATAATGGCATTCATGATCATGCTCACAGAGATTTAAACGCAATAACTTGGTATATTCTAGAAGCGTATTCAAAAGGAACTTTTTTATTGTCTCGTTCCTCAGGCTTAGTATGATTTCTCGATGGAGTGGAGATAATGAATCCTTATGGGATGGCTGATTGAACAGATAAGATGTGATTCTCACCTATACCAGCTGAATTAATGCATCTATTGAGAGGTGATTTTCTATTTTTAAAGAAAGTATCATGCAGCAGAACTACCTGGTGAGGGCATACATATCAAATGCAATTTGGCTTTAGGAGATTCATTAGCGTCTGTTCTCTAAGAAGTGAATCTGTTGGAGTAGCTGTTTGTTTTTTTGGAAACAAACAAAAAAATCTGTTTTTTGTTTGTTTCTTTATTTTAGGGCTTAATTTTTTGAGACAATCTTGCTCTGTGCCCAGGCTAGAGTACAGTGGTGCGATCTTGGCTCACTGCAACCTCCCCATCCCAGGTTCAAGCCATTCTTCTGCCTCAGCCTCCCGAGTAGCTGGGACTACAGGCGCGAGCCACTACTCCCAGCTAATTTTTGTATTTTTATTAGAGATGGGGTTTCACCATGTTGGCCAGGCTGGTCTCAAGCTCTTGACCTCAGGTGATCCACTGGCCTCGGCCTCCCAAAGTGCTGAGATTACAGGTGTGAGCCACCACACCTGACCTGGAGTAGCTGTTTTTGAAGAGGGCTCTCTTAATTAAACCAGTATGGTTTGGCCAACTCGTTATGGTTGCTCTAAGCAAATTTTGATCGACTTTTACGCTGTATGTGTTTACAGAGAGCCTGACCTGCAGAAACATATTATCCATATGGAAATAAGGGAGAAACACAATGATGTATCCGTCTCACATCAGAAGAAAATCTAGGTCTTTTCTCTTGTCTATTTTGTCTTCTGTACCCAAGCTTGCAGAAAACCAGACACTTCCAATGAGGACAGTCCCCTGATAAAAAGCCCTCAAGGAAGCCTGCTGTGCTCTGTGTAGTGTCATTGCACTGTGCATGGGGCAGCTGATTCCAATCTTGACTCACACACTTGAATGCAAAGTGAGGTTGGATAAGCACAAGGCCTTACGTGTACTTGTACATTGTTAGAAATCAAAACTGGTCGAAGTCTCTGAGAATTTCAGTCCAACCTCTTATAACTCTATCTTTCTTAGTTTCTTCTTTTCTGCCTGCAAGCATAGTCATATCTCTTGTCTACTAAAACAAAAACAAATCTAACAAAGCAAAATAACTTTTCTCTTATCCTACTATCATACTGTAGTGCTGCTGTTTGTCTTTTGTTTTCATACATCTGCAGAGGATGCTACATTATCAGACAGTTTGTTTCTTAAATAAATTTTACTGGCCGGGCGCGGTGGCTCACGCCTAAAATCCCGCACTTTGGGAGGCCAAGGCGGGTGGATCACGAGGTCAGGAGTTCAAGACCGGCCTGGCCAAGATGGTGAAACCCCCATCTCTACCAAAAATACAAAAAAATTAGCCGGGTGTGTTGGCGGGTGCCTGTAATCCTAGCTACTTGGGAGGGTGAGGCAGAGGATTGCTCGAACACGGGAGGTGGAGGTTGCAGTGAGCCAAGATCGCGCCACTGCACTCCAGCCTGGGTGACAAAGACTCAAAAAAAAAAAAAAAAAATTTACTGTGTGGCCGGGCGCGGTGGCTTACGCCTGTAATCCCAGCACTTTGGAAGGCCGAGACCAGCAGATCACCTGAGGTTGGGAGTTCAAAACCAGCCTGACCAACATGGAGAAACCCCGTCTCTATTAAAAATACAAAATTAGCTGGGTGTGGTGGCACATGCCTGTAATCCCAGCTACTCAGGAGGCTGAGGCAGGAGAATTGCTTGAACCTGGGAGGCGGAGGTAGTGGTGAGCCAAGATCGCGCCATTGCACTCCAGCCTGGGCAACAAGAGTGAAACTCTTGTCTCAAAAAAAAAAAAAGAAAAAGAAAAATTACTGTGTATATTTGAGGTTTACAACATGATGTTATGGGATATATAGAGATTGTAAAATGGTTACTAGAGTGAAGCAAATTAACATATCTAACATCTCACTTAATTACTTTTATTTTTGTAGTAAGAGCAAGTAGAATCTATTTATTTTACAAAAAGCCCTAACAACAATACGGTGTTATTAACCGTAGTCCTCTTGATGTACATTACATATCTAGGCTAGTTCATGCTACGTATCTACTACTTTTGTCCTTTGACCCTCATCTCCCCATTTTCTCCCTCTCCTCCCCGCCCCTGTTTTTTTTTTTTTTTTTTTTTGGAGTTGGAGTCTCTCTGTGTTGCCCAGGCTAGAGTGCAGTGCTGTGATCTTGGCTCACTGCAATCTCTGCCTTCCGGATTCAAGCAATTCACCTGCCTCAGCCTCCCGAGTAGCTGGGACTACAGGCACACGCTGCCAGGCCCAGGTAATTTTTTTTTGTGTTTTAGTAGAAACAGGGTTTCACCGTGTTGCTCAGGCTGGTCTTGAACTCCTGAGCTCAGGTGATCCGCCCTCCTAGGCCTCCCAAAGCGCTAAGATTACAAGCATGAGCCGCAGCGCCCGGCTGACCTCTTTTTTTTCTTTGAAAGATTCCATGTACAAGTGAGATCATGCAATATCTTTCTTTCTGTGTCTGGCTTATTTCACTTAGCATAATGTTCTCTAGGTCCATCCATGTTGTGGCAAATGGCAGGGTCTCTTCTTTAAAGGCTGAAAAATGTTCCATTGCATATATATCTATATATACCACATTTTCTTGATCCATTCACCTGTCAATGGAATCTTAGATTGTTTTCATATCTTGGCTATTGTAATAATGCTGTAAGGAACATGGGACGCAGATATCTTTACAAGGCGGTGGTTTCATCTTAGACACTATTCACCCACTTCTTAATCCTCTCTGCCCTGACCACCCTGCCCGAATTACTTCCTAAAAGGGCTCACGTCAGCTACTTGCCTGGCAAATACAATACCTATTTTTTATTCCTTGGTCCTCTTTGCAGCATTTGATATTATTACATGTTGTTGTCCATTGTATTCACCATGTCTATTTTCTGGTTTTTGGTGCTTTGATATCTGTGGCTTGCTGAGCCTGGATGATGCTTCCTTCCAGGACTTGCCAATCCCTAGAGATAGAATATAATTTTCCCTGCAGCATGCCTTTCAATTCCAACCACCTCCTCTCCAGAAACCTCAGACTCAGGGCCAATATTCCCCTCTCCTAACCATCCCCGGGCCAGGTCCCAGACATCTGGGGATGGCCCCTACGCCCCAGAGTTCACTGAAGTTATTCAAACCACCAAATCCTAAACCTGCTCACCTTACCTCGCCCATTTCCCGATGGAAACCACAAGGAAGGAAGGCTCCTGCCCACATGCCCCCCTGTCCCTCTGCCTCCTGACCAGCCCTGGTACTTCTCCTTGTGGTCTTACGTCGAGTGTAGTGCTCTTGTTTCTAGGGATCTGTGAGTATAAAATTGTCTTCCTTTCCATGTCTGCATGTCTTACCATACCTAACTGAAACAGATCCCAGGTACTTAAAATATATCTACTCTTATTTTTGGAAAGTATCAGCTTCCTTGCCTTTGGAACCACTCTCTCTTTGACTTATTTCATTTTTTGCATTTTTCTGTTTTTGTTTCTGATTTACTTATTGCAGCTCTAGAATCAGAGTCATCCCTACAAACTAAGGGATTTCTCACTGTGAGATGAAGAGGATGGTAAGTTAAAAAAAAAAAAAAAAAAAGGCAGGACCGGGCATGGCGGCTCACGCCTGTAATCCCAGTACTTTGGGAGGTTGAGGTGAGCGGATCACAAGGTCAGGAGTTAGAGACCAGCCTGGCCAGCATGGTGAAACCCCGTCTCTACTAAAAGTACAAGAAATTAGCTGGGCATGGTGATGCGCACCTGCCCGGCTACTTGGGAGGCTGAGGCAGGAGAATAGCTTGAACCCAGCAGGTGGAGGTTGCAGTGAGCCAAGATCGTGCCACTGCACTCCAGCTTGGGCGACACAGCAAGACGCCATCTCAAAAAAAAAAAAAAAAAAAAAAAAAAGGTTTTGTGTTTGTTTTCCTTAAAGGGAATAGGGAGAAAGAGTTTAGGGAAGACAAAGTTTAGAACAAACTCTCATAACACATGCATTGAACATGCACTCCTGTAAGAAGAAATCGGAAAGCATCTTTATTTTAACTCTCACCGTCCCTTTAAAGTTGTGCTTGCCTTTGGATGAAAATGGCAAGACCCAGGGTTGTGCACTGTGATTCTCATGCTAATCTGAATTCAGTTATTAGAATGGCCAATTCCATGTAGTCACCAAAACTCCAAACCTGACTTAGCATTGTCTTTCCCGCCTCCCCCCACCCTCTTTTCTAAGAATGGCTTCAGTCGACTCGACCACCTGCTGCCTGGGAGGAAGGTTGTAGTCAACTTTTTCTTTCTTTCTGGTTGATCTCTACCAGCATCCTGCTAACTTTAGCATTCGTTCCTTCCAGGGCTGGAACACAGGAAGAGAGGAAGAGAGAAGTACTGTGATTTCTCGCTTGACTGATATTGTCACAAGATGGCTTTGCTCTCGTCCTGAGAAGGACAAAAGCTGGCTCTTGCTCCAAAGAGGGCATCTGTGGCTCTGCAGAGATGCTGCTGCTGTGGGGCCTTGCTAACTTCAAACCCTGGACGTCTCTTTTGGCTGTCCCTCTGGGGGACACCCTCAGCCCCTGGATTTCTGGTTGTCCTCTCTGCACAACATTTACTCTGTGGAACTCTTTCAGGCAGTCTTCTAGTGCAGGATTTAAAATAGCTCTAGGACAGCATTCTTTGTTGTTGTTGTTGTTACATGAATAAGTTCTTTAGTGTTGATTTTTTTTTTTTTTTTGAGATGAAGTCTCGCATTGTTGCCTGGGCTGGAGTGTAATGGCACGATCTCGGCTCACTGCAAACTCCGCCTCCCAGGTTCAAGCGATTCTCCTGCCTCAGCCTCCTGAGTAGCTAGGATTACAAGTGCCCGCCACCATGCCCAGCTAATTTTTTGAATTTTTTTTTTTTTTTTTGGAAATGGAGTCTCGCTCTGTCACCCAGGCTGGAGTGCAGTGGCGCAATCTCAGCTCACTGCAACCTCCGCTTCCTGGGTTCAAGCAATTCTCCTGCCTCAGCCTCCTGAGTAGCTGGGACTACAGCTTCATGCCACCACACCCAGCTAATTTTTTTGTATTTTAGTAGAGACGGAGTTTCACTGTGTTGCCCAGGCTGGTCTTGAACTCCTGAACTCAGACAATCCGCCTTCCTCAACCTCCCAAAGTGCTGGGATTACAGGCATGAGCCACCGCGCCCGGTCTTTAGTGGTGATTTCTGAGATTTTGGTGTACCCATCACCTGAGCAGGGTACACTTTACCCAAAGTGTAATCTTTTATCCCTCACCCGCCTCCCACTCTTGCCCTCAAGTACCCAAAGTCCACTGTATCATTCTTATGCCTTTGCATCCCCATAGCTTAGCTCCTACTTGTGAGTGAGAACATACGATGTTTGGTTTTCCATTCCAGAGTACTTCACTTAGAATAATTGTCTCCAATTCCCTCCAAGTTGCTGCAAGTGCCATGATTTTTTTCTAGGACAGCATTCTTATTTAAGACCTATAGGTGATCCCTTTCCTTTGGGGAGAAGCCCAGTCACTTCTAGATGTTGACCTCGCCACTGCTGCCACTCGCCGCTTTGCCTTTCCCTGTGTGATTCTGGGCCGTGGTGCTGCCTACCTACAGGAAGTACATCTTAAACCCGGTCAGGAGGTTTGAGGCTGGTCAGGAGGCAGAGGGACAGGGGGGCATATGGGCAGGAGCCTGCCTTTCTTGTGGTTTCCGTCGGGAAATGGGCTAGGTAGGGTGAGCAGGTTTAGGATTTCGTGGTTTGAATAATTTCAGTGGACTCTGGGGCGTAGGGGCCATCCCCAGATGTCTGGGACCTGGCCCTGGGATGGTTAGGAGAGGGGAATGTTGGCCCTGAGTTTGAGGTTTCTGGAGAGGAGGTGGTTGGAATTGAAAAGCATGCTGCGAAAAGTTAACCATTTCGCCCTCTCTCACTAGGCTTGTGTTTAGAAGGAAGCGCCACCCACAGGTGCCCTCTTGGTGGGCAATGAACTTCAACAGAAAGACATTTCTTTCTCAGGAAATATTTTTCCATTTCTTTGGAGAAGAGCTTTGGAAATGCTCCCCCTGGAACATTCCTGGGTATCTTTTCTATCTCCTCCAAGTTCCACAATCAAAACTTCCACTCTAGCATCACATAACACATTTTTTAAGAGTTAAGGAAAAGTAAGAAGAATTCTTCAATGATTTTAGTATACCTAGGTTTTTAATGATCTTCATTTAAACGATGTCACTACAAATATTTAAAGTTATATATGCAAGACAGGCATTAAGTATGATGTTTCTCCTTACAAATGTAAAGAAAAATCAGGCTAGACTCTCTAACACTTGGTTTTCTATGCCTGTGTAAAATCTCTCTGTTTGGACAAAGCCATGATCTATATCAGCGGTCCTCAAACCTGGCAGTACATCAAATATAACCTGAGGGACTTATTTAAAATTCAGATGTCAGGCTCTATTCCAGACCTACTAAATCAGCCTCCAGGCCATTGGTGTTCTTATCAAACTGCACTTTTGATGCTCTTGCACAAGTAAGTTCAACGATCTCCTGGTGGTGGCTGGTCAGAAATACTAATGCCACCTTGAAAGACGTACACAGCCCCTGATGGGCAAGTCTCGTGAACTCAAACTTAAAAATTTCAGTCTCCCCAGTAGTTCTATTGGGAGTAAATTCCAGCAAAGTCTTATTTGTATTTATTTGTCAAGAGGGCTTCTCTATCTCTGCTCCTGAATAGTGAAACCCCACCTCCAGGTCTACTAGTCAGCGCTCTGTTGAGTCCATTGTTATGGAATGTCCCTGTTTAACAGGGTTGCTAGGAAAGCCTGACTCACAACCTTCAACCCCATGGTTTCTATGTTCCGATGCTAAGTCCTTTATTAACCAGTTTATCCACTTGTTCTTTACTAGGCTTGACTCCTTGGGTCTCTGCTGCCAACTCTCTTGTTTTGTGTCTTGGTAGTCTTGGGGATTTTAAACATTTCACTCTTTTCTCTTACTCCTTAATCAGAGAATGGAAGTTCTCCATGGCTGTCATCAGTAACCTCTGGGTATGAAAAATTACATCAAAAGTTCCTGGCCATTCAAATGTTTTCCTGGTCTGCTATTTTGATTTTGTCTTCTACCAGTGGTAAAAAGCTTTCTGTCCTAATTCACAGTTTCAGCTTTGATGCTGAGAGTTATTTGGGAAATGCTAAGAGAGGTAGGTGGTGATGGCTAAGGTAGAAGACATGTGGCGGGGAGGTTCTAGGATGTTAGTCAGAATTTATAGCTCTCCCCTTCATCACTCTAAAATCTAGACAACTGAAATCATTCTGACTCTTCTCTCTGCTTCCAATCTCCCTCAGGCTTCACCTCCTTTTACTTTCTTAGTCACACAGCTACTAGAGTTACTCTTATAATTGAGATCACCCCAGCCTAATTCTTCCCTACCTCACCCCATTCTTCATGGTTTCCTGTGATCCACAGATTGAAGTCCAGAATGGCTTGGTGCTTTGGGGGCATTTCCAGTTTTGACTTCCATTTCTCTCAGCTATAATCCTAAATTTTTCAACTTTCTCATGATCCTCCAAATATGTTGTCTTAGCCTATTCTAGCTGCTATAACAAAAGTATCATAGACTGGGTAACTTAAACAGCAAACATTTCTTTCCCACGGTTCTGAAGGCTGAGGAGTCCAGGATTGAGGCTGCAGGTGATTTGGTGTCTGGTGAGGACCTGCTTCCTTGTTCACAGATGACCCACTGTCTTCTCACTGTGTCCTCACATGGTGGAAGGGGACAATGAGCTCCCTAAGTCCTCCTTTTTTTTTTTTTGGAGATAGAGTCTCACTCTGCTGCCCAGGCTGGAGTGCAATGGCATGATCTCGGCTCACTGAAACCTCCACCTCCCAGATCCAAGCAATTCTCTTGCCTCAGCTTCCCAAGTAGCTGGGATTACAGGTACCCACCAACACACCTGGCTAATTTTTCTGTATTTTTAATAGAGACGGGGTTTTGCCATGTTGGCTAAGCTGGTCTCAAACTCCTGACCTCAGGTGATCCACCCACCTCAACCTCCCAAAGGGCTGGGATTACAGGCATGAGCCACCGCATTCAGCCCTCAGTCCTCTTTTACAAGGACGTTAGCTCCATTCATGAGGGTTTGACCCACATGATGGAACCACTTCCCAAAGCCCCACCTCCAAATACCATTGCACTGGGAGTTAGGAACTAAATGAATTTAGAGAAGACACAAACATTTAGTGCATAACATATTTCATGCCCTTTCTTGTAAACATGATTTTCCCCTTGATGTTTTTCTGGCTGAAATTGGGAAAGAAAATAGAACTCATTTGTTGAGTCGCTACCACACTCCAGGCACTGCAACACATATCTTTACATATACATCATTCGTTTCTCACAGTAACCCTCTAAAATAGTTACTTGCAGCCCTATTTTATAAATAGGGAAACAGATGATTTAAAATATCTCATCCAGAATTGCATAATTATAAGGCTCAAGCTGGAATGAACCTGCATCTGTCAATGCCAAGGGCCACCTATTCACCCTATGCCTTCCTAATATCAATTCTTCCCAAGCTGGGCTTCCATGTCACTTTTTCCATGAATTCTCTTTCAATTTCTTCCCAGTTCATTGCTCTCATTCCCTAATTCGTAAGTAAGTATGTGTTGAGAATGTACTTTATGCCAGACACTGTGCTGGTTCCTAGGGGTAGAGGCATGAATGAGACAGAGTGGATTTCTGCCCTCCAGGAGCTTACATTCTCCTGGGGGAAATAAAGAATAAACAAGCAAACAAAGGACTAAAAAGATAAAGAATGTGTAAGTACTGTAAAAGTGATAAATAAGGCAATAGCAGACAAGAGTATCTGGGAGGGATCTATTTAACATATAAAGGATTAGAAAAGGTCTCTAAGACCTGGTATTTGAACTGTGACTTGGAAAATATGACAGAGCCAACTAAATAAGGTGCTGGAGAATGAGCACACCATGCAGCGAGAGAAGCAAGTGCAAAGGACCTGGGGCAGGAAATAGCTTTGCACATTTGATCAGCAGTTTTTCTGGGCCATTTGTGAGTGGTAGAAGATTAGCTTGAAAATTAGTAGGCACTTGGTCATGTAGAGCCATGAGGACACTTTGAGTTTTATTCTAAAAGCAATGTTAAACTTTTGAAGGATTTAAAAAATGGCTTTATGGAGGTATAATTGACATGCAATAAACAACATATTTGAAATACACAATTTGATATGTTTTGACATATTGTGTTAGGCTATTCTTGCATTGCTGTAAGTAAATACCTTAGGCTGGGTAGTGTATAAAGAAAACATGTTTATTTGGCCCACAGTTCTGCATGCCTTACATGAAGAATGGTGCTGGCATCTGCTTCTGGTGGGGCCTCAGGAAGCTTGCAATCATGGCGGAAGGGGACAGGGAACCAGTATGTCACACAGTGAGAGCGGGAGCAAGAGAGAGAGGGAGGAGGTCCCAGACTCTTTAAACAACCAGATCTCACATGTAGTAACTGAGTAAGAACTCACTCATCACCCAGGAGATGGTGCTAGGCCATTCATGAGGGTTCCACCTCCATGATCCGATCACCTCCCACGAGGCCTCACCTCCAACATTATGAATCACATTTCAACCTGCGATTTGGAGAGGACAGACATGCAAATCATCTCACACCATGAGATGACACCAAATTATACCCCCGTGAAATTATCATCATGATCAAGATAATGAGCATATCCATCATTCCCAAAAGTTTTGTCATGGTCCTCAAAACCCCACTCAAAACCCTACCTGACCCCAGCTCCAGGCAACCACTGATTTGCTTCATGTCCCTGTAAATTAGTTTCTATTTTCCAGAATCTTATGTAAATGAAATCATAAAGTATGTACTTGTGTAAGTGTGTGTGGCTTGTAGGTTTTCATAGATTCCTTTTATCAGGCTAAGCTCTCTTCTATTCTTAGTTTGCTGAGTGTTTTCATCAGGAATGGGTGCTGTATTTTATCAAGTGCTTGTTCTCTATCTTTGCAGATGATCATCTTGCTTTTTTTTTTTCTTTTTAAGACTATTAGTTGATTGTTTGGAATGTTAAACTAAACTTACATGCCTGGAATAATCCCTACTTGATCATGATTTATTATGCTTTTTATATATTGTTGAATTGAATTTGCTAAGATTTTGTTTAGAAAATTTGCATGTATGTGGTTTTTTTATTCTTGTAATATCTTTGCCTGGATTTGATGTCAAAGTAATGCTGGCCTCATAAAATGGGTTGGGAAGCATTCCTTCTCTTCCCTATTCTTTAAAAGTTTATTCTAACTGGTATTATTTCTTATTAATGTTTGGGAGACTTCACTAGGGAAGCTGCCTGAGGCTGGAGGGTTTTTTGTTAGAAGGTTTTAAACTACAAATTCAACTTTAAAAAATAGATACAGGATTATCTATTCAGGTTCTCTTTCTCTTCTTAAGCAAACATTAGTTATATGTTTTTCAGGGAATTTGCCTATTTTTCTAAGTTCTCAAATTTATTGCCATAAGGTGGTTCACAATAAGCATTTATCATCCTTTTACTTTCTGTATAATTTTTAGTGAGGTCTCATTTTTACTGATCTCTCATTTCTAATATCTTTCGTTTGCATCCCCTTCACCCCAAAAGTTGATAAGTCTGGCTGGAGGTTTATTAAATTTATTGAACTTCTCACATAACCACCCTTTGATCTCATTTATTTTCTCCACTATGTTTTCTGTTTCATATCTAATTGGATTTTGCCCTATTTTTATTATTTCATTTTTTTATTTGGAGTTTAACATGTTCTTTTCTAGTTTATTTAAGAAGAAAGCTAAGGTCTTTGATTTGAGGCCCATCTTTAGGTCTTCCACTCCAGCTGGTGGAAACAGGAATGATTCCCAGTCTCATGTGAATTCTAAAGAATTGTTCCCTCTAGGGGCGGGGCCTGGTGGCTCACGCCTGTAATCCCAGCACTTTGGGAGGCCGAGGTGGGCGGATCATGAGGTCCCGAGATTGAGACCATCCTGGCTAACACGGTGAAACCCCATCTCTACTAAAAAACAAAAAATTAGCAGGGCGTGATGGCAGGAGCCTGTAGTCCCAGCTACTCTGGAGGCTGAGGCAGGAGAATGGCATGAACCTGGGAGGCAGAGCTTGCAGTGAGCCGAGATTGCACCACTGCACTCCAGCCTGAGCAACAGAGCGAGACTCCGCCTCAAAAAAAAAAAGAATTGTTCCCTCTAATCTTTTCAAGTAGTTCTTTCCCTGGCCTCTGTTTCCTCACAGATATGCATTGGGCAGCACTCAGCACAAGACTTGAGGGGACCCTGTGTAGGTCTCAGGAGCTGTCTTGCAGCTCTCTCTTCTCCAGCGTTCTCCCCTGAATCCCACAACTCTGACTTCCTTGGCCTCCCAGACTACTAGTATTGTCTCCTCAGCTCCACAAGGCCACCAAGCCCTGCCTGGTTTCCCTAGAAATTCTCTTCAGACCAGGCGCGGTGGCTGGAGCCTGTAATCCCAGCACTTTGGGAGGCTGAGGCGGGCGGATCACCTGAGGTCGGGAGTTCGAGACCAGCCTGACCAACATGGAGAAACCCCGTCTCTACTAAAAATACAAAATTAGCTGGGTGTGGTGGCACATGCCTGTAATCCCAGCTACTTGGGAGGCTGAGGCAGGAGAATCGCTTGAATCCGGGAGGTGGAGGTTGCGGTGAGTCTAGATCGCACCATTGCACTCCAGCCTGGGAAACAAGAGCGAAACTCCGTCTCCAAAAAAACAAAAACAAAACAAATTCTCTTGGGGCAGTAGCTGGGGCAATCGAAGGACTCTTCCTTTGTTTTGAATCTCGGTTGAATGTTTTGTATACCATTGTTTTATACTCTTTGTGTAGTGTTTTAGTTATTTCATACTAGAGCATAAGGCTAGTCCCTGTTATTCCGACGCTATCAAAAATGGAAGTTTCATCCTTTTGGGGGATTTCAAGTGGAGGAGTGGTGTTATATCATCCAAGGGTTAAGAAGATCACTCTTCTGCTGTTCCATCTGAAAGCAGATGGGAAGTGGAGGACAGGTCTGCTATTGTAGGAATGCAGGCAGGAAGTGCTAGGAATTGAAGAGGGATTTTTTTTTTCAAGGGCCACGGGGGCAGAGGGTGGCTCCAGATCCACTTGGAGGTGGAACCCAGAGAACTGGCTGATAAACTGGATGTGGAGTGGGTCGGGGGGAAAGGGAGTTAAAGCTACCTCCTGGGTGTTTCCTAGAACAACTGGGCCAATGGGGAAAGCCAGGGAAGGAAGTGGGCATTGTGGACAGGCGGAGATCAGGAGTTACAGTTTGGATATAAGCTTGAGATGTCTTTTTAATCAGTCACATGGATCTAGTCAAACAGGAAGAGGGCTATAAGAAGGTAGAGCTCCAGGGAGGAGTCAGAGTTGGAGACAGAAAAACGGAGTCATCAGTATAGAATTATTCAAAGCTCTGGGCCTGGAGGAGATCACCCAGGGGAACAGTGTAGACAGAGGAGAAAAGAAGGCCTAGACTGAGTCCGTGGGACCTTCAGCATCTAGATGTCAGGAGAGCAGGAAGAGCTGAGAAGGAGTTGGAGAAGAGGCACCTGTCTTCCCAGGAGACTCAATTCCTTTATTTAACCATGTGTTTTTCAGTTTTATAATTACCTGTTTATCCACCTGTCGCTCAACTTGCCTGGGAGCCCTTGAGGTCGGATGCCCTGTCTTATTTTGCATTGCCCACATCTAACACGGTGTCTGGCACCTAGATGGACCTTGAATGAATGAATGGATGAATGAATGAATGAATGAATGAAGACTAAGGGAGTTAAAAGATTACTGGTATGAGGTCAAAAGGACAGAGCTTTTTTGTAGTCCAAGGGACTGCAAAAGACAATTCTGGGAAAGTTGAGCTCAGAAAAAAAAAAATCTAACAGTCCAGAAACATTTTCCTGAGTGCCAGTTTCCTGATCTGTCAACTAAAACGTCCCGGAGAAGTGATCTTTAGAGTTACTTCTGTTTACATGCTGCACACAGACGGGAACGCTCCATTTGGCTTTCTCTGCAGAGTCCACAAGGAGACAAAACAATGTGTTAAAGTTGCGCTTCCTTGGTTGATGTTTCTATTCTTTTGGTCTTTTGTCTGTTTTCAAACAGATCAAAGCACGTCTTGTGAAATGTTCTGGCCCCAGAGTAGAATTTAAGATGCACAAAGGGCATGAGTAGACATTAATAAAAAACTCATTTTGACCCTTTCGAACTGGCGGCCACCATGGAGGTCAGAAGAGGGCAGGTGTATTCCTGCCAGCCCCCTAGAGACATAAAGATGTCTGCCCCGAGGAATCAGGCTAGGGATTAGTGACAGGCTCCATGCCTGCCCCCTGCCACACTGGACAGCCAAACCTCCTTCTCTTGACTTACAGGACTGGCAAAGACAGTGACAGGGGCCTGGCCGTGGAGCCTGGCTGAAATCCGGGCCCCAGTGAAAGCCCCACAGAGAGCTGCAGAGAAAGGCAACCTTCAGAGGCTGACTTTGATATTTACACTTCCCCAATTTCTACGGAGAGCCGTGGTCTCGTGTTTTACACATTCAGCAATTGCACAGGCCCTGAAAGGTTTTAACTGTCCGGTTGAAACTATAATAAAGTTTACTGTGGTTAAAACCTGAAATGAGTCTGAGTTTGGATTTTTCAGCCCAGTGGCTTCGTGTAAACAGTTTACTTAACGTCGTTTTTGGCTCTTATTCAATAAACCACCATGATAATCCCGTTCACAGACAAAACAGATCACGGATTAGCAGACAGGCTGCTGTAACAAAAGCAGCGCATTACCTGCTCTTTGTGCAAAAGGTAGAGCTCCGTTTTGCAGAAAGTATTCGTCTATCTTTGTTTTCATAGTTGAAGAGAAGGAACGTTACATTGTTTAGCTCCTTTTTGTACCACAAAAATAGATTTTAATTAAGCACATAAAGTGAGCCGGGCTTGGAGCTGTTATTTTCCAGAGAAGGCATACTGGCTTTATTCAAATTGGAAGAGACCCCAGGCAAATGCCAAAATCACCTATTGCTTACATTTCATTTTAATGTGCTCAAGTTCAATAAAAGTTTATCATCTCCATTAAACCAGTACCTATTGGAACTGATTTAATCTTGTTAGCACAAAGAACCACATGAAAGAAACCAAGACCCCAGGACAAGACTGTACATAGCACAGTTGCGCCGGGGTAGAAATTACATAAAAGAAATGAAGCATCCACCGATGACAGAGTGCCTCACCTGCTCTTATGTGTGTGCGCTTGCTCGTGTGTGTGCGGAGTGTACTTGTGTGCACGGATCCACACACCCTGCAGTGCAGGTCTCTGGCCGTCTGCCACAGTGCAGCATGCTGGGGAGGCTGCCAAGTGCGGGAGTCCTCAGCTGCTCAGTGTCACAGCACCGCCACGCTCCCACACGGACCCTGAATTGTGTGACATTTGAACAAACACATGTCACGTGTAGGGGTGCTGGTCAAATGTCTACTGGCAACAGCACAATGAGGACATATATCTTGATTCTAGCCCCAGAGAGCACACACACTCACACACTGTCACACTCACTCACACACACAAACACAGGCCTTTCTTTACCGGGAAGAGTCAGTTTGCTCTCCGCCTTCAGTATTCTCTTTTCTGTCAACTAGAAAGCCTCCAAGAGCTCATGGCTAGACATGAGTGGGGTCCAAGAATTCAGGGGTGTTAGATCTTTGATTCAAGGTGTGGCTTGACATTAGGACTTGGTCACAGGGGACATAAATGACAAGTTGGTGGCACCCACAGGTGTGTGCTTACCTGAGACGGATGCAATGAGGAGGTGGATTTAGTGGATGATATCAGGGGCTGCAGGCAGAAGCTGAAGGATCCATTTCCTTAAAAGACTCAGCACTAAGGCACGAGTGGGATTTCTTAGGACTCCCAGTGAGAAAAGCGCTGAATGGAAGAAGTGATTTTCCCCAGTTCTGTGCCTGTAACTAACTCAGTGGCATCTGCAGGAAGCACAGCCTCATGTTGGCACCTCAGTGGCTTATAGCTTTGGGAACAGAGGGTTACTGTCGCTCTCAGCCTGTCGTAGCTACAGAGACAGTGGTGGGGCCCAGCTTTGAAAGTGACTTGGCAAGGAACAGAGCCTGGAGTGGAAGAACATGCCGTGGCACTTTTGGGATGGCTGTGAGACTCTCTGAGGATCTCCTGAAAATACGTGGTTAAAGTTTGAGTGGGAGATTGGAGGCCTTTCTTATACGGGGTGGCATGAGCCACTGAGGACTGAGGGAATGTGAATTATGGTCCTCTGCCTCCATGACTCAGTTATTGAAGGGAATTTATATATCTTCTATGGAGTGCCAGACACCCTAGTAGACCTGTATCAGCCAGCTCGGACTGCTATGCCATAATGCCACAGACTGGGTGGCTCAAACAACAGAAATTTATTTCTCAGCATTGTGGAGACTGAGAAGTCCAAGATCAAAGTTTTGGCAAGGCAGGTTTTATTCTGCAGACTCTTCTCTTGGCTTGTAGACAACCACCTATTGCTGTGTCCTCGTATGGTGAAGAAAGAGAGAGAGAGCAAGAGAGCTCTCTGGTGTCTCTTCTTATAAGGGCACTAATTTCATCATGAGGGCCCCACCCTCCTGACCTCACTTAGCCTCAAGGCCCCATTTATCTCCCAAAGGCCTCATTTCCAAATACCATCACATTGGGGGTTAAAGCTTCAACATATTAATTTTGGGAGATCACATGCATCTAGTCCATAAAAAGACTCTGTGGGAGGCAATGGACCTTCAAGATGCTTACACAACAGCCAGGAAGAAAGGACCAAAACCTACCCTGCAGAGGTCAGCTGGCTGCAGCCTGCTTCTCCCCTCTCTCACGTTAGCTCAGAGAGCACCGCTCAAGTTGCCTCGTGTGTGTTTCTCAAACATGCTAAGTTCACCTGCTGTTCTTCCATCCTGGAATGACCTTGTGCTCTTCTAAGTATGGCTGGCTTTCTTAGCCCTTGGCTGGTGGTCACCTCTTCACAGAGGGCTCTGTCACATCCCATGGAAACTTCCCTCTAGGCCCCAGTTGCTCTCAATTACCT
The DNA here is from genome assembly GCF_000001405.40 of Homo sapiens. Taxonomy (NCBI): domain Eukaryota; kingdom Metazoa; phylum Chordata; class Mammalia; order Primates; family Hominidae; genus Homo; species Homo sapiens. Next base: position 12,424,560 of record NC_000017.11, read on the forward strand.
AACCCTGTTTTATTTTCCCAATACATCCAAAACTAGTTAAAGGTATTTTGTGTATTTGTTTCCTTGTTTATCATTGAGATGTCCCCTGTCCTTGGTACTATGGACTCCATGACAGTAGGGACCTAATCTCTCAAGATCATTTGTGTGTACCCCAAAACTAGGAGAGTATCTGGACATAGTAGGTATTCAATATGTATGTGTTGATGAATCATAAATGCCATAGAGAGGGTGAAAATAATATTTTGTGGGCATCTGAGGTGGGTCTTGAAGGATGGGAAGGATTTTGACAAATGAACATTTTGAGTGAGGAGGGAAGGCAACCCATCCTTTAGCTTTGGAAGGACCACATTTAGATTAAACTTTTTTTTTAGTGCAAACTCATAAGCTTATTTAGAAAGAGCTCTTTAATGGTCTTATTTAGCGTATCAGAACTTAGACCATCGGAAGTTCTTTTTGAAGTCTGACCTAAAAGCTGAACTTCTTCCTTCACTCATTTCAGCCCACCTTTATCTCCCATTCAGTAGAAACGCTACAAACTCTACTCATCATCCATTCTAAATCTTCACATTTGGAAAAACAGACTCTGCAAGTGAAAACCAGTAATGCTTGTATTTTCAATGTCATCTTTTCTTTAAAATGATGTTAAATGATTCTAGGAGTGCAGATTTGTGTTTTAGGTGTATGGATGGTTCCGGATATCTGTTAGGTATACTCTCTGGGTTTTCATGGGATGAGAGATAGTAAGAAAAGTATAGCAAGAAAGCTTTGGAAAGAGCCATTTCCCTAGGTATTGTGTTTGCAAGCATCATAACCTCATTCCTGAGGGCACAGGCACTGTATCTGAAAGCTTTGCTGTGCAGACATCCATTCAGCAAACATTTAATGGCAATGTCCAGGGGCCAGGCGTTGCACTTGGTGCTGTCTCATGCATATAGGTGAATGAGACATGGTCCCACAAGCAGGGCAGGCGATGTGAGATCAGAGTCCTGTGGGTGGTGCGCAAGTGCGTAGAATGATACATACAAAGGTGGAACAAGAAGGTTGCAAAGGAGTGCCAAATAGTATCCTCAGAGAAGCTCCTTTTCAGGATGCACTAGAACATCAGATTCAAGTTAAGTCTAGGGCACACCATGTCTGAACCAGGGCCTTCTAAAACTCATAAGGATAATATCATAGGGACAACTGCCACTCTCCTGCCAGGCATAGTGGCTGCTCAAGCAGAACAGGAGGTGCCCACTGTCTCTGCAAAACTCACCCCAGCATTTCCCTAGGGCCATGCTCCTGAGGTCCCGTTGTTGGGTTAAGGTCTGGTCTGCTCCTCTCAGCATACAGACAACATAAATTCAGGTTCAAAAGCAGGACAGCAGCTAAGAAGAGAGCTGACTTTGAAGTTTAGAGCCTTAGGTTGAAGGGAATTCTCTTGGCCGAGTTACAAAGAGAATAAAATGCTGTCATAAGGAGAGTAGCTTTAGATTTTCACTTTATCTTCAAAATAAAAGATTAGGGACACAATTCTGGTTGAGATGGTTAAGTAGGTGCCTGTATAATTGAATTTCATGCTCATTATTTCTCTCTGAAGTGGTGTACACAAGCAGTCATTGGAAAGCAGGTTTAGCAAATATATTGGTCAGGGCTTTGCTGAACTTTCCAGCTTTCCAAAATGTCCAAGTTCCTTCAGTCTTCTTCATGTGCCGTGCGAGATGTACAAGACGACACTGATGGAGCCGGTGAGCCAGGCAGTTTCAAGACAAGCTTCTCTTCCATTAGCAAACTTGTCATAGGATTGGAAAGTTTTCTTTTTTTCCACAAGATTAGACATGGTCCAAAGAATACTTTATGCCGCTTTGGATCAGCAATCTGCCTGCACCTTTGACATCTCATAATTGAGGTATATGTCAGAGTCCAAAGTAAGAATACATGAAAGCTCTGTGTATGATACTATCATGGTGGGTTCATGTGGTTATACCCTTGTCCAAACCCATAAGATGAACAGCACTAAGAGTGAGCCCTAATGTTAACTATGGACTTTGGGCAATAATGATGTGTCAATGTGCGTTCATCAGTCATAACAAGTGTAGCACTGTGGGAGAATGTTCATAATCGGGGAGGCTGTGTATGTTTGGAGCAGGGCATATATGGGAAATCTCTGCATCTTCCTCTCAATGGTGCTGTGAAACTAAGACTGCTCCAAAACATAAATTTTTTTTAAAAAAAGAAATATACCAAAGGCGTAGTTGTGATGAAAAGTGAGGGAGTTGGCCTTCAGTGTCCCCTACAGGGAACCCTTGTTTCCTCTTTGCTACTCAAAGGTTTTTTTTTTTTTTTTAAATGATGCCTAAATGAGGTAGTTCAATGCAATTGATCGAATTGCCTGTAGTGAAAATCCAGGATTCAGTGGGGAAAAATTCTCAGCTCCTTGGAAATGACCACATTAAGCAGTTGGCCCTCTGGATCTGTAGCTTCTTCATCTGCCAATTCAACCAATCCCTCGAAAATATTTAAAAAATAATGCAACAATAAAAAATAACCCAAATACAAATAAACACAATACATACAGTATAACAACTATTTACGCAGCATTTATATTGTATTAGATGTTATAAATAATCTAGAGATGATTTAAAGTATACTGGAAGATGTGCCTAGGTTATATGCAAATAGTACACCATTTTATATAAGGGACCTGAGCATCTGTGGATTTTGGTATCTTCAGGAGGTCCTGGAACCAATCCTCCATAGATACGAAGGATGGCTATATTAATGAAAGCTTGATTTGGAGCAAATATTGTCTATGGATCCCATGGGATGGGGCCCCTCCTAGGGTGACAGAAGAGTGGCTTCTTACTTGGACCCTGCTGGGTTCACAATCAATTTGGTGACAAGCGTCACAGGCACATCTTTCCTCCCAGAGACTCCAAATGCAGCATGTTGGTAGGGCTCATCCTCATATTTTCTGTTGGAGCGAGATAAGAATTTGGTTCTCGTGTATTGACTGCAGGATTCTGAGTCTTCTGGGAAACAGAGGAATGGAGGGACCAACCTTTCCTGAGCACTTACAATATGCCACTCCCTGCTGTATAATGGGGGGGATGGGAAGAAGATGTCCCCAAGCCCCCTGGTCCCCCGTAGAAGGGATGAGGGGAAGATCCACGTACGTTCTCTGAGAGAGGTAGATGACACCATCCGTACCAGCACTTCTGGAACTTTCTCTAGAGAAATACCAGGTGGGTTTTGTTGTTGTTGTTTTATGTTTTTGCTTTTTCCTTCCCCATATTGTCACACACCTGTATTTTGGTCCATATCCTGTTCAATGAGACAGGTTCAAGGATCACGTGCTTGGGTGTTGCAGCAACGTCAAGCTGCTAAAAAGGTTTCAGGGTTTTTTTGTTTGTTTTGTTTGTTTTTTTGAGATGGAGTCTCTCAGTCTTTCACGCAGGCTGGAGTGCAGGGGCATGATCTCAGCTCACTGCAACCTCCACCTCCCGGGTTCAAGTGATTCTCCTGCCTCAGCCTCCTGACTAATGGATTACAGGTGCGTGCCACCACGCCCGGCTAATTTTCGTATTTTTAGTAGAGACAGGGTTTCGCCATGTTGGTTGTTGGTCTCGAACTTCTGACCTTGAGATCTGCCCGCCTCGGCCTCCGAAAGTGCTGGGATTACAGGTGTGAGCCACCGCGCCCAGCCCAGTTTTTTTGTTTGTTTGTTTGTTTGTTTGTTTGTTTTTAAATAGACTGTGGATCCCTCTGTCACCCAGGCTGGAGTGCAGTGGTGGGATCATAGCTCACTACAGCTTTGAACTCCTGGGCTCAAGTGATCATCTAGCATCAGCCTCCAAGTAGCTGGGAGTATAGGTACTCACCACCATGCCTGACAGCTTTCAGTTAACATGCTTCCTTCGGCATGGCCAGTGATGCACAGTGCACGGCTCAGCACCAGTCTGTGCAGCACGCGTCATCTTTGGGCAGCAAGAGGTGCGTGACCATCAGAGAAGATAAGTAACCTGCCCAGGGTCATGCAGCAGGTAAGACCTGAATGTCCACTGTAGGTCAGAATAACTCCAGCACCTATGCTGTAGGCCTAGAAACTGCCAAAAAGGCTGTGAAAATAATTCTGCCAAAGTTACTAGATTTCAAATGAATTATCTATGGAAAGAGAATGGAAGGAAGGATAACCTCTTACTTCTCTCAACTGTACTGTCCTGATTCTAGTCAAAGTAATTAGGCCTCTTCCTCTCATCCCTTCCACAGGGGACCAGAGGACTTGGGGACATCCTCTTCTTATCCTATCCTCTGCTGCAGCTGGCCCTTACTCACCCCTTCCCTTTAACTCCCTCAGCATAGAACAAGGAATTCCAAAGTCGGGGCAGAGCGGCATCAGAACGACGAAATAAATCATAGTGTCCAAAGAACTCTCAGGAATCTAAACATAGCAAAATTATTATGTTTAATGTAAAAATTGAACTTAAAATAATTCTGCTCTGTGTTTAATAACAACAGGTATGGCTAAACTAAGCCAAGTCAGCTAGGTCCTCCCGGCCAGGCAGGCTGTCTTCTCTTAGCAAAAAGATAAAGCAAATGAGAGCTCTTGAAGGTTAATAGACTCTATCACCTCCTAAAGAATGCAAACTGTATAAATATTCAGGTTTTAAAATAAAATCCCCCAAAGCCAGCCTTGCAAAATGAGGTCAGCTTGGTCTGGCTCGGCCTGTTGGCTTGCCTTTCAGCTGCACGGTGGTGTGTCTTGTGACCAGAACATCCGTGACATATAGATACAGTCTTTGCCTCCACGTTGTATATTGAAACTGTGAAAGTAGAACTCCCATAGCTCAAGTTTATAGAAATACGTGACAATGTTTGAAGTAGCTTAGCTGAGACTAAAACAGTCTGACATCACAGCCTTGGGGAGGATGATGGAAATTTCTTAATTTCTTTGAAAAATTTAAAAAACACAGACACATTCTTTTCAGGTACTTGATTGGCCACCCAAGTTTTCTTTTCTGGTTTTAGAAAATCACACAGAAATACAGAGACTCTGCACAAGGCATCCCCCATTCTAAATCTCCTGTGTTTCACAAGGCATCTTGGTGTCATTCTGTGTATCAGACTGTGCTGGCTTTTCTCCATTTACCCAATGGATCCATTTACCCCGTGGATCCATTCTCTTTCTTTCTGCTCCCTGGAAGACTGATTCCGATGGATTGCATCACTTGGGCTCCCCTCACCTCTGACTTTCCACTGGATTTGACCGATGGGAGCCATAAGCAAGAGACAGGAGGTAAAGAGGGGAAGAGACAGGTCACCTTACAGGTGGTGCCTCTTCCATACCTCCACCTTCTTCATCCTCTCCCACACAATTCCCTCCCATTGTCCCTTTTGGTCAAGAGATGTTAACGGCTTCTCACTGTTGCTGGTCTCCAGGTGACTCACCTTCTCCATCTCCATTTTTTTTTTTTTTTTGAGACGGAGTCTCGCTCTGTCGCCCAGGCTGGAGTGCAGTGGCGCGATCTCAGCTCACTGCAAGCTCCACCTCCCGGATTCACACCATTCTCCTGCCTCAGCCTCCCAAGTAGCTGGGACTACAGGCGTCCGCCACCATGCCCAGCTAATTTTTTGTACTTTTTTAGTAGAGACGGGGTTTCACCATGTTAGCCAGGATGGTCTCGATCTCCTGACCTTGTGATCCACCTGCCTCAGCCTCCCAAAGTGCTGGGATTACAGGCGTGAGCCACCGCTCCATCTCTTAATCCCGCTGATGGTCCCATCTGTTTCCTATTGGTATGTGGGGTGCTATGCAGACTTATCCCTTAGCTTTAAGTTCCTGGTCAAGAGCTTCTGTTTCCTCATCTTAATTTGGTATTCTCATACTATTCTCATCCTACAATATATTGATTGTGCTGAGGATAAATGAGGCAAGCTTATGTCATTAAGATCAAAACCAACATTTCTTCCTGTCTCTTAAGCTTTTTTTTTTTTTTTTGCATTTTGCTTCCTGTCATCTGTTGATGATGGAAGAAAACAGTGCTTTCTTATTTTTTTTCCTGTTTCTGAAATAATCTACCTTTAATCATCATCTCATTTTTTTAGCAAAGTCGGACATTTACAATCTATATTTTCCATGTTTCAGATCATTCTGTATGTGCGTATCTATACCTGTTTTTGAGTTTTTATTGCCACTGCTTATGTTGGGAGGATTTAGGCAGCCCTTTTCAGTTAAAAGTGAGCTCTTTGGGGAAAGCGATGTCTTCCATCGTTTTCCTCTTCATCTTCTTACAACTATCTTCACTTCTCTCTTCTGGTCAACTTAACATATGGGAATAATGGGAAGTTAATGGGTCCTCATGGCAGTGAGACAGGGGGCCTTGAGTCTATAATCATCTCTGAACCCACGGTGGTCTCTGCCCTGGCTTGACTGATCTGGTCTAATCCCTGGGCACTCACATCCATGTCTACTCACACAGTCCAAGCCCATCTGGCCTTTTGCAACAGCATGCTCACATTGACTATTGATATCTTGCTCCTCAACTTTGCTCTTGAAGGTTTTGTATTCTGTTCTGGCCCCTCTGTTAATAATCCACTGGTATTTCCAGCCTCTTTATACCCACTCATTCACAAGAGCTTCTAAGACACTCTAAATCTCCTCCACACCACATATCAAGTATGGAAGACCCAAAGTCTACCTCCAAGCCCCTTGCATAGATGCCCACCTCAGCTCCTGGGCTCCACGTTGCTCTGGCACCCAGTTAAGTATGAAGCATTTTAAATGAGGCTTAAAATGGTCCTAGTATGTGGCCAGAGAAGTGAGGAACAAACTGCCCTGCTCTGGAATTCCCCTCAAAATTCACCTTTTTTTCCCCTATTAATTCTTTGATGATCATTTTAAACTCAAGAGGATGGTCGTGACTCATATGTCTGACTTTTTGTTCCTCTCCTTCCCTGTACTCCTTCCACCTGCAGCTGTACACCCTTTCTTCACTTCCTCCTTAGACAGAGCGGGTACTTCTCGCACAGAGTATTGAGTTTTATCTACTCATGAATTATAGCAAAACTTGATATTTGAATCTCCAAACTCTGCCTTTAAAATGTCAGAGGAACTTTTGGCAGTTTGTAATCTTTTTTGTTTCTTAACAAAGACTAGTTTTCAAGACTCTCATTTCTCCAGGAAGAAGAACTTATAGCTGGAGGCCTCCTATGTTTCTTAGTTCTTTCTCTGCCTTTCTTCTTTTCTCTACTTCTTTCAACAAATATTGATTGAATGCCCACTATTTCCTCTCCAAGCCTGTTTTAGTTGGAGTAGAGAATAGTGTTCATTCATTGTAAAATTTTGAAAGTGGACTTACATGTACGTTAGCTGTGTTCTGCTAGGAAGAACAAGACTAGGATAAAAAAATACTGTCAGGCTGTTTAGTAGAACTTTTTTTTTTTCTCCCTCTCTCTTTCATAAGAGCCAGATTCTGTGTTTAATTTAACTACAACTTATAGTCACTGTCTTGCCCCTAAATTGGATTTTGATTGCTATGGTTATTTAGCTAGTTGGTTAGAGGCCAAAGTCATAGTTTTCATTCAAGTCTAAATTGAGCCTGTAAATGTTTTCATTACATTATAGACACACAGATTTTAAAAACGTTTAGGTCCAAGAAAAGAGAAAAAATAATTATTAAAATCTGCTGGGGGAAAAATATTGTAAATACAGGATGTGATGACAGTCACTTGGTGTGTCGTTGTCAGAGAGTGGACAGTACTGCTGTCATCTTGATAGCAAACCCATAGTATATATCCCCTTCTCTTCTTCCTGTGGGCACCTCTGGGGCTCAGCCCCTCAACCCCTTGCTTGTCTTCATGACAGCAGCCTCCTAACTTCTCCCTTAACCAGCCTCCAGTCATTCCCCACCAATCTATATTCTGTTGAGCAACCAGAATCATCTGGGGAGAAGGATGAGCCTAATTTTAGAATTTAGCTTGGACCTTATAAGTAGTCATTTTACAACTCAAACCACATTTTTGAAGCTAAGAGTTTGCTATTAAGAGATATGAGACTCAGCAAGGGACCATTGTCTACTCCTTGCCAGTCTCCAGGAATACAATATAAAAGGGAATGAGAAAAAGGATAAGCAAAGGACCGTATCAATTCTGTGCAACAGTGGAAAGTACTAACTCCATTGTGAGTGGTATAGCCTTGCAAACTTAGAAGGGGATGGGAAAATAGCTCTTCTCCACCTTTGGAATAAGAGTAAGGCTAAAAAACTCACCCACTTGCAGAGGACAGGTAGGTAAAGTCAACGCGCATTGCAGGCTGTTTTCAGATGAAAAGGAGTGGCTGAGACCATGGCATGCTGCAGAGAGCCTGGCTTACGCAAAGGGGCTGCCACTGCTTAGCTCCAGGACAATCAACATTTTTCATTTTTTTCTGAGGCATCTGGAAATCTAGATTTTCACGTGCAATTTTATAACTTTTTCATGCAAACTGTGTGTTGGATTTGGCCAAGGGACTTCCAGTTTGTGATTTCTGGTTTCGACTGTAATATATCTGAAAGTTAATGCTTGTTCTTGGGAGCTGGTGCTAGTTTGTGATGGTAGTAGTGGTGGTAACGTATGTGATTAAATAGTTACTTTCTGGAGGCCGGGCTCGGTGGCTCATGTTTGTAATCCCAGCACTTTGGGAGGCCGAGGCGGGCAGATCACGAGGTCAGGAGATCGAGACCATCCTGGCTAACACGGTGAAACCCCGTCTCTACTAAAAATACAGAAAATTAGCCAGGCGTGACGGCGGGCACCTGTAGTCCCAGCTACTTGGGAGGCTGAGGCAGGAGAATGGCGTGAACCCGGGAGGCGGAGCTTGCAGTGAGCCAAGATCGCGCCACTGCACTCCAGCCTGGGGGGCAGAGCGAGACTCCATCTCAAAAAAAAAAAAAAAAAGTTACTTTCTAGATAATTAGAGGATGAAAAGAAAGTCTGTGAGTCATCTTGCAAATGAAAGGGCTAGAGATGCTTCCTTTATCTCCAGCTGCTCCTTCTTGATTATTATTATTATTATTATTATTAGTTTTATTATTATTGAGACAGAGTCTCGCTCTGTCACCCAGGCTGGAGTGCAGTAGCCGAATCTTGGCTCACTGCAACCTCCGCCTCCTGGGTCCAAGCTATTCTCCTGCCTCAGCCTTCTGAGTAGCTGGGACTACAGGCACGTGCCACCACGCCTGGCTAATTTTTGTATTTTTAGTAGAGGTGTGGTTTCGCCATTTTGGCCAGGCTGGTCTTGAACTCCTGACCTCAGGTGGTTCACATGCCTCAGCCTCCCAAAGTTTCAGCTGCTCCTTCTGAAGTGCCCTTCACCCTTGCCCATCCCCTCCTCCATATGCATACGCATAAGAACAGACTATTCTGCAGGACTGGAAGTGTCAAGGCTTTGAAATGTTTGCTTCCATCCCCTGGAGCCTTTTGTAGCTTGAGTAACTTAGATTTGAAGACAAGTGCTGCTGGGGAACAGGCCATGACTTTTGGCATATGACCAGTCTGGGTGGATATGGGGTGGTGTATCTAGAAAGCTTGATATAAAGGCTCACAGTGGAGATTTGAGTACAGATTTATTTTTTTCTGAGAAAGGTAAACATGAAGTTTGAGAAGCAAGGGGAGGAAATGGAACTTTAGGAAGCATTTCGTATGGGTTATGAGAAAACTCATACTGAACATACAGTTATGAGGGTTCCCCCTGTGTTATCGTTTCAGTCTCATTGGAAAGACTGGTTTTTTTTAAAAAAGGTTTGAATGAATGAGGTAAGTGCAGAATGTGATCCTAAGAGAGTGTATGCACAAGAGAAACTGACTTCGATTTGAGGCAGGTGGGCAAGCATCAGAGTGGACCTCCCCAAGAAGTGAGGAAGATCCGAAGGATGGGACAGGAGGAGAGGAGATGGGAAATCATTCCAGGCAGTGGGGCCACAAAAACAAAGCATGTGGCAGGAAGAAACGTGGGGCATCCCAGGACCTGGCAGGAGATCGGAGCAGGTAATAGATCAAGAGCAAGGGTGTAGCACAGTGGGAGGTGAACTTGGAAAGAGGTGGAGCCACACTGGGCAAAGATTTTCATTCCCTAAGCACAAGGAGAATGCCAGAAAAAAAATTAAGTAAGGCAGACACTGAGTCAAAACTGACATGGGAAAAGAGCATCCTGGCTTCAGTGCAGAAAATGGATTCAAGCAGGAAAAAAGTGGAGACAGTGGAACCTTAGAAAGCTTATTTGGGCTAATATATTTTTATCTCTTACTATGCATTAGAGACTGTTCTAAATTCTTTTTAGCATCGTGATGGCTCATTTCATATGCTAGCTTGACTGGGCTAAGGGATGCCCAGATATCTGGTAAAATATTATATTTGGGTGTGTCTGTGAGGGTGTTTTTGACAGAGATGAGCATTTGAATTGGTAGACTGAGTCAAGAAGGCCTATCCTTACTAATATGGGGAGGCATCTTCCAATCTATCAAGGGCCCTATAGAACAAAAAGGCTAGGGAAGGGAAAATTCACTCTCTCTTCTTGAGCTGGGATGTTCATCCTCTCCTGGCCTTGGATATTCGTACTTCTGGTTCTTGGGCGTTCAAACTCAGACTGAATCACACCACTGGCTCTCCTGGTTCTCCAGTTGCAGATGACATATTATGGGGCTTCTAGGTCTTCATACCATGTGAGCCAATTCTATAATAAATTTATTCTTATACATATGTCTGTATTGATTCTGTTTCTCTGGAGAACTCTGACTAATCCAAGCAGAAATGTATTAAATCTTCACAAAGTTCTTTGAGTTAGGTGATGTAATTTGGATCTTTGTCCTCTCCAAATCTCATGTTGAAATTTGACCCCCCAGTGTTTGAGGTGTGGTCTAAAAGGGGATGTTTGGATCATGGGGTGGATCCCTCATGAATGGCTTGGTGCCATCCTTGTGATAATGGGTGAGTTCTCATTCTATTAGTTTTTGCAAGAACTGATTGTTAAAAAGAGCTTGGCACCTCCCTCCTCTCTCTTCCTTCCTCTTGCTGTGCGATACTGGCTCCACTTCACTTTCCCCCATGAATAGAGGCATCCTGAAGTGTACCCTACAAGCAGATCCTGGCACCATGTTTCCCATACAGCCTGCAGAACCATGAGCCAAGTAAACCTTTTTTATTTACAAACTACCCCAAACCTCAGCTATTCCTTTATATCAATACAAATGATCAAAGATGGTAGGTAGTATGCTTACTTTATATATGAAGACACTAAGACACAAAGAGTATGACTTTCCCAAGTTTATACAGCAGCTAACTGGCTTGGGTAAGGTAGTGCTAGTGGAGAAGATGAGAAAGGAATATACCTGAGAGATATTCAGAAGCTAAGACCAGGGCCGGGCGCAGTGGCTCACACCTGTAATCCCAGCACTTTGGGATGCCGAGGCGGGTGGATAACCTGAGGTCAGGAGTTTGAGACCAGCCTGGCCAACATGGCGAAACCCCATCTCTACTAAAAGAACAAAAATTAGCTGGGCATAGTGGCGCATGCCTGTAATCCCAGCTACTAGGGAGGCTGAGGCAGGAGGATTGCTTGAACCGAGGAGGTGGAGGTTGTAGTGAGCCAAGATCGAGCCAGTACGCTCCAGCCTGGGCAACAGAGTGAGACTCTGTCACACATACATAAAAAAGCTAAGACCTGCAGAACTTGATGGATTCGAAATGGAATATGAAAGCCAGGCATTAGAGAAGTGTGTGCTAGTGGATGGAGGGTGGAAATATTCCTTAACATTGAATTGCTGAGGAACCCCAGGTCACACAGCTAATAAGAGAAAGAGGAGGAATCCACCTAGGTATTCGAGCTCAAGGGTCCCTACTCCCTAACCAGTACATTATATCACATATTTTAAAAAATCACTCCTGGGAAGACGGAGGAGACATAGCATAGCTCCCAACAAACAGCATAATTAAAGTCCTCATTAGACAATTTTCTTTCTTTTCTTCAGTTCATATTGGACCACCAGCTGCCAGTCTTCTGGCCCTGGACCCTTGCCCTCCACAGCCTTCCTGCTACTCGAGGGCTGCCGTCCACCATCCTGGCTCAGGATGCCTCCTCATCTCTCTCCCTTTTTTTTTTTTTTTGAGTCAACTTATTTAATTCTGGCCTGAGTCATTTATTTTCTCTATAACCTCACATCCCATGCATACCAAATCTTTCTGCAAACTAAGCTCTCTCAGGTTACTAAAATGTACTTCATGAGGGACTAGAAATTATATATACAAAGCATAAACACACACACACTTATATACAAACGTATATACATATATGTATACTTATATATATGGATGTGTATGTATAGAAATAATTTACAAATACATAATTTTCTAGCAAAAACTGATATTTTTCTATTATATTGCTTTCTTTTACTCTCATTAAATTACAAAATAATTAACAGTTAATGGGTCCTCAGGGAACATGTAGTCCAATGCACCGACTTCACAGAAGAGAAAATTGAGTCCTAGCCTGGGGAAGGGGCTTGTCCTAATCTACCCTCATCCCTTTGTGATATTGCACCATCGTAGTCCTTCCTTTCCCAAATCTCTTTATTCCTCAGTCCATCCCAAACACCACTGCCAGATTTTTCATCATCTGACTTTCTTGGTCAAGCATCGCAGTGGTTTCTTCTGATCCTCAGGGTAAGTCTAAGTGTGACAGTAGGAGGCTCTAATCGTAACTTGGCTCCTGGAAAAAGCTAACATGATCCCAAGTTTACTTGGCCATTGGGTGTGTGACTTGGGCACTTGATTCTTCTCTATGCCTTAGTTGTCCTCATCTATAAATAATTTTTTTCGAAAGGATTAAATGAATAGATAGATAAAGATATAGGAACAGATTTAAATAAAGAAATAGCTATTAGCTGTTTATAATAAGATCTGGTACACAGTAAATGCTATGTGAATGCTTGTTATCATTATTTCTGTTGTTGATAATATTAATATTTGTTTTTACTCTGGTACTTCTGGGCTTCTGTAATTGGTTGTGCTGATTTTTTTAATACTCCACCCACTTCCCTTGTTTCATTTTTGAAGAATGTTAATGTCTGCTCTGTGTACCCCATTTCCCCCACCCCCACTGGACCTTGTATTAGGACTCCTCATTTTATGGGGATTGTTTGTAAACTTCTGCATGTTGGTTGTCAACAGTCGAAATGCCCTGAGGGAGGTCTGACATTGTGGGTCCAGTTTCCGTCTAAATTGTTAAGCTATTTCAAGTGCCCTGAATCTCTCTTGACTCAGAATCTAGGAGAATAGTTATTTCTCCCCGGTTTCACAATCAATGCAAAAATGTAGGCATCAAATCAGTTTTTATTCATCAAGTCCTGGGGTTAGTGCCTTGTTTTTTGTGCCTGGTGATCCTAAATCCATGTATTTGTTGATCCAATAGATGCAATCGAGGAGCATTTTTTGTATGTAAGCACCAGATCCTTTGCTAGGCAGATTGTAGGGAAAAGATGGTTAAGTCACAAAGTCTGGTTGACACAATAATATTATACACTCGTGAGACCTTGAACACATACTTAAGGATAAAAGAACAGGGACGTCATAATTTGCAACGGTTGTCTATTCCCTTTGATTTTTTTCAAAGACATAACCGAAATGACAATACTTTCATTTACTTTTCATTAATTTGCATTAGCTGACATCTATTGGATGTGTCACAAACTATGTTGAACTGTATATTTTATCTCATTTGACCCTAAAGACGAGGCTATGATGTAGGCATTTTTATTATCTCCACTTTAAAGATAAGAAAACTGAGGCTTAGAGATGTTAAGACTTTCCCAATTTCACAAAGCGTTGGAATAATTGAGGTATTAATTTGAATATTATCTTTGAGGCCAGCAAAGTTTCCTCATCGTCATTTTTCTTTCTTCATTGTTGTTCTTTGTTATCAGCATTTCACGGACAGTGAATTTCTTTGGAGGCTTTACTTTAGCTTAGTCGCTATGTCCTTGATTTTCCCATAGTTTTTTCCTCCATGAAACTGTTTCTTCGCCACTCAATTATTTAACATATATTCATTAAGTATTTCCTCTAAGTGAATCAGTGTTTAATTAAAAATAACCAAAGTAAGTAAAAGTCCTTTGGGTGCCCTCAATTTGAGCAAATCCCAGAACTATTATACTAGAAAAACGTGGCTGCTTAGAAGCAGTGTTTGTAAACTTTCCTCTGCCACTCCAACAAAAGAACAAAATGTACGTTTTTGAAATATAAAGAAAATAAGTAGCCCTCATGTCAAAGAGTGGGTAGTCTCACATCCATAATCTTGGAAAGTGTCATTGATATATAATGATGCTTTGTGATCTTAAATGTCTCAAAATGGAGTCACTTATGACAAGTGACTCAGCCTCCAGTGAAATTGCTGACCCCTCAGACTGATAAGCACATGTATGGTGATAAGATGACAGACACCTGCTGTGGCCAGACACCCTGGAGACCTGACAAGATAGTAAAGCCAAAAGGCAGCCGAAGATAATGGCTTTAGACACTCCTGAAAAGGGCCATAAATAACAGCAAAGAAACTGACCATGACCAGACGCCTCAGGAACTCCTCCCAAGAACTCTGAGGCCTTCTATCTGCTGCAAGCTCTGCTGGGAGAAGACCAGTGACCCCTCTCCCGGTTAGGGTGAAAATCTCCTATTTGGTGAAAACCCAGACTTTCCCATTGGTCTGTCGGCCTGCTGATCTCCTCAGTTACGCCCTGTGCTTCCTTTCCCCCTCTCTTTACCACCTGTGTGTATTGAGTATATTTCCATGATTGCTGGTGTGTGAAAGTCTGCCAATAAACCGTGAATTTGTAAGTACTTAATTGGCTATGGAGTCACTGTGAAACCTCCCAGCCCCCAGTCTGAGTTAGCACAACTAGGCCGCGGATGTCAGATGTTGATTTCTCTTGAAACAGAGAAACCGGCCACTGATAAAGCTCTGATGAGTGCTCTCATCAGACACCAGGGCTCTTATATCACCCCGAATTGGATAAAACAACACAGACACACGTGGAGTGCTTTTAAAGAGTGGAGAGTTTAATAGGCAAGAAAGAAGGGAGAAGAAAGAAGGAAGAAGCTCCCTTGTACAGAGACAGAGGGAGCGGGACTCCAAAGCCAAGAGAGGAAACCCCGAGTGCGACAGAAACGTGGCTGCTTATATGCGGGTGGAAGAGGTGGTGTCTGATTTGCATAGGGCTCAGGGGATTGGTTTGACCAGGTATGTAACTCACCTAGCCCAGGAAAAAACTGGCCCTCCCACCCTAGCCTTTTAATATGCAAATACAAGGCGCCATGATGTTCTACACACTTAGGGATATGTGGAGGTGGCCATGTTGCCAGGTGCGTGTGGGATCAAGGGCAAGGAGAAGAGGGCAGAATTGCCATGTTTGGGTGGCCGCAGTTTCTAATGGCCGGCATTTGCATATTGAAGGTTGCCAGCCTGGCTCTAAGAGCCAGGGCTTTCCTTCTAGATAAGAAACATTTCTGGAGCTGCTTTAAAAAGAAACAAAACTTCCCAAGGACTCCTTTTCCTATCTGCCTAAAATAATTTCTTAATAACTCCTGTAATACCACTATGGGAGTCAACATCTGACAACCACACCTTAACCATGTGGAGGGAAGAAGTAACAACAAAAATAACAACAACAATAACAACAAAATATCACGAGTATGCCCCAAACCACAGAAGTTCATTAAGAAGAATAAAAAGGTGATCTAGATGAAGAATAAATCAACCAACTAAGCATGAAACAAGTTTCTTCAGAATGGAAGTTCTTTCTGACTGCCATGATGAAACTGTGAATCAAGAGAGATTGACAAAATATAACTGCCAGGATTAACTATGCTGTTTTTACCTGGATGGGAGAAGGGCAGGCAAATCTCCCAGAGGTAATTATTTCTCACAATGAACTGAGATTTATCAGAATGCAAAGAGAAAAGAAACAATTCAAGAGCCATGGAAGAAGTGCCCATGCATGTGAAAAAGCATTTGCACAGCCCCCTGCAAGTTAACCTGTTCATTAGCAGTGCAAGTCAACACCAAGACGTCTCCCACCTTTTCTGCCATTTGCCTCTTAAGGGAGTGGAAGTGGCTCCAGTTATGAGAAGAGGCAATAAACTGATAGAGGATATGCTCAGGATTCTTTCTATCAGAGATGAAGACTTGATGGCATTTGCTAAATTGGGGAAAAAATTCCCAGGCATAAGGGTACCATTGATGGACATGAGCTGTCTCCCTAACTAGATAGAGGGAATATTAGCATAGAAATTTTTACAAATGTATCATAAAAAATAACAGACACTGAGTTCTCTTACAGTCAGTGGTGCCAGATAATTTTCCCCTTATTCTTCCCACCACCAAACCCTGTCACCAAGCAAATAAAAAAACACACTTCTGCATTAGAGAAAGTCCACACGGAGCTTCCTAAAGCCAAGGTGAATAAGATGAATAGAAATCACATTGGTGGCCAGGCCAAAACACAGTGAGTTTCCCTACCCCTTACACCCACAAAAGCTATCTAGCCTGAAAAAGGCTGATGAAAAATCCATTCCAACTTGTACTCAAAGAAACATGACTAAAATTCTGCAACAAATTCTTACTCCTCTAAAAGAATTTAAACAGACCAAAAAAACTTATGAAACAAAGAATAAATAATGTAATAAAACAACAAGATTAGATAAAAAGGGGAAACTGCAAACTAAAGAAATACATGGGGGATTAAAAATAAGGGTGGGAGAACCACTGGAAGACAATAAACACATTACAAACAGAAAGAAAGATAGAAATAGCTGAAATGGAATCACTAATATAAAGAAAAAGAAGAGGAAGTCCTAGCTACAGTGATTATATAAGAGAAAAAAATAAAGAACATTTGAATTGGAAAGGAATAAATCAAATTATCTTTGCTAATGATATGAAAAAACCTAAAGACTCTACCAAAAAATTATAAGAACTGATAAATTCAGTCAAGTTGCAGGATACAAAATTAATACACAAAATCAGTAGCATTTCTATGTGCCAACATTGAACAATCTGAAAAAGAAATTTAAAAAGTAATCCTATTTACAATAGCCACAAATAAATACCTAGGAATTAACCAAAGAGCTGAAAGATCTTTACATGAAAACTATAAAACACTGATGAATGAAATTGAAGAGGGCACAAAACAATGGAAAGATATTCCATGCTCATGGATTGAAAGAATCAATACTGTTAAAATGTTCATACTACCTAAAGCAATCTACAGAGTCAGTGCAATCCCTATCAAAATATCAATGACATTCTTAGCAGAAATAGAAAAAACAATCCTAAAATTTATATGGAACCACAAAAGACCCAGAATAACCAAAGCTACCCTGAACAAAATGAACAAAACTGGAGGAATCACATTACTTGACTTCAAATTGTACTACAGAGCTACAGTAACCAAACCAGCATGGTACTGGCATAAAGCAGATACATAGACCAATGGAACAGAATGGAGAGCCAATCAACAAATCCATACAACTACAGTGAACTCATTTTTGACAAAAGTGCCAAGAACATACATTAGGGAAAAGACAGTCTCTTTAATAAATGATGCTGAAAAAACTGGATATCCATGTGCAGAAGAATGAAACTAGACCCCTAGCTCACACCATATACAAAAATGAAATCAACATGGATTGAAGACTTAAATTGAAGACGTAAAACTATGAAAACTAAACTAAAACTTCAAGAAAACATTATATATTATATAATAATATATATTATATATTATATAATGATATATATTATATATTATATAATGATATATATTATATATTATATAATGATATATATTATATATTATATAATGATATATAATATATATTATATAATGATATATATTATATATTATATAATAATATATATTATTATATAATATATATTATATATTATATAATATATATTATATATTATATAATAATATATATTATATATCATATAATATATAATATATTATATATCATATAATATATATTATATATCATATAATATATATTATATATCATATAATATATATATCATATAATAATATATATCATATAATAATATATATTATACATCATATAATAATATATATCATATAATAATATATATTATACATCATATAATAATATATATCATATAATAATATATATTATACATCATATAATAATATATATCATATAATAATATATATTATACATCATATAATATATATCATATAATAATATATATTATACATCATATAATATATATCATATAATAATATATATTATACATCATATAATATATATCATATAATGTATATTATACATCATATAATATATATCATATAATGTATATTATACATCATGTATATCATATAATGTATATTATACATCATGTATATCATATAATGTATATTATACATCATGTATATCATATAATAATGTATATTATACATCATGTATATCATATAATAATGTATATTATACATCATGTATATCATATAATAATGTATATTATACATCATGTATATCATATAATAATGTATATTATACATCATGTATATCATATAATAATGTATATTATACATCATGTATATCATATAATAATGTATATTATACATCATGTATATCATATAATAATGTATATTATACATCATGTATATCATATAATAATGTATATTATACATCATGTATATCATATAATAATGTATATTATACATCATGTATATCATATAATGTATATTATACATCATGTATATCATATAATGTATATTATACATCATGTATATCATATAATGTATATTATACATCATGTATATCATATAATGTATATTATACATCATGTATATCATATAATGTATATTATACATCATGTATATCATATAATGTATATTATACATCATGTATATCATATAATGTATATTATACATCATGTATATCATATAATGTATATTATACATCATGTATATCATATAATGTATATTATACATCATGTATATCATATAATGTATATTATACATCATGTATATCATATAATGTATATTATACATCATGTATATCATATAATGTATATTATACATCATGTATATCATATAATGTATATTATACATCATGTATATCATATAATGTATATTATACATCATGTATATCATATAATGTATATTATACATCATGTATATCATAATAATGTATATTATACATCATGTATATCATATATCATATAATGTATATTATACATCATGTATATCATATATCATATAATGTATATTATACATCATGTATATCATATATCATATAATGTATATTATACATCATATTATATATTATATTTATAATTATAATAATTATAATTATATAAATATATAAAATAAAAATAATTATAATTATAATAATTATAATAATATATATTATAATATATATCCTTGAGGAATCACCACACTGTCTTCCACAATGGTTGGACTAATTTACTCCCACCAACAGCATAAAAGCATTCCTATGTCTCCACAGCCTCACTATTGTAACTGGTGTGAAATGGTATCCCATGTGGTTTTGATTTGCATTTCTCTGATGACCAGTGATAATGAGCTTTTTTCCATATGTTTGTTGGCTGCATAAATGTCTTCTTTTGAGAAGTGTGTGTTCATATCCTTTGCCCACTTTTTGATGGGGTTGCTTTTTTTTTTTCTTGTAACTTTAAGTTCCTTGTAGATTCTGGATATTAGCCCTTTGTCAGATGGATAGATTGGAAAAATTTTCTCCCATTCTATAGGTTGCCTGTTCATTCTGATGCTAGTTTATTTTGCTGTGCAGGAGCTCTTTA
The DNA here is from genome assembly GCF_000001405.40 of Homo sapiens. NCBI lineage: Eukaryota > Metazoa > Chordata > Mammalia > Primates > Hominidae > Homo > Homo sapiens. The sequence goes on from NC_000017.11 coordinate 12,444,397, forward strand.
GTTTAATTAGACCCTATTTGTCAATTTTGGCTTTTGTTACAATTGCTTTTGATGTTTTAGTCATGAAGTCTTTGCCCATGCCCATGTCCTGAATATATGCAGCCATAAAAACAAATGAGATCATGTCCTTTGCAGGGACATTGATGAAGCTGGAAGCCATCATTCTCAGCAAACTAACACAGGAACAGAAAACCAAACACTGCATGTTCTCACTCATAAATGAGTTGAACAATGAGAACACATGGACATAGGGAGGGGAACAACACACACTGGGACCTGTTGGGGGGTAGGGGGCAAGGGGAGGGAGAGCATTAGGACAAATACCTAATGCATGTGGGGCTTAAAACCTAGATGACGGGTTGATAGGTGCAGCTAACCACCATGGCACCTGTTTACCTATGTAACAAACCTGCACGTTCTGCACATGTATCCTGGAACTTAAAATAAAATAAAAAATATGTAATTCACCAATAAATTCATAGAATATGACATCACAACCAAGTGCATTTCATTTTAGGAAAATAAGGATGGTTCTCTATTAGAGAATAATAAATTCTCTAATTGAATCATCATTTTAATTAGTCAAAGGGGGAAAAGTATATTATCAGATAAATTAATGCCTAAAATATATTTGATAAGATAAACATACATTTTTAATAAGAACCTTTTGGTAAAATAACAGTGGAAGGATAGTTTCTTGCCACTATTTTACACATACACTCCCTAAAACTTATCCAAATGCTTAACCAAGCAATTGTAGACATATGCCCATTTTCATGAAGATTGAGTTCAGGAACAGAAATGAGATGCTCATTTTTACTTCCTTTACTTAGCATTGCTCCAGAAACTCCAGACAATGCAATTAGACAAGAAAATACAATGGTGAGGAGATACTAAGAAAGAAGGAAATAAAATTGCCATTTGAAAATTAGATACCAGGAAAACATAAGAGAATCTACATGGAACCTATTAAAAATAATAAGAGAATTTAGACATATCCAGGCTTTCCTTCGTACATATGATAGCTTTTTAGAAGATACATGAATGTTAATCATGTTAATGACTAACATTTTTGAAATGCTTCCTATGTGCCAAAGTTCTTGTAAATGCTTTCAGTGTATGAACTCATTTAATACTCTAAACAATCTTACAATGAAAAAAAAAATCCCATCTCTTAAATAACAAGAAGATAAATGCCCTAAGAAGCAGTGTGATGCAGTGTAGGAGAGACTAAGAGCCCCAGCTACCCAGATTGGCTCCTGTGGGACCTGGAGCAAGTTAACCTATTTGTCTCTCTGTTTCCACATCTGTAAACTGAGAATGTCAGTGTACTTATTTCATCATGTTGCTGTAAAATGAAATGAGTTAACACATGTAAAGTCTAAGAACAAAACACTATACAAGTGTTGGTTACCATTATTGTTAAAAATAAACCTAGCAAGAAATGTACTTTGCCTAGATGAAGAAAAATTTAGAATTTTACCAAGAGCTATAAAAACTTTGTCCTTCCCTTTTATTCAATACACTTTAAAAAATTTTTATTTATTTCTTTCAACCCTTGCCAAGCACTGATCTTTTTACTGCCCCCATAGTTTTGCCTTTTCCAGAATATTATGTAAGGAGAATCATACAATATATAGTCTTTTTCAGATTGGCTTCTTTTATTTAGTAATATGCATTTATGGTTCCTCTATGTCTTTTCATGGCTGTATAGCTCATTACCTTTTAGCACTGAATAATATTCCATTGCTTGAAATACCACAGTTTATTTACCCATTCATCTACTGAAAGACATCTTGATTCTTTCAAGTTTTGTCAATTATGAACAAAACTGCTGTCAATTGGTCTTCAGGGCTTTGTGTGAAACTAAGTTTTCCGTTCATTTAGGTAAGTGACAAAAAGGATTGCTGGTTCATACAGTAAGAGTGTGTGTATAGTTTTGTAGGAACTGCCAAACTGTGTTCCAAAGTGGCTATGCCATTTTACATTGCCATCAGCAGTGAATGCACATTCCCATTGTCAAGGTTCTGGATTTGGGCCATTCTAAGAGATGTGTTGTGGTATCTCATTGCTTTTTTAATTTGCATTTTTCTACTGACATACGCTGTGGAACATCTTTCCTTTTGCTTATTTGCCATATATCTTTTTTGTGAGGTGTCTGTTCAAATCTTTTGCCCGTTTTAAAAATTGTATTGTTGATTTTCTTATTTTGTTGTGTACTTTTCAAAACTCTGACATTTTGTATGAGCTCTATATTAGATGTCTTTTGCAAATATTCTCTCACAGTCTGTGTCTTGTCTTTTCATTCTCTTGATAGTATCTTTCACAGAGCCAAAATTATTAATCATAATGAACTCCAGTTTACCAATTCTTTTTTTCACGGATGGTCTGAAGTTGCTGGGGAGGGAGTCTGATGGACTAAGCCTTTAACCTGTGAGGTCTGCATTAACTCCAGGTAGTCAGTGTCATAAATGAATTGTAAAACACACAGTTGGTGTCTGGAGAGATGGTGGATTGCTTACTGTGAGGAAAAATATCCACACATTTGGTGTCAGAAGTGTTGTGAGATTAGAGAAGCAGTCTTTTCCCCCTTTTTAATTCCTAAATATATTTTCCTTTTTGATACTACTTTAAATGGAATTGCTTTCTTTATTTCCTTTTCTGATAGCAAATTATTAGTGTAAAAAATGCAACTGCTTTTTGTATGTTGATTTTGTATCTTGCTACCTTATTGAACTCATTTTTCAGTTATTAAAGATTTTTGGTAGAATCTTGAGGGTTTTCTATACAAAAAACTAGGTCATCTACAAACAGATAATTTTAATTATTTCCAATTTGGATGCCTTTTATTTTATTTTTTTCTTGCCTAAATGCTCTGGCTGGGACTTACAATGAAGTAAGGAGAGTGGGCATACTTGCTTTGTTCCTAATCTTAGCAGAACAAAGCAAAAAAACCCCTGATCTTCAGTTTTTCACCGTTAAGTATTATGTTTGCTGTAGGCTTCTCATATATGACCTTTATTATGTTGAGGTACATTCCCTCTATACTTAGTTTCTTGAGCATTGTTTTTATGAAATGATGCTGAATGTTGTCAAATGTTTTTTCTGCATCTACTGAGATGATTCTATGATTTTTTTTTACCTTCATTCTGTTAATATGGTGTATTACTTTAATCGAGTTGTGTATGTTGAACCATACTTGCATTCTAAGGATAAATCCCACTTGATCATGATATATGATTCTTTTAATGTGTTGTTGAGTTTGGTTTGCTAGCATTTTATTGAGGATTTTTGCACCTATTTTTTCAGGTATATTGGCCTGTAACTTCTTTTTTCCTGCGGAGTCTTTATTTGGCTTTTGTATGAGGATAATTCTGGCCTCATTAAATGAGTTTGGGAGTGTTTCCTCCTCTTTAGTTTTTGGAACAGATTGAGGAGTGGTACTAATTCTTCTTTAGCTGTTTGGTAGAATTCATCAGTGAAGCCATCTGGTCCTGTATTTTTCATTGTTGGGAGATTTTTGGTGATTGATTTAGTCTCTTTGCTACATACAGGTCTGTTCGGTCTTTTTATTTCTTTGTAATTCAGTCTTGCTAGGTTGTATATTTCTGGGAATTTACTAATTTCTTCTAGGTTTTGCAATTTGTTGGTGTATAAATGTTCAAAATAATCTCTTATAATCCTTTTTATCTTTGTGGAATTAGTTTTAATGTCTCTTATTTCTGATTTCTTTATTAAATCTCTCTTCTTGGTCTAGTTAAAAGTTTGCCAACTTAGTTTATCTTTTCAAAAAGTTAACTCAGTCTAGTTAAAGGTTTGCCAACTTAGTTTCTTTTCAAAAACTTAATTCAGTATTTTTTATTTTTCTATTGTTTTACTAATCTCTATTTTGTTTATTTCTGCTATTTATTTATTACTATATTTATTGTTTTCTTCCTTTTGCTAACTTCAGGCTTAGTGGTTGTTTTTTTTTTTTTTTCTAGTTCCTTGTGGTAAAAAGTTAGGCTGTTTATTTTAGATCTTTCTTCTTTTTTAATATGGGAATTTATCCCTATAAATTTCTCACTTAGTAATGTTTTTGAAGGAGCCCATCAATTTTGGGATATTGTATTTTCAGTTTTATTTTTAAAAGATATTTTCTAATTTCCTTTTTGATTTCCTCTTTGATCCATTGGTTGCTTGAAAGTATGTTGCCTGATTTCCACATCTGTACATTTTCTCACTTTCATTCACATGATTTCTAGAAACTAGAAAGAAATCAATAATTTCTAGTTGGATTCCATTTTAGTCAGAAAAGATACTTGACCGGATTTTAGTCTTTTAAAATGTGTTAAGACCTGTTTTGTAATCTAAAATGTGCTCTATCCTGGAGAGGGTTTCATGTGCACTTAAGAAGTGCTGCTGCTGGTGGGTGGAATATTCTGTATGTCTGTTAGGTCCGTTTGGTCTGTAGTGTTGTTCCAGTCCACTGTTTTTTAGTTGATTTTCTGTCTGGTTGATTTGTTCATTATTGAAAATGGAATATCGAAATCTCCAACTATTACTATATTGCTATCTATTTCTCCCTTCAGTTCTATCAATATTTGCTTTATATATTTACATACTTTCATATTGGGTAAATATATATTTATAATTGTAAATGTTCCTGTTGAACTGATGATTCTTCATTATATAAAGTCCCTCTGTATCTTTTGTGACAGTTTTTGACTTAGAGTCTATTTTGGCTGGTATAAGTATAGCCACACTGCTCTCTTTTGGGTTCTGTTTGAATGGAATATCTTTTTCCACCTCTTCACTTTCAGCCTATGTGTGTCCTTAAATAGAAGGTAAGTTTCTTGTAAACAAACTATAGATGGATTTTGTTTTATTATCCATTCAGCCACTCTATGTCTTTTGGTTGGGGGACTTTATTCATTTACATTTAAAATAATTAGTGACAGGAAAGGATTTACAGTTGTCATTTTGATAATTGCTCTTTGTCTATCTTGTTCTTTTGTTCCTCTTTGCATCTGTTGCAGTCTTCCTGTGTGTTTTATTCTTTATTTCTTTTGTGTAACTCTCATAGGTATTTTTGCTTTTTTGGTAACTTACAGTTATAACAGGGTATTTTAAGCTGATAACAACTTTAATTGTGTACCAAAACTCTACACTTTTACCTCTCATCCCTCAACACTTTGCATTATTGATATTATAATTTACATCTATTTGTATTGTGTATCCATTAATATATGTTTTATTTATAGTTATCTTAATGCTTTTAGTTTTAATTTTTATATCAGAATTAAGTTACCCACCACCATTACAATAATATAGTATTCTGTATTTGTTTATGAATTTACCTTTCTCATCAGATTTTAGATGTTCTTAAGCTATTGTGTTGCTTTTTAGTGTCCTTCCTTTTTAACTTGAGGAACTCCCTTTAACATTTCTTCTTTTTTTTTTTTTTTTTTTTTTTCACTGTGTTAACCAGGATGGTCTTGATCTCCTGATCTTTTTTTTTTTTTTAATTTTTATTTTTTATTATACTTTAAGTTTTAGGGTACATGTGCACATTGTGCAGGTTAGTTACATATGTATACATGTGCCATGCTGGTGCACTGCACACACTAACTCGTCATCTAGCATTAGGTATATCTCCCAATGCTATCCCTCCCCCCTCCCCCCACCCCACCACAGTCCCCAGAGTGTGATATTCCCCTTCCTGTGTCCATGTGATCTCATTGTTCAATTCCCACCTATGAGTGAGAATATGCGGTGTTTGGTTTTTTGTTCTTGCGATAGTTTACTGAGAATGATGGTTTCCAATTTCATCCATGTCCCTACAAAGGACATGAACTCATCATTTTTTATGGCTGCATAGTATTCCATGGTGTATATGTGCCACATTTTCTTAATCCAGTCTATCATTGTTGGACATCTGGGTTGGTTCCAAGTCTTTGCTATTGTGAATAATGCCGCAATAAACATACGTGTGCATGTGTCTTTATAGCAGCATGATTTATAGTCCTTTGGGTATATACCCAGTAATGGGATGGCTGGGTCAAATGGTATTTCTAGTTCTAGATCCCTGAGGAATCGCCACACTGACTTCCACAATGGTTGAACTAGTTTACAGTCCCACCAACAGTGTAAAAGTGTTCCTATTTCTCCACATCCTCTCCAGCACCTGTTGTTTCCTGACTTTTTAATGATTGCCATTCTAACTGGTGTGAGATGATATCTCATAGTGGTTTTGATTTGCATTTCTCTGATGGCCAGTGATGATGAGCATTTTTTCATGTGTTTTTTGGCTGCATAAATGTCTTCTTTTCAGAAGTGTCTGTTCATGTCCTTCGCCCACTTTTTGATGGGGTTGTTTGTTTTTTTCTTGTAAATTTGTTTGAGTTCATTGTAGATTCTGGATATTAGCCCTTTGTCAGATGAGTAGGTTGCGAAAATTTTCTCCCATGTTGTAGGTTGCCTGTTCACTCTGATGGTAGTTTCTTTTGCTGTGCAGAAGCTCTTTAGTTTAATTAGATCCCATTTGTCAATTTTGGCTTTTGTTGCCATTGCTTTTGGTGTTTTGGACATGAAGTCCTTGCCCACGCGTATGTCCTGAATGGTAATGCCTAGGTTTTCTTCTAGGGTTTTTATGGTTTTAGGTCTAACGTTTAAGTCTTTAATCCATCTTGAATTGATTTTTGTATAAGGTGTAAGGAAGGGATCCAGTTTCAGCTTTCTACATATGGCTAGCCAGTTTTCCCAGCACCATTTATTAAATAGGGAATCCTTTCCCCATTGCTTGTTTTTCTCAGGTTTGTCAAAGATCAGATAGTTGTAGGTATGCGGCGTTATTTCTGAGGGCTCTGTTCTGTTCCATTGATCTATATCTCTGTTTTGGTACCAGTACCATGCTGTTTTGGTTACTGTAGCCTTGTAGTATAGTTTGAAGTCAGGTAGTGTGATGCCTCCAGCTTTGTTCTTTTGGCTTAGGATTGACTTGGCAATGCGGGCTCTTTTTTGGTTCCATATGAACTTTAAAGTAGTTTTTTCCAATTCTGTGAAGAAAGTCATTGGTAGCTTGATGGGGATGGCATTGAATCTATAAATTACCTTGGGCAGTATGGCCATTTTCACGATATTGATTCTTCCTACCCATGAGCATGGAATGTTCTTCCATTTGTTTGTATCCTCTTTTATTTCCTTGAGCAGTGGTTTGTAGTTCTCCTTGAAGAGGTCCTTCACATCCCTTGTAAGTTGGATTCCTAGGTATTTTATTCTCTTTGAAGCAATTGTGAATGGGAGTTCACTCATGATTTGGCTCTCTGTTTGTCTGTTGTTGGTGTATAAGAATGCTTGTGATTTTTGCACATTGATTTTGTATCCTGAGACTTTGCTGAAGTTGCTTATCAGCTTAAGGAGATTTTGGGCTGAGACGATGGGGTTTTCTAGATAAACAATCATGTCGTCTGCAAACAGGGACAATTTGACTTCCTCTTTTCCTAATTGAATACCCTTTATTTCCTTCTCCTGCCTGATTGCCCTGGCCAGAACTTCCAACACTATGTTGAATAGGAGCGGTGAGAGAGGGCATCCCTGTCTTGTGCCAGTTTTCAAAGGGAATGCTTCCAGTTTTTGCCCATTCAGTATGATATTGGCTGTGGGTTTGTCATAGATAGCTCTTATTATTTTGAAATACGTCCCATCAATACCTAATTTATTGAGAGTTTTTAGCATGAAGGGTTTTTGAATTTTGTCAAAAGCTTTTTCTGCATGTATTGAGATAATCATGTGGTTTTTGTCTTTGGCTCTGTTTATATGCTGGATTACATTTATTGATTTGCGTATATTGAACCAGCCTTGTATCCCAGGGATGAAGCCCACTTGATCATGGTGGATAAGCTTTTTGATGTGCTGCTGGATTCGGTTTGCCAGTATTTTGTTGAGGATTTTTGCATCAATGTTCATCAAGGATATTGGTCTAAAATTCTCTTTTTTGGTTGTGTCTCTGCCCGGCTTTGGTATCAGAATGATGCTGGCCTCATAAAATGAGTTAGGGAGGATTCCCTCTTTTTCTATTGATTGGAATAGTTTCAGAAGGAATGGTACCAGTTCCTCCTTGTACCTCTGGTAGAATTCGGCTGTGAATCCATCTGGTCCTGGACTCTTTTTGGTTGGTAAACTATTGATTATTGCCACAATTTCAGATCCTGTTATTGGTCTATTCAGAGATTCAACTTCTTCCTGGTTTAGTTTTGGGAGAGTGTATGTGTCGAGGAATGTATCCATTTCTTCTAGATTTTCTAGTTTATTTGCATAGAGGTGTTTGTAGTATTCTCTGATGGTAGTTTGTATTTCTGTGGGATCGGTGGTGATATCCCCTTTATCATTTTTTATTGTGTCTATTTGATTCTTCTCTCTTTTTTTCTTTATTAGTCTTGCTAGCAGTCTATCAATTTTGTTGATCCTTTCAAAAAACCAACTCCTGGATTCATTGATTTTTTGAAGGGTTTTTTGTGTCTCTATTTCCTTCAGTTCTGCTCTGATTTTAGTTATTTCTTGCCTTCTGCTAGCTTTTGAATGTGTTTGCTCTTGCTTTTCTAGTTCTTTTAATTGTGATGTTAGGGTGTCAATTTTGGATCTTTCCTGCTTTCTCTTGTGGGCATTTAGTGCTATAAATTTCCCTCTACACAGTGCTTTGAATGTGTCCCAGAGATTCTGGTATGTTGTGTCTTTGTTCTCGTTGGTTTCAAAGAACATCTTTATTTCTGCCTTCATTTCGTTATGTACCCAGTAGTCATTCAGGAGCAGGTTGTTCAGTTTCCATGTAGTTGAGCGGCTTTGAGTGAGATTCTTAATCCTGAGTTCTAGTTTGATTGCACTGTGGTCTGAGAGATAGTTTGTTATAATTTCTGTTCTTTTACATTTGCTGAGGAGAGCTTTACTTCCAACTATGTGGTCAATTTTGGAATAGGTGTGGTGTGGTGCTGAAAAAAATGTATATTCTGTTGATTTGGGGTGGAGAGTTCTGTAGATGTCTATTAGGTCCGCTTGGTGCAGAGCTGAGTTCAATTCCTGGGTATCCTTGTTGACTTTCTGTCTCGTTGATCTGTCTAATGTTGACAGTGGGGTGTTAAAGTCTCCCATTATTAATGTGTGGGAGTCTAAGTCTCTTTGTAGGTCACTCAGGACTTGCTTTATGAATCTGGGTGCTCCTGTATTGGGTGCATATATATTTAGTATAGTTAGCTCCTCTTGTTGAATTGATCCCTTTACCATTATGTAATGGCCGCCTTTGTCTCTTTTGATCTTTGTTGGTTTAAAGTCTGTTTTATCAGAGACTAGGATTGCAACCCCTGCCTTTTTTTGTTTTCCATTTGCTTGGTAGATCTTCCTCCATCCTTTTATTTTGAGCCTATGTATGTCTCTGCACGTGAGATGGGTTTCCTGAATACAGCACACTGATGGGTCTTGACTCTTTATCCAACTTGCCAGTCTGTGTCTTTTAATTGGAGAATTTAGTCCATTTACATTTAAAGTTAATATTGTTATGTGTGAATTTGATCCTGTCATTATGATGTTAGCTGGTTATTTTGCTCGTTAGTTGATGCAGTTTCTTCCTAGTCTCGATTGTCTTTACATTTTGGCATGATTTTGCAGCAGCTGGTACCGGTTGTTCCTTTCCATGTTTGGCGCTTCCTTCAGGAGCTCTTTTAGGGCAGGCCTGGTGGTGACAAAATCTCTCAGCATTTGCTTGTCTGTAAAGTATTTTATTTCTCCTTCACTTATGAAGCTTAGTTTGGCTGGATATGAAATTCTGGGTTGAAAATTCTTTTCTTTAAGAATGTTGAATATTGGCCCCCACTCTCTTCTGGCTTGTAGGGTTTCTGCCGAGAGATCTGCTGTTAGTCTGATGGGCTTCTCTTTGAGGGTAACCCGACCTTTCTCTCTGGCTGCCCTTAACATTTTTTCCTTCATTTCAACTTTGGTGAATCTGACAATTATGTGTCTTGGAGTTGCTCTTCTCGAGGAGTATCTTTGTGGCGTTCTCTGTATTTCCTGAATCTGAACGTTGGCCTGCCTTGCTAGGTTGGGGAAGTTCTCCTGGATAATATCCTGCAGAGTGTTTTCCAACTTGGTTCCATTCTCCGCATCACTTTCAGGTACACCAATCAGACGTAAATTTGGTCTTTTCACGTAGTCCCATATATCTTGGAGGCTTTGCTCATTTCTTTTTATTCTTTTTTCTCTAAACTTCCCTTCTCGCTTCATTTCATTCATTTCATCTTCCATTGCTGATACCCTTTCTTCCAGTTGATCGCATCGGCTCCTGAGGCTTCTGCATTCTTCACGTAGTTCTCGAGCCTTGGTTTTCAGCTCCATCAGCTCCTTTAAGCACTTCTCTGTATTGGTTATTCTAGTTATACATTCTTCTAAATTTTTTTCAAAGTTTTCAACTTCTTTGCCTTTGGTTTGAATGTCCTCCCGTAGCTCAGAGTAATTTGATCGTCTGAAGCCTTTTTCTCTCAGCTCGTCAAAATCATTCTCCATCCAGCTTTGTTCCGTTGCTGGTGAGGAGCTGTGTTCCTTTGGAGGAGGAGAGGCGCTCTGCGTTTTACAGTTTCCAGTTTTTCTGTTCTGTTTTTTCCCCATCTTTGTGGTTTTATCTACTTTTGGTCTTTGATGATGGTGATGTACAGATGGGTTTTCGGTGTGGATGTCCTTTCTGTTTGTTATTTTTCCTTCTAACAGACAGGACCCTCAGCTGCAGGTCTGTTGGAATACCCTGCCGTGTGAGGTGTCAGTGTGCCCCTGCTGGGGGGTGCCTCCCAGTTAGGCTGCTCGGGGGTCAGGGGTCAGGGACCCACTTGAGGAGGCAGTCTGCCCGTTCTCAGATCTCCAGCTGCATGCTGGGAGAACCACTGCTCTCTTCAAAGCTGTCAGACAGGGACATTTAGGTCTGCAGAGGTTACTGCTATCTTTTTGTTTGTCTGTGCCCTGCCCCCAGAGGTGGAGCCTACAGAGGCAGGCAGGCCTCCTTGAGCTGTGGTGGGCTCCACCCAGTTCGAGCTTCCTGGCTGCTTTGTTTACCTAAGCAAGCCTGGGCAATGGGGGGCGCCCCTCCCCCAGCCTCGCTGCTGCCTTGCAGTTTGATCTCAGACTGCTGTGCTAGCAATCAGCGAGATTCCGTGGGCGTAGGACCCTCTGAGCCAGGTGTGGGATATAGTCTCGTGGTGCGCCGTTTTTTAAGCCGGTCTGAAAAGCGCAATATTCGGGTGGGAGTGACCCGATTTTCCAGGTGCGTCCGTCACCCCTTTCTTTGACTCGGAAAGGGAACTCCCTGACCCCTTGCGCTTCCCAGGTGAGGCAATGCCTCGCCCTGCTTCGGCTCGCGCACGGTGCGCGCACCCACTGGCCTGCGCCCACTGTCTGGCACTCCCTAGTGAGATGAACCCGGTACCTCAGATGGAAATGCAGAAATCACCCGTCTTCTGTGTCGCTCACGCTGGGAGCTGTAGACCGGAGCTGTTCCTATTCGGCCATCTTGGCTCCTCCCGATCCTAGCATTTCTTCTAAGGCAGGTCTTGTGGTGATGTACTCCCTCTGCTTTTGGTTCTCTTGGAAAGCCTATCTATCCTTCATTTTTGAAGAACAGTTTTGCCAGGTATAGTATTATTGATTGGCATTTTTCCCCCGGCACTTCAAATAATTATCTCATTGCCTTCTAGCCTGCAAGGTTTCTGCTAAAAAATATGCACATAGTCATGTGGGCATTCCCTTGTACTTAACAGGTCCCTTCTGTCTTGCTGCCTTCAAAATTCAAATTTTTGAGTTTTGACAATTTGATTATAATGTTTCAGTGTGGATTTCTTTGGGTTCAATTTTTGGGGGTATTTTGGACTTCAAGGGTCTGCATGTTCATTCTCTTCCCAAGATTAGGAAAGTTTCAGTCATTATTTATTTGAGCAAACTTTTTAGTCTCTCTCTCTTTCTCTCTCTCTCTCTCTCAAACTTATATTAATCTGTTTGACGATGTCCCATACGTTTCAGACTTCCTTTATTCTCTTTATCTTTTCATTTTTCTCCTCTGACTGAATAATTCCCAATGACCTGTTTTCAACTTTGCTGATCTTTTCTTCCATTCAGTCTAATCCAGTGTTGAATTCCTCCAGTGAATTTTTTAGTTCAGTTATTGTATTCTTCAGCCCCATGATTTCTGATTGGTACTTTTTAAAGTTTTTTATCTCTTTTTAAAAATTCTCATTTGGTTCACATATTGCTCTCCTGACCTTGGTGAGCATCTTTAGGATGGTTACTTTGAATTTTCTGTCAAAAAAATCCATATATCTCTATGTTATGAGGGTCAGTTTCTGAAGTTATCTTGTTTGTTTGTTTGAAGAATATTTCTATGTTTCTTCATTTTCCTTAATACTCTGTGTTGGTGTCTGCACATTAGACAAAACAGCAACCTCTCCTACTCTTCACAAACTAACCTTGTCCTCGAGAAGACTACCAATCAGCCTGATCAGAGATTCTGGAGATCTCGCAAACCTTTTTGCTAGTCCCTCCTACTTTCTTTCTTCTTAGTGGCCCTCAGACTTCTAGAATATACCAAATCTAATTAGTGTTCTGAAACAAGCCAATTCCTCAAGCAGGCCCCACATAGTTGGGTATTTAGATGCACAGTGTACCTCTTTTCCTCCCCAAGTAGAAGCTAGGAGCTGAGATTTTTATCTGCTCATTCTGTGCTAAGCTGGAGGGAGTGGCTATGGCACCTGCCAGCCTCAATCATGATCTCTGCTCTTCTTAATTTTGGGTGGCTAGAGCATGCCATGTCCTGTCAGCACTCTAACACAGGCTAGACAGAAATGGTTATCTGGCTAGCCCTCAGGAAAGCCATGTTGTTAAACATGGGGTGCCTCTCTTTCCCTTCCCAGGGAGAAGGCGGGAACTGGAACTCTTTTACTCCTAACTCTGTGCTGAGCTAGGGAGAGTGACTTTGGTAACTGCCAGCCCAAAACATGATCTTTGCTCTTACTGGCCTTGGGCAGATAGACTATCCCATGTCCTGTGTCTCCTCAGTGCCCTGAAGCAGGCTAGACAGAAGCCAGTCTTCTGGATAGTCCCCTAAAAGTTGGGGTGTTGGATGTGTAATACACCATTTTCCTGTACCAGGGAGAAGCTGAGACCTGGAAGGCTTTGTCCCAAATGTATGCCATTTTGCTGAGGGGAAGAATTGTGGCAAGAAGATATCTCACATTTTTCTGTCAACTTCAGCATAGCTGGGATTGTACTCACCAAGGGTGCAGGAGCTTTTAACTAGTTTCTGGATTCCTCAAAAAGGGAATCTGTCTGTGAATTGTTATTGCATTAGTGTATTCATGGGGGGTGGCGAGGAGGATCCAGGGCTTCTTATTCTGCAATCTTGCTCATGGTATTATATTTTAGGTTTCAGATTCCACTTTTTCATTGCTGGTATTTAGAAAAGTGCTTGTATTTTGTAATTAATCTTGATCCTGCAAATTTACTATAATTGTTTATTAGTTCCAAGAGGTCTTTTGTCAGCTTTTTTGGATTTTCTGCAAAGATAATCATGTCATTAGCGAACAAAATGTTGTACATCTTCATTTTCAATATATATACCTTCTAATTTCCTTTTCTTGTCTCATTGCTTTAATGCTTTCCTTTTATTTCCTTTTATGCTACTTTGAGATTTGCAAAAGTTTTAAATTCTTTTATAATAAAATGTGTATTTTGAGTTCTTGGAAAAAATAGCCTTCAGTTTTCAGTAAGTCATAATATTGCAGCTTTCTGTGCAATATTTACATTTTTGTAACTATTGGATCTTTTTCATCTTTGATATACCTTCACACATTGTTTTTGCTATGATACATTTGCATGACCATAAATTTTGTATTCTTATTTCATTACTTTTAATTTTCTTCATGGATTATCACATTCTGCTTTTTTTCTTAATTTGAAAAATCTAACAATAAATTCTATTTTCTATCCATTTTTATGAACAAGAAAATATTAAAATCTTATTATTACTTCATAGAGATTTGTCAAAAATTACTTACTAGTATTGTAGGATCTTGACTTTGGACCAACTCTTAGAATTTACTAACTTCAAGTCTCTCATCCAGAGAGAATTACCTTCAATTTTTCATCCCTGAAAATTGCTATCAAACATTTTTTTTAATTTCTTACTTGTTTTGGAACTTGATAAGTCACAGAAAGTTTATTTTATTATTAGGGATATCTTTTTATTAGAAGATCATCACTCTGATGGTGCTCTAATTAGATCATTAGTCCTTCATCAAACCAACCAAGATCTGCCACTCTGAAAACTTTACCTCCTGACATTTTGCTCTCCAGATTAATAAAAAAAGAAGTTCCATGTATCTTCCACCTGTTCATGGAAGCCACTACTTGTTTATAGCTCTTCGTGTGTTTTTAAACAACTATCATCTTCCTTCTTTAATCTCTCTTTTTGAATTAAACATGCCAGACCTCGAAATATTCCTGGGAAAAGATGACTTCTCAACCTCCTTATTACTTTGGTTCTTCTACTCTAGAAATCCATTTTTAATTCTTCTTTTAAAATATGAACACCATAGTGTGTGATTACTTGAGACAAACTGTCTTGGCCTGCGGGGATAACTGCAGTGTTAAGGATACCTGACTAAGGGTTGATAGATAATAAATAGCTCCCACCAGGGGAATAAGTTTTGAGAAGCAACTAAGTGAGTCGTTGTCTTTTATTTCCTAGGATGGCTCACTCAGACAGGATCACACACCAAGGACTGGAGGTTGTGTTCAGAAAGTTTTCTAGTCTGCATCAACACTCAAAACACTTGTAGATGGCAAACCCTCAAAAAACAATGATTTATACATGCTCCTGATGGCATATTGCAATCTTACAATGGACCTCTGAATTTGGGATCTGGTTTATACTCAAGACTTGTATGCCACCCACTTCCCTGCAGAATGACTAAAACTAGACAAAGAAGAAGCTCATTTGGGAACTTGACTTACAAAAACCTTCCTCCTCTGATGTGTGTAATAACCTTGCTGCACCATGTTTGTTGACATTTTAAGGCAAATTTTGTTCCCTTTTTATATGTGGTGGTTGTTGTTATACCACTCATAGTGTGATTGAGAACATAAATTCTCCAAAGAACTACAGAATATGGGAAGAAATATTAATGTTTCAACCCCTCTATTTTACAGATGATAAAATGGAAACTTAGAGAGATAAAGGGACTTGGCTCAAGGTCCCTTAATTGTCTATCCTCAACGGACTCAGGCTGGAGTGAAATCTAAATCTGCCATTCCCTCTAAATAGTTTTGATGTGCAACAAAGTGATGGAGAAATTAGAAACCAGGAGACAGAAAAACAGCAGCAGGAGGGAGTAGGCAAGGAGCTGGAGAATTCAGTGTTTTATAAACTTTAAATTCCCAACTGCTACACTATAATTCTGTCTTGAGAGTCCATTATAAGGAAGTCATTTTGGTGACTTGGATGAGGTCCATGGAAGATGTGTCTCAGCATCTAATTTGTGAGTGTGTTATAGTGAGATGCCATTAAGATTCTCACAGCCTCTTTGGAATGTGGGATGGGAGGATATGTTTATTTTATAGTTCCACAGTTAATTCTCCTGGTGTCTAGAAGCTTTCATTCATTCATTCACTCATTCATTCAAACACATTTGATGAATGCTCATATTCATTTTGTATAACACACTATGCTAGATGTTTTGCATTTAAAGTTGAATAATTCAAGCCCTGAATTAAACCTTTAAGGTAAAGAAAGCAGCTCCTCACTGCAAATTAAGAAGGCTTGCTTTTAAAACTAGCTCATTTTACATTGATTCAGAACATCAGTTAATTGAAAAAATAACTCTTTTGCCTAGGAATTCAGTGTTCCTGTACAGTTATCAAGAAATAACTTTAGCAATTCCTCTTCTAGGAATTTATCCTAAAGATATACTTGCACATGCTCAAAGATTTATATACAGAATTATTTTACACCATTGTTTGTAGTAAAAAAAAAAAAAAGATTAAACACAAACTATTCAGTAATAGAGAACTGCTATCCACATAATGAAAAAAATGTAGGTGTAAATCAGAACCTGTTCACATCTTATGTATGATAGAGACTTTAGAGAGTTATTTCCAAAAGATATGATATTCTCTTTCTATCTTTTTCTACCTCCCTCTCTCCCACCCTTCTTTCTTCCTTTTTTATCTCTTTCTTTCTCCCCTAACTTTACATTTGGAAAATTTCCAATATACAAAAAAGTTGTAGAATTGCTATTATAAATATTATAAATATATACTTTTCATCTAAATCAGTAATTGTTAATTACAGACACATTTTGTGGAACTATTGGAAAATAAATGTTAGACATCATGGCCTTCATCCCTAAATACAAAGCTCCAGCACCATACTAAAGAAACTTGGCATTGAAACAATAGTATCACTAAATGCAATACAAAATAAAAAGCCACAGCACCATCCTAAAGAAGCTTAGCATTGAAATAATAGTATCATTAAATACAGTTCAAATTTTCTTAGTTATCACAAAAATATTATTTATGACTTTTATTTTTCCAGATCCAGGGTTTAGAATTTGATTACCATGTCTCTTTAGCTTCCATTTGTCTAGTTTGGTCCCCCTGGCTTTTTCTTTCATAATAATTATCTTTTTGAAGCATACCAGCAAGTTGTCTAGTAGAAATTTTTATAATCAGGATTTATCTGATTGTTTCCTCACAACCGGATTCAAATGAAACATTTTTGTGAAAAATATGACAGATATGCTCTTGATAATGCTAATGCTTATTTGGTTCAGATGGTGTCTGCCAGACTTTTCCATTGTAATTCCCTTTGTATTTAGGAAGACATCTATTATGAACTAAATTTTGTCCCCCCAAACTTTGCATGCTGAAGCCCTCATCTCCAGTACCTCAGAACATGACTGTGTTTGGAGACAGAGTCTTAAAAATGGTAATTAAAGTTAAATAAGGTTATATAGGTGGGCTCTAATCCAATCTGACTGGTGTCCTTATAAGGAGAGGAAATTTGAACCCACAAGAGATACCAGGGACATGTGCCCCTGAGGGATGACCATGGGGAGAGGCAGGAAGAGGATGGACAACTGTTTTGCTAAGGAAAGAGGGGTCAAAAGGAGTCAACCCTATTGGCACCTCGATCTTGGACTTCTGTCCTCCAGAACTGTGAGAAAACAAACTTCTGTTGTTTAAGTGACCCAGTCTATGGCATTTTGTTACAGCAGCCGTAGCAAACTAATACGTCATCTGAGGTGTGTTTTGAGACCACATAAATATGTTAACATTTCACTCAGTAGAGTCTGATTGCTACTTCAAGGAAATTTGTAAAAAATTACTAACTTGAATGATAAAATCTTAGATTTGGACCAGCCCTGCGACCTTACAGCCTGCAGTCTCTGTTAATTCTTGCCTTAATTAATTAATTAGTACAATGGATATGGAAAAATAGTCATTTTCTAAATCTAACCTTTCTAATTTTATTATTTGGTGTTCTTCTGAAAGAAGAGTCCTACTCTCTCCCTTTTTTGACTTTATACACTAATTGATTTTAAATGTTTAATATCCATTATTATATTTTGGAGGCTGTAATTACTCCACATCTGATTATCAGAAGCCCCTTCGACTGGCTCCTGTGTACCTTAGAATGTGTGTATCAGTCTTTGAGTATTTCCCTACTTTCCCACACAATAATAAAATGTTCCAAGACCACTTTTTACTTTCTTTGCTTTTGACCTAGAAACAGCCATTTCCCCAAGATTTCCTAACCCCTTTTAGTGAATAAGAGAGTTTAGAAACGAAGACCTAAGCACTCATAAGGTGTACTCATTACTTCTAGCATGGACACAGTCCTGGACCTTGTCTGTGCATAGAGCTAGTTTATCTTTATATTCTTCATTTTAATTCATCAACACAAGGTTCATTGTTATCTCACCCATTTGAAAATTTCCCTTCTCTCATATAAGAGCCCTTGATTCCTGACCATATTCAATTTTCCAAATTTATTTTTCTCTGTTCTGTAATGCAGTCAAAATAGTTTAAGAATAACTACCCCCATATTACCAAACAACAAATAAACTAAGAAAAATTCAGATTTCTTTATAGTTCTTTTTATCTTTAAAACATATCACACCAAGGGTATAGAGTCAGAATATACTGAGTTCGCAAGGTACTTGAATTCATCCTTTTTTTCATTCTCTGCACTTAAATGACAGCAATTTGAGATAGAGTTACTTCACTGGTTTCCACATGTGTCCAGTATTAAAGTTTGATCTCAAGCTCTATTTCAACTGAAAAAGGCAGGGTGCATCGTAGTTTGAATAGTAGGTTTCTATTTGAATTGAAAGGAGGAAAAATTAATGCAATTTTTATTATTCCTTTATTTGCTTGCATTTGCATAAAAATATGCGTGGATGAATATACTAGGAATTGATCCGTAACTCTGGGAAGGGAATTGGGTGATTAGGAGAAGAGCTGGGGGTATACTTTTCACCGTGGGATATTTTTACATTGTGTTGCTTTGTATTTTTAAATTTTTGAAACGTGACTATATTATCCACTAAAAATAAATTAAAAATGTAAAAGAAAAGAATCTACTTTTGCTTCCTCTATTCTTCCCCCTCACAGGCCATTACCCAAGTGTGTTGATACTTCAATGGAGGCACAACTTGGAGGATTTTATCTGATCCCAAGAAACTCCCAATTACGGTTACCTTGACTGCCTTCTGTCCCCTCCACTGGTGAATTATCCAAGCAAGGAGGCTGCATTTTCCAAGCCGTTTGAATCACATCCCCAGGATGTTTCCATGAGCCAGCCAAGTGCATTCTTGAGCTGTGCCTAGATGTACTTGTTAAGTTTCTTAAGAATTTTTAAAATGATTCAGTGCATGCTCTCTCTGAGCTGCATTTTGTCACTTGGAACATTCAACAGATGTATTTGGCTCATGTGCAGTTTTTGATTCTCATAGATGAGGAATTTTTCACTCTCTCTGTTCTTGGTACTTGAGGCATTTTCACTCAAATGCTCTCTGTTGTCTCTCCCTCTCTTTATTCATTCTCTCTCTCTCTCTCTCTGTCTCTCCATTTCTCTCTCCATTTTTAATTTCTTCAGTCTTCTGGGTCTCAGTTGAGCCCCAGGGACCACAGGTAACCCTCTTTAGGACAGTAGCATCTCTGGAAACCTAGCATCACTGCCAAAGTGGAACAAAATTCAAAATAAAAACAGTCTGTGGGCTTGGACATTCTTAATCATGCTTTTTTCCTTAGAAGTTCTTTTAGTCCAAATTACATGGATTATTATTTCTTTCAACTACCTTATGCCATAGCTGACCTAATTATACATTTGTGGTTCTACAGTTTGAATATAATTTGGCTCTGCCAAAACTCATTTTGAGGCTTGGTCCACAGTGTAGCAGTGTTGGAGGTAGGGTCTTTAAGATGAATTAATGTTTTTCTCATGAAATTGGGTTAGTTCTTAAGAGAGTGGGTTGTTATAAAGTGGGTCAACTTCCTTTGTGCCATCTCTTTCCACACACTTGGTTCCCCTTCTGTTTCTCCTCCATCTTTTGATGTGGCACGAGGCCCTCACTGCAAACTGTCAGATGCAGCTGCCCAATTCTGAACTTTGCAGCCTGTAGAACCATGTGCTAAATAAGCTTCTTTTCTTTATAAATTGCCAAGTCTCAGGTATTCTGTTATAGCAACACAAAATGATTTGTGCACATACATGTGTGTGTGTGTTTGTGTGTGCGTGGTGGTATTTTAGTACAATGATGATTGCCTGCCATCTGTTGTTCCAGAACTTAGAAATACAAACTATTTTAAAACACAGAGAAGAAAAACCCAGACACTTTCCTGGGGGTGTGGGGTGGAAGATAATTTTTAGAGGTCTGGCTGGGGGCAGGGGTGAGAGGAGAGCTGAAAGGAGGTATGATGTAAACACAAAGAACCCTATGTCAAGTGTCAGGTTACCTGTATTTGCAACCTGGCTTTTATCATTTTGCTTTTTCATTAATACACACACGCTTTCGCTCATTTATTCAACGTTTATTATCTACCGTATGCAAGGCATTCTTTTGTATGGCCTTAACTAAGCCATTTAACCTCTAAGACATATATTCATTTTTTAATAGATTTTATTTGTTGGAAGAGATTTAGGTCACAGCAAAATTGGGCAGAAGATACAGAGATTTCCCATATGCTCCCTGCCCCCACACATACATAGCTTCCTCCATTACCAATATCCACCAGAGTGGTACATTTGTTAACAATTTATTGACAATTTATTAACACATAATCACCCAGAGTTCAGAGTTGACATTGGGGTTCACTCCTGGTGTTATACATTTTGTGGGTTTGGACAAGTGCATAATATGTGTCTACAATTACAGTATCACAAAGAGTAGTTTCTCTGTCCTAAAAATCCTCTGTGCTGCACCTGTTTGACATCCTCACCCAACCCTTGGCAAGCACTGATCTTTTTACTTTCTCCATAGTTTTGCCTTTTCCAGAATATCATGTGGTTGGAATCATAAAATATTTAGTCTTTTCAGACTTTTTTTTTTTGTGAGACAGAGTCTCGCTCTGTCACCCAGACTGGAGTGCAATGATGGGATCTCGGCTCACTGCAACCTCTGTCTCCTGGGTTCAAGCAATTCTCCCTGCCTCAGCCTCCCAAGTAGCTGGGATTACAGGTGCCTGCCACCACACTTGGCTAATTTTTGTATTTTTTTTTTAGTAGAGATGGGATTTTGCCATGTTGGCCAGGCTGGTCTTGAACTCCTGACCTCAGGTGATCCACCTGCTTCGGCCTCCCAAAGTGCTGGGATTACAGGCATGAGCCACTGCGCCTGGCCCAGACTGACTTGTTTCACTTAGTAATATGCATTTAAGTTTCCACCATTTATTTCCATGGCTTGATAGCTGTTTTTTGTTTTTTTTTTTTGCACCGAATAATATTCCATTGTCTGGATGTGAGGTAAAAGGTGGGACTCGACTCTAGAGGTGAGGCTCAGACTGCAGACCAGATTGAGGACTAGCTGAAATGGAGGAAGCAAAAGCACCTCTCCATAAGACATGCCCACCAGTGCCACATCAGTTTATCATTGCTATGGCAACACCCAGAAGTTACCTCCCCTTTCCATGGCAATGACTTGATTATCTGGAAGTTATGCCCCTTTTTTTTCTGGAAATTTCTGCATAATAGACCCGTTAGTTTGCATGTAATTAAAAGTTGATATAAATCTGACTGCAGAGCTGCCCTTGAGCTGCTGCTCTTGATACACCATGTAGGGAGTGGTTCCTCTCTGTAGGAGCAGTCACGGAGCTATAACACTGCCACCTTAATAAAGCTGTTTCCTTCTACCATCAGCTTGTTCTTGAATTTTTGCCTAAGTGAAGCCAAGAACCCTCCAAGGCCAAGCCCCAATTTGGGAATTGCCTGCCATGCATCAAATGTTCCGCAGTTTATTTATCTAGTCACTTACTGAAGGACATATTGGTTGCTTTCAAGTTTTTGGCAATTGTGAATAAAGCTTCTATAAACATCCATGTACAGATTTTTGTGGAGACAGTGTTTTCACCTGGGTTGATAACAAGGAGCATGATTGTTGGGTTGTATGATATGAGTGTGTTTTGTTTAGTTTTGTAAGAAACTACCAAACTGTCTTCCAAAGTGGCTGTGCCATTTTACATTCTCACTAGAAGCAGATGGGAGTTTCTGTTATTCCACATCCTCACCAGCATTTGATGCTGTCAGTGTTTTGGATTTTGGCCATTCTAATATGTGCATATTTGTGTCTCATTGTTGTTTTAATTTGCAATCCCCTGATGACATGTTATGGAGTATCTTTTCATATGCTTACTTGCCACCTGTGTATCTTCTTTGGTCAGGTGTCTGTTTAGATCTTCTGCTCATTTTTCATTCAGGTTGTTTGTTTTCTTATTGTTGAGTTTTAAGAGATCTTTGTATATTTTATATGAGTCCTTTATTGGATGTGTCTTTTGCAAATATTTTCTCCCAGTCTGTGGCTTGTCTTTTCATTCTTTTGACAGTATCTTTTGCAGAGCAGAAATTGTTATTTTTCATAAAGTTCAGCTTATCAATTCTTCCTTTCATGGATATATATTCATTTTTAAAATGGGGATAGTATTACCTGATTTACATATCTCCTAGTTCTTTGTGTGATAGGTGTGGTATGAGGGTGCTTTCTTTCTTTTTTAAGAAATGTGGTGGTGGTCCACGTCTCTGTTCCATCAAATTCTATTAGCATGGTCATATTTTAGTCACTGAAATGTGACATATTAATCCAGGTGTAAGTTTCAAGAGGCAGCATGAACTCTTTATTTTCTGTCACAGATGCTGGCAATGTTCCATGGAGTAGATACTATATATCAGCCTGAGTCCCAGAGTAGGAATATCTTGGAACACAGCCCTTGGCCCTTCTACAATGGATACATAGCATGAGCAAGAAATAAACCCTCATCACTTTAGGCCACTGAGAATTTGAGGGGTTTTGTTATCTTAGCAAAACCCAGCCTATCCTGTCTGCTACAAAGAATCAGGAAGATATGATAACTTCAGATGATGTGGAGTGCTGTGAAGTAAGGGCATGAAATTGAGCTGACAAGTGAAGTGAGCTTGGGCCCATGTTGGCTAGATGAAGATCAAAACCCTCTGTAGTGGCTCCAACTCTTGCCACAAGATGTGAAGAAAAAAGAATGAGACTGGAGTCCTCTGGGGCACTGGCTCTAGATGCTGGTGCTATCCAGTAGGTTATCTAAGTGAACAGATAATGCTGAATTTCTTGGATGGTTTACAGTCTAATTTTTAGAGCATAACATAACATGGAAGTCAACTGGAACCAGAGGAAATTTTAGTAGAAATTCTGCTTTCTTCCTTTAGATATAAAATGGTTTTCATCTCAAGGAAGGTTATTTCCATTCCAATTAAGTAAAAGCAAGGAATCATGGCCTGAAAGTAGTATATTAATTATTTAAACCTTTGAGTAATTAATTTCTGATCCCAGGTCCCAAAGAGCTCATTGTGGGGCACTGCATTTCTGAGAATGATGAGAATGAGAAGGGAGAGCATATTTATTAAGCATATATTATGTACTAACTTTCATTCTAGGTTTTTACATGTATTGTCTCTTGCGTCTTGATATCAGAACTCTGAGTCTTAGGAAAACAAGATGCAAAGCAGTTAAACACTTGCTAAAAACTTTATCTAGTAAATGACAGAGGAGGATTCAAACCCAGGTCTAGGTGAACTCTAATTCTTCAGCTTTTTGCAGTATCCACTTCTCCTACTCCGTAAGTTGTTACTTAGGTCTAAAAAGTGAAGAAATTGAAATAGAAATTAGATCTACAGAGGCCCAGAGGAATGAATTATTACTTGAAGTTTTAAATAATTAATATACCACTTTTCTGAGCACTTTAAAAATTCTGAATCTAGGGGGTAGAGTTTGCTTCCCTGAAACCGAATGTTGGGCCTTGAAACAGTCCTCCAGCACGTTGCAGAGAAGCTACTGGCAAACTGAAGTGTGAGAATGAGGATGACAAATATGTGCATGGCTTTATGGTGGCTTTGCTGCAGGGTGCAAAGTTATCTTCTGTGACCTCTTTGGACCACACTGGATGATGAACACCCAAGCAAAGGTAAAACTGGCTCTCCTACTTGTCGGGCGACTATGTGTAATGGTGTTATTCAACAAAAAAGAGACTAGACTAAACTGCACTCACTCATCAGGATAATCATACAAACTTCTGCTAGACTTCTTGGACAATATGCCAGCAAGCATTCTTTGGGGTCAGGTTTGTTCAACAAAGTGTTGCCTGATTTAAAAAATAATAATAATAAAAGTAAGAGGGGAAAAAAAGGCCCTGCTGATAGTAAATTCATGTCTTAGGCCAATAAACACATTTGTTAACGTAAAATAACAACAATAAGGCAGACTCATAAGGCTAGAGCCTCTGAGTGGCCTTGTAACTTCTCAGTAATTGTGTAAAGGCTCATCAGTTCAGCTGAGGGCTGAGATAGAAACCAACAATCGCAAACACAAACCTCTTGGAAGAGCTTAAAGATTTAGCAATGGAACATCTCCAATTTTCCATCTTTTATTTAACTCCTTTGAACTCCCACTAATTTCCAGGCAACACTTGGAATTCCATTTTTAGCTTTGCCTTTTGAATTATTATTTTTTTCCCCTTGGTGTGGTGCAAATCTGCGTAGGAAGATGGTCTTTCTGTTTCATCAATTTTTTTTTCTTGATTGTTGAGGAATGTTCATTGCCAGAATGATTTAAAAATAGAGACTAATTTGAAGAAGAAAATAAAAGTGATCTGTAATCCCACCATTCAGAGACAAGCGCTATTAAGGTTTTGGTATATTTCCAGCTGGGAATTTTTTTTTTTTTCTAAATGTGTGTGTACTTTTTTTTTTTTTTTTAAACGTGACTGACAATATGCTACTTAGAGAGTTTCTTGTGGAGGAGGAAGTCAGGAGCACAGGCTTTGTGTCGCTTGGGCCTGCGTGCAGAGCCTGGCTCTGTCACTTAGTGACTTGTGGGACACAGGACAAGCCATAAGGATCTGTTAGCTCAATAGTGTCTTGACTACTAATTGCTTATAGGTATATTGAAGGGTAAATGATAAAATAAATGTAAAGCCTTTAAAAAAGGTCGCTGGAATTTACTGAACACTGAATAAATGTTAGCTATTACCATCATTTCATTTTTGCCCTTAATGGCCTGTTATGAAACTTTCCCATTAAAGCTTTTTTTCACAATCATGATTTTTTTTTCTTTCTTTGAGACAGAGTCTCCCTCTTTCGCCCAGGCTGGAGTGTAGTGACGCGATCTCGGCTCACTGCAACCTCCGCCTCCTGGGTTCAAGCAATTCTCTGCCTCAGCCTCCCGAGTAGCTGGGATTACAGGCAACTGCCACCATGCCCGGCTAATTTTTGTATTTTTAGTAGAGACAGGGTTTCACTATCTTGGCCAGGCTGGTCTCGAACTCCTGACCTCGTGATCCACCTGCCTCGGCCTCCCAAAGTGCTGGGATTACAGGTGTGAGCCACTGTGCCTGGCCCTGCAATCATGATTTTTAATGGCTGCATTAAATTATATTTTGTAGATATACTAGAAGTTAATTATTCGTCTCTTATTGAATATATATATTTGGCTTCTGTATATCATGTTGCAATGAAGATCTTAATAGACCAATCTTACTTTGGTGTACTATTTCTTATGTTCCTAAGATTGTTTCTTGTGAGTGGAATAACAGGGTAAGAAGAGTGTTACCATTTCAAAGTTCTTAATACATATGGAAAAGTTGTACTTATTTGCATTCTCACCAGGACTGTGTTAGCAGGTTCACATTCACTGTGAGGGTCAACCTTGAGTATTTTCACGCAACCCTATTAATATTTTTACCTTAAACTCCAGACTACATGTTAAATAACCTTTGCATTTTGTACATTTTTATCGTTTTAAAGGAGGTTGTATTTAATTTGCAATTACATTTATTTAGTTAAATTTTGAAATCACATTTATTTGGGTGAATCATTGCTTTTGACAGACAACATCCAATCTTTTGTACTCTGATTTTACCAATGTCTTAGTTTGGTTTTGCTGCTGTTAAAAAAAAAAATACCCGAGACTGGATAATTTATAAAGAACATAAATTTATTACTCACAGTTTTGGAGGCTGGGAACTTCAAGGTCAAGGTGCCAGCAGGTTTGGTGTCTTGTGAGGACACCTCTCTGCTTCCAGGATGGCGCCTCGTTCTGTCTCCTGCAGAGGGGATGAACGCTGTGTCCTCATATGGACTCACCACTTCAAGACCTTTTATAAGATGCTAATCCCATCCATGAGGGCAGAGCCCTCGAGCCTTAATCGCTTCCTTAAGGCCCCACCTCTTACTACTCTAACATTGGTGATCAAGTTTCAATTCAGTATGAATTTGCGAGGACACATTGAGACCACTGCAACCACACTAGGATCTTTAATTTTCTTTGTCACTCAGTCAGAACATGTTAAACTATCGTGGGGTTTTTTTTTTTTTTCAAATAAAGTTCCGGGATGGTAAGATTTCCTAAGTACCTTGTTTTTGTTTTGTTTTTTTCACACATGAGAGGCAACTTGACTTGACGTAAAATTCTTGAGTTAAAACCACCAAAAATGATTTGCCTCTAACATGCCACATTATATGGTAGAATGAGAAAATGTATAAACAAACAGTTGCTTTTTCTCCCCAAGAGCTAACAGAATTCATACAACTCTAGAACAGGGCTTTCCAGTACAACTTTCTGCAGTGATGGAAAGATTTTCTAGTCTGCACTGTGTGGTAAGGCCACCAGCCCAGTGTAGCTACCTGAGCACTTGAAATAAGGCTAGTACAACTGTGGAACTGAATTTTAATTTTTAAATTTTAGTTAGTTTAAATATAAATACCCACATGTAGGTAGTGGTTTCCATATTGAACAGTCCAATTATAGAAATATAGAATAGAAAGGAACCTTAGTGGTTCATGTTAATTTTGCTGCCTTGAGGATGTCATATTACCTTTCTGGACACTGGTTTCCTCGTCAATGAGATGATATAACTTTCTCAACGCTACATAATAAGTTAATGTTAAATCTTAGACAAGAGTCTTACACAACCCTTGTCTCAGTATTGTTTCTTTCATGTCATGGTGCAATTGATTTGTTTAAACTCTGAGATATGACGCTGAACAGTAAATTAGGTTGAATTTTTGTTTTTTTGAGACAGGGTCTTACTCTGTCACCCAGGCTGGAGTGCAGGGACATGATCATTGTTCACTGCAGGCTTGAACTCCTGGGCTTAAGTGATCCTCCCCGTTCAGCCTCTCTAGTAGCTGGGACTACAGCCGTGTACCACCACACCTGGGTAAATTTAAAATTTTTTTGGTAGAGATGGGATCTTGCTATGTTGTCCAGGCTGGTCTTGAACTTCTAACCTCAAGCAATCCTCCTGCCTTGGCCTCCCAATAGTCTAGGATTATGAGTCACCATACCTAGCCTGAACTTTTTTTTTTTAATTCCCAAAACTTCCAAGTTAATAGCTTTGGTATACCTGGCCACCCTACCTCAAATGGTATTCTTAGTTATTCTTTATTCCTATAACCTGATTAATTTTTCTTTATTACTACCTGAAATTATGTGAAGTATTTATTTAAACATACATTTATCTGTCCTCCCACTAGAAGGTCAGCTCCATGGATGCAGGGATTGTGCTTCTTACTGTATCTCCATTGTCTATAGAGGGCTGGATGCATGGCGGGTACTCAATACATCTTTGTTAAAGTGAGTAGATAAGTGAAAAATATCTATTAATCAAGTTCAGTAGGGGAAGGTTTACAGTTGGAACTATGTGTGTAAGGGAGTCACTTTCTCCAATCAGATAGAGTTTTTGGTTTGCAGTTAGCAGTTTTAATTTGAGAGTTTATCTTTGTGAGCTCTGCACTTGTAACATTGGGTAGACATGCTATCATGCAGAAGCATTTTCTCTGCAGTGAAACTGTCAGTTTCAGGGGACAGCTATACTTTAATTTTTATTATTCCCACTACATTTGGGTCAACCTTGGAAGAAGATGGTGATGTGTTCATCTAATGAGGTGACTGAGGCCTGGCCTAGGAAGACCTTTTATTTCCTAGAATCATTTTCAACTGTGTGATTTTGTAAAATGGGGGCAGTACTAACTCCGTAATATTATTGTCACAAAGAATCAATGAGATAACATATGAAAAGCATTTGGTACAATGCCTGTCAACAAGCGTTGTCTACTCTCACCTCCCTATTCTGACCCTAAAATTATACTCAAGTAAGTGGAGGAGCAGTCTTAAATCTGGACTTTCTATCTCAAAATACTGGGCTCTGTGTCTCTCACCAGGCTTGGTCCTCAGCTTATCTGCTTAATCATCATTCAGCATAACTAAGTTAGAGGGGAAGTGGAGTTAAGGGTGGGGATTGATGACGCTGATGGATTGTTCCAGGCCAAGTCTTCCAAATCCTGTCGAGCTTGCACATTGTGTATAGGCAAGGCCCTAACCCTAATCCTAACCTTAACTGCCTGACTAGGCAGGCTTTGGTCAGTCTGACCCAGCACCTTGCCTTGTCTAGCTGCGTGTCTACTCTGAGAGTCTATAAATGTGGAGGAGGCCTTACAATGAAACCCTTCACAATGGAGTGCCTGGATTTTATTGAGAAAAGCCAATCCCCTCCCATCTGTCATTTGGCACTTAGCACTGTAGTTATTCTAGATGAGTGAACACTTGTGTTATATTTTCCAATAGCAAAACTGGGGTCACCAGGGTGCCTGCTGTTTTAGCCGAATCCAGATGGGGTTTTCCTATAAACAAGTGCACATGGAATATTTATGCTGCCCGTGGCACCTGACGCCTTAATACTTAGGACTTCTATGTAGTAGCCACTCTTCCTATAAGTCACTTTAGCACACTAAGTAAATATTTTAATATAGCCATGTCACTGTTTATTATAGAATGGCTTGCACCCAGATCTTGCCTAATGCTTGGTTAAAAAGTCAGTTTATACCATCCTTTAAAGTGAATCAAAGAATGCATAAACGCCACTCTTTTGTTACTCAGAACTCTGTTTACTTTACTTTTCTGTAAACCTTGTGAAATGCTTGCTTACAAAAAGCTGACAGATGCCAGATTTGCTCATTAACTGGAGGTGTTTTCCAAGTCAGGAAGGCGAGGTGTGAATGTGGGAGGTGGATATCTTCTCCGAGGTCATCTCCTGGTGTCCCTTGTCCAAGAGGCCTGCTAATCTGTTGACCCATAACCGCCAGGCAGTAAACGGGACTGAGAAATACCAAGTAAGAGTAGTGATTTATATATCAACCGTGTCCTTTGCCTTGGGACATGTATACTACAATAAGGACCACTTGGACTGTTGGAGACCTGGAAGGACTTTGAAAAACTGAAGGTACCTCTGTCAGGTATTCATTTAAGACAAGTGATAATACTCCTTGTATAAGAACTTTGTGATATTTACCAACTCTCAGTAGCATTTGATTTCTAAGCCTTCCACTGAAGATTGGGACTTTTCTTTAACTGGTAAGGCCATTGAAGTTTTAGTTTCTGGCTATCTGACACATTTAGTGCTTATGCTCTTGGTTAACTAATGAGTGTGTAGTGGATACTTTAGTGCATAATATAAAGTCAATTATAATTTTTATATTAAAATTAGTGTTTAATAAAACAAAATTATGAATTGGTTAACTTTGACGAAGAAACAAACAGAGATACAATCTATGGCAAGATTTAAAGGAATAGAACTTTTTAAGAATGAAGTAGTAGGCTCTTCTTAGCACGTTGTCAGTCATTTCCTTGAGTGTCCACCCAGAGCAGCATTCACAAAAGATGCAATGAAGCTGTTTTGGGCAAACAGGAGAATGGCTGCATCCTAGTGGTAATTTCCATTGGATTCTTATTTATTGTTTTTTTTTTTTTAATCAGTACAAGATGTCACTTTTGATTTGTAAAACTCTCTTCGTGAGTACTTAAAGTGCATCTCCATGGAAGTTCTGTTTATATGAAAGTCATGTTTATTTGCATTTGTTGTACCAGCCCTGCATCCCAGGAATAAAGCCTACTTGATCATGGTGAATCAACTTTTTTTGATGTGCTGCTGGATTCAGTTTGCTAGTATTTTTTTTTTTTTTTTTGACATGGAATCTCGCTCTGTTGACCAGGCTGGAGTGCAGTGGTGCAATCTCGGCTCACTGCAAGCTCTGCCTCCTGGGTTTACGCCATTCTCCTGCTTCAGCCTCCCGAGTAGCTGGGACTACAGGCGCCCGCCACCACGCCTGGCTAATTTTTTTGTATTTTTAGTAGAGACGGGGTTTCACCATGTTAGCCAGGATGGTCTCGATCTCCTGACCTTGTGATCTGCCCACCTCTGCCTCCCAAAGTGCTGGGATTGCAGGCGTGAGCCACCGCACCCGGCCCACTTTGCCAGTATTTTGCTGAGGATATTTGCGTCTTTGTTCCTCAGGGATATTGGCCTGTAGTTTTCTTTCTTGTTGTGTCTCTGTCAGATTTTGGTATCAGAGTGATGCTGGCTTTGTAGAATGAGTTATGGAGGAGT
Source organism: Homo sapiens (assembly GCF_000001405.40). Lineage (NCBI taxonomy): Eukaryota > Metazoa > Chordata > Mammalia > Primates > Hominidae > Homo > Homo sapiens. The sequence continues at coordinate 12,474,586 of NC_000017.11, forward strand.
CCTTTCTCTTTATTTTTTGGGAATAGTTTCAGTAGGATTTGTAGCAGCTCTTCTTTGTATATTTGGTAGAATTCGGCTGTGAATCCATCTGGTCCAGGGCTTTCTTTGGTTGGAAGGCTTTTTATTACTGACTCAATTTCAGAAGTTGATACTGGTCTGTTCAGGGTTTTGATTTCTTCCTGACTCAGTCATGGGAGTTTGGGTGTTTCCAGAAATTTATCCATTTTCTCTATATTTTCTTGTTGTGCACAGGGGTGTTGACAATAATCTCTGAGGATCTTTTATATTTCTGTGGGATCGGTTGTAGTGTCACCTTTTTCATTTCTGATTGTGCCTATTTGGAACTTTTTCTCTCTTTTTATTTTATTTTTTAGTTAATCTAGATAGTGGTCTATCTATCTGGTTGATTCTTTCAAAGAACCAGCTTTTGGTTTTGTTGATTCCTTGTATGGATTTTTGGGTCTCAATTTCATTCAGTTCTATTCTGATTTTGGTTGTTTCTTTTCTTCTGCTAGCTTTTGGGTTAGTTTATTCTTGTTTATCTGGTTCCTCTAGGTGCAATGTTACATTTTAGTTTGAGACCTTTTTAACTTCTTGATGTATACTACAATAAAACAATATGGTACATATTGTTTTGGTTACTATAGCCTTGTAGTATACATCAACACAACCATCTACCATAAAGACACATGCACGCATATGTTTATTGCAGCACTGTTAATAATAGCAAAGACATGGAATCAACCTAGGTGCCTATCGATGGTGGACTTGATAAAGAAAATGTGGTACATATGCACTATGGAATACTACACAGCTATAAAAAAGAACAAAATCGTGTCCTTGGCAGCTGGAGGCCATTATCCTAACCAAATTAATATAGGAACAGAAAACCAAATATTCAAATATGCTAAACATCGTGTGCACATGGACATAAAGGTGGGAAAAATACATGCTGGATTCTAGGGGCTACTAGAAGGGGGAGAGTTGGAAGGGGACGAGGGTCAAAAAACTATATATCAGGTATCAGGCTAACTACCTGGGTGACAGGTTCATTTATACACCAAACCTCAGTGACACCTAATTTACCAACGTAACAAACCTGCACATGCATCCTCTGAACCTAAAATTTAAGATGAGAGAAAAAATTATTTTAAATAATGTTTATTATTTTTTACCATTTGTACTGGGCAGTACAATGTCCCCACACACAGATGTCCATGTCCTAATGTGTGACATCTGTGAATATGTTACACTACATGGCCAAGGGGAATCAAGATTAAAGGTTGCTAATGAAATTAAGATTATTTGTCAGCTGACTTTAAAATAGAGAGATTATCCTGGATTATCAGGGTGGGCCCAATATAATTGAAGTATCCTTAAAAGTGAAAGAGGGAGGCAGAAGAGGAGGTCAGAGTGTTCTGATGTGAAAAGGACTCAACCTACTGTTGTTGGCTTTGAAAAGGATCAGAAGCCAAGGAAAGTGGCTAGCTTCTAGAGGCTAGGAAAAACAAGGAAATGCATCCTCCCCTAGGGCCTCCAGAAAGGAACGCATCCCTGCTGACACCTTGGGCTTAGTCCAGTGAGATCCATGTAGGACTTCCATCCTAGCAAAATGCAAGATTACAAGTTTGTGTAGTTTAAGCTGCTACATTTGTGATAATATTTTACAGTAGCCATAGAGAAGTACTGCATCATTTAAGAGAGAAAAGATGTGCATGTTAGGAAATAGCAAAATGTATATAGAATATAATAGAAATTACCATTTTGAGCATGCACAAAGATATTTAATGAATGTATCTTCAGTTCTTTTTCACTTTGCACACATTATTCTGAAGAATATAGAGTCACTTTGTTGCCTCATCTACTTTTATCACCTAACATTTTACCGTGAGCATTTCCCCATTTCACCTTTTAAATATTATAGAAAACATATATTCTGTATTATGAATGACACACAATTTGCGTAGCCAATTACCTAAATTTTATTTCTATGACAAATATATTTGTACATTGCTGATAATTTTTAAGTAAAAATTTCTAGAATTAAAATTACTAACAAAAAAGAATGGATACTATTGGTTTCAAAAAATATATATTATCACATTGTCCTCCAGAAAGACTGTATTAGTTTGCACCTCACAGGCAGCAAATAATTGTATCTGTTGACAAGCACTGGGCATTATTAGTTTTGAAAATCCACGTTGAAAGGTGAAAAAGAGGGCCTAATTGGTTTAATTATTATTTATTTGATGGTACATGAAGTTGAACTCTTTACTATATAATGATGATCTATGTGTTTCTTGCTTTGTGAATTGCCTGCTTATGTCCTGTTGTTTTGAAATGTTCCATTTTCATATTGGTTTGTAAGAATTATTTATATAGTAAGGACAGTAATTCATTGCCTATACCATATGGTATAAGTAATTTTTTCCTGATTATTTGCCTTTTATTCACTTACATTATTTGATGATGTATTATTTGATCTCTGTGTATATTTACACACATCTAAATATACATTATTTACACTAACACTTACTTAAAAATACTATTGGAAATTGCACATCATAATCTTAGGAAGGAACCACCATTATATATGTTGGCATCTATTTGAACAGACTGTTTCCTTGTTTTCATACACACACACACACACACGCACACACTTATATGTATATGCATATGAATATGTAAAACATAATCATATATACCATTCAGTGATCTTTTTTTAACATTTGACACTAGATAAATTTTTATGTAAATAAATCTTGATCAGTATTTCTCACGATTGCACTAAGTATTCTAGCTTATTAATATACCTTATTTAGCATTAATATACCTTATTTAGTATTTAATGAATCCTCTATTAATATTTCATCTGCTTTTGATTTTTCAGTACCATTACTAATACTATAACAAAGCGCACTGGGGAAGGCAGAGAAGAGAGATAATGTGTAACAGTAGCTATTGCTTAGGTGCCAGGCACTATTGTTAGCACTTTATGTTAATGTATATTAACCCATTTAGGCCGCTACAAAGTCCATTTTGGTATTTTGCTGGGTTCCTATTGTTCTCTTCCTCTTTTAACACATGAGGCAGTGAAGTCATAGACAGGCAAAGTCACTGCCCAAGGCTTCCCTGGGTTACCTAGACTGCAGGCAAATGCAGCATTGTCTGCCAGATCACCTACTTGCTCTAGAATAGACAGTTCACTTGTGTGCGCTCTTAGACAGAAAGATGAATTGCTCCATAGGAAATGTTCAAAGGCAGAGGACACTCAATGACCATCAGGAACAACATTTTTAGATTTTACATATAAAGGAGATCATGAGGCTGGGCACGGTGGGAGGCCGCACTTTGGGAGCCCAAGGTGGGTGGATTACTTGAGGTCAGGAGTTCGAGACCAGCCTGGCCAACATGGTGAAAACTCATCTCTACTAAAAATACAAAAATCAGCCAGGCATGATGGCAGGCGCCTGTAGTCTCAGCTACTCAGGAGGCTGAGGCAGGAGAATCGCTTGAACCTGGGAGGTGGAGGTTGTAGTGAGCCTAGATTGTGCCATTGCACTCCAGTCTGGGAGACAGAGTAAGACCCCTTCTCAAAACAAAAAAAAAAAAAAATGAAAGAAAGAAATAAAAGAGATCATATAATATTTATCTTTCCCCTTCTGACTTATTTCACTTAACATAATGCCCTCAAGATTTATCCATGTTGTTGCAAATGGCAGAATTTCCTTTTTAATAGCTGAATCATATTCCATCGTGTATATACACATATACATCACGACTTCTTTACCCATTAATTCATTGGACATTGTTTCCACATTTTGGCTATTGTGGATAAAGCTGCAGTGATCATGGGAGTGCAGATGTCTCTGTGTGCTGCTGATTTCATTTTCTTTGGATATATACCCAGAAGAGGGATTGCTGGGCCATATGGTAGTTCTATTTTTAATTTTTCGAGAACTCATAGGAACAGAAAGCGGAACAGTGGTTACCACAGGCAGAGGGTTAAGGGAAAAGAGAAGATGTTGGTCAAATGGTATAAACTTTCATTTATAAGATGAATAGTTTCGGCCGGGCACAGTGGCTCATGCCTGTAATCCCAACACTTTGGGAGGCTGAGGCGGGTGGATCACCTGAGGTCAGGAGTTCGAGACCAGCCTGGCCAACATGGTGAAACCCCATATCTACTAAAAATACAAAAAGTTAGCCAGGCGTGGTGTTGGGTGCCCGTAATCCCAGCTATCTGGGAGGCTGAGGCAGGAGAATCGCTTGAACCTGGGAGGCGGAGGTTGCAATGAGCCGAGATCATGCTGATGCACTCTAGCCTGGGTGACAGAGCAAGACTCTGTCTCAAAAAAATAAAAATAAAATAAAAGGATGAATAATTTCAGGACATTTAATATACAGCACAGTGCTTATAGTTAATGATACTTAATTGCATACTTGAAATTTGCTTAAGTGGTCTCACCACTTAATCACAAAAAAAGAGTAACTAGATGCAGTAATAGATGTGTAGGTATGTTAAGTAACTGGATTGTGGTAAATCATTTTACAAGAGATATGTATATGAAATCATCACATTGAATACCTTAAAATCATAGAATTTGTCACTTTACTTTAATTAAGCTTGAAAAAAATTGGCAAAAAATCTATGAGAAGTAAAATAAGCCAGTCACAAAAAAGACTGAAAAAAAAGAACGACAGTATCTAATATTCAGTGTTATTTTGTCTCCTGCTATTGGAAATTGCACATCATAATCTTAGGAAGGAACCACTATTATATGTGTTGGCATCTATTTGAACAGACTGTTTCCTTGTTTTCACACACACACACACACACACACTTATACACATATGCATATGAATATGTAAAACATCATACATACCATTCAGTGATCTTTTTTTAACATTTGACACTCTAGATAAATTTTTATGTAAATAAATCTTGATCATTATTTCTCACAATTGCACGATAGTCTAGCTTATTAATACACCTTATTTAGCATTTAATGAATCTTCTATTAATATTTCATCTGCTTTTGATTTTTCAGTACCATTACTAATACTATAACAAAGTGCACTGGGGAAGGCCGAGAAGGGAGATAATGCGTAGCAGTAGCTATTGCTTAGGTGTCAGGCACTATTGTTAGCACTTTATATTAATGTATATTAACCCGTTTAGGCCGCTATAAAGCCCATTTTGGTATTTTGCTGGGTTCCTATTTTTTTCTTCCTCTTTTAACACATGAGGCAGTGAAGTCATAGACAGGCAAAGTCACTGCCCAAGGCTTCCCTGGGTTACCTAGACTGCTGGCAAATGCAGCATTGTCTGCCAGATCACCTACTTGCTCTAGAATAGACAGTTCACTTGTGTGCGCTCTTAGACAGGAAGATGAATTCAAATAGCCTCAAATATTCAGGAAAATAAATTCACACAATAATTATATGTGAGTTGTGCATTGAGGAAAAAGGAGAGGGTGGGTGTATTTCTATTTGGGGGAGAAACAGAGCAGAGAGAGCTGCTACAATAAGGAGAGGCATCCAGGAGTGAGGTTGGGAACAGTCAGCATGATCAGAAAGAAGTTATGGGAAACACACGTGCTGCAGGATATCTTGATATTTACAATCAGAAGGAGGACCAGGAATAATGGAAGGCTTGAAGGTATTGAGAAAATAATTGCAATGGGACATGAAGATGTTTTACTCCTGGTGATTTTTGGAGCTATATAACGAGACATACTTCTCTAACATACCTACTTCCTTTATAGCTGCAGGCAACATGCTTATAGTTAAATCACCCTAGATACTGATCTCTAGAACCATTTATGTTTTTCTATTTTACCTAAATAGGGCCTCAGCTAAAAATATGAGGTGCTAGTTGAGGTCCAGATTTTAAATCCTGTCTTCTTGGTTTGGTCTTCTTTATTTCTTCTTTTCTTTTAATATTAGCACTTTTTTAGCTTAAACATATCATTGTTCATCTTTTATTTCTATATTTTCACCCTAAGCCCACTTTCTCCCTCAGATTGTTAGTCTTATTGCATGGAAACCACGTTTTTTTGCTCTCTTGAGTGAGGGAAATGGAAAATGAATCCAGCCCATGGCACAGCCTCAGGGATTTGGAGATCTGTGTAGAATAATTTCATTCAGTTTACATTTAATGGCATATATTTATGTGTTTTGCAGTTTCTTTTATGAATTAAGTTACTGACCACAGTACTGGTGTAGGACTGTGTACAAAGTCCTGGTGTAGTTTCTAGGTAAACTCCTATGGCCACTGTATCAGCTTCATTGAGACAGCAGAATTCAGGGCCAGAGGTCACCTCATATCAAGACATGACTATGTCCTGGGTCACCCAGCACCTGAGGATTGACATGTCTCAAACCAAAAGTAAGTCTATGGAAAGTTCTTCTAAATCTCACAATGTGAAAGAAACATTATGTAGATTTCCCAAATGTATAACAATCTTAATAATTTCTATAATATTACTAATGTTCTTGGGAAGCTAAAAGAAACTTTTCATTGTCATTATTTGAAAAGGTGATCAAAGAGTGTACAGTCAAGAAATGTAGGGAAAGTATCATGATAGGCAGTTAATTATTTTTAAAATATTAAGCACAATTTTTGGGTGTTTATGATGTTTGCTGTATTTGTCAATTTTCAAAATTTTTAATCTGTTGTGATTTATTTTCTCACTCTAAACAAAAATCTCATTTGTGGCTAAGTTTATATTCTTTTACCTAAAGAAGGTCCACACATTGTATAAGTTCCAGACTCAAGATAACCTGGATCTGCCTATCTAGTGGGTTGAGTTCCTCCATCTCTGAGTCTGGGGCCACATTTTGTGGGACTTCAGAGAGTCTGATCTCTTCTTGAGGTAGATTCATAGATGTCTTCTTGAGGTAGTTTCTTCATAAAGCAAAGATAAGCTGCATCATAAAAGTAGGGCCTGCACAAGTTTTTCTTCACCTAATTCTGTCTGTCATATAAGAAACCCAGTTCTTTCCATGTCTCGGCATTAAGTTCTCTATAAATTTAATTTGTCAACCAGACTGTGAAGTGTTTTTCTTGTTTGAGTCTTGTTGCGATTTTAGTGAGGACCTGGGAAATGCTACCTAGGAGGATATTCCTTAGATACTCTTTGAAACCAGAAGTCTCACTGTAATCTTAATTCCCAGTTGGAACATGCATAAGACATCTTGTAGAATTGTGTCCTGTTTCCAGAAATTACTATTTCCTAGGAAGACATTCATTCTGCTTATCCATATCAGCACTTGTATTCTGAGCTGTGGAATCCTTTTCATAGATCTGGTGGTTTTCTGTCTCGTTAACCTGAGAAGGAACAGGGGTTGGGAGGAAACACTTATTTACTCCTTTTGGTTTTCTTTATTGTCTTTGTTTTTGAGACAGAGTCTCACTCTGTTGACCAGGCTAGAGTGCAGTGGCGTGATCTCAGCTCACAGCAACCTCCGCCTCCTGGGTTCAAGCAATTCTCCTGCTTCAGCTTCCGGAGTAGCTGGGATTACAGTCGCCTGCCACCATGCCTGGCTAATTTTTTTTGTATTTTTAGTAGACATGGAGTTTCCCCTTGTTGGTCAGGCTAGTTTGGAACTCCTCACCTCAAGTGATCAGCCCACCTCGGCCTCCCAAAGTGCTAGGATTACAGGCATGAGCTACCATGCACAGCCCTTATTTACCCCTTTTGGACATTAAAATGGGTCCTTTCAGAGACTGATGTAAATCCTGGTTAAATAGTTCCAGTCCAGATGGAAGAAGCAAAGAAATGTTGAGGTTTTTAACAGTTTAGGTTTCGGTCGATGGTCGTTTTGACTTTACAGATTCAGAGATCCAGAAGCCTGGGGAAGAGGAGGGTGACCAAAGCTGGAGGCAACGTCTCAGAAAATGTCACCTCTTCCAAAGAATTGTTTTGCTGTTTTTTTGTTTGTTTGTTTTGCTTTTTTTTGCTGCAGCAGTCAGCAGTTACCTGGAACAGAGACCCCATTATTGGCAAGGCATCACCTTCATTCTCATTGGGATCCAGCCATTATAGTCATCCTGTTTTGTTTTGTTTTGTTTTGTTTTGTTTCTTTTTGTTTTTGTTTTTGTTTTTCTGGTATGTCAGCCAAGATCAAGGGTAAGGAGAGATAGTAGCATTATGAGCTTCCCATTCAGGGTCAACTTTAGTGCCAAGGAACTGGAGATACATCCCAGATGTGGCCCTTGACTGTCCCCTGGCTGTCCTTCACCTTCAGCATGCCCCCTCTAAGTCATGAAGCTTGCAGTAGATCTGCTATGAGTTCTTCCCTTTTCCTCCATAATGCTGCAGTTTATATATCAGATTGGCTTTGTTTCAATATAGACTCATCAACCTTCTATTGTAATAGCAATTCCTCAAAGTTTCTGGCATGTATTAGATTTTCTCTTGTTTCGGGTGCTTATTCATTGAACCATTCATTCACTCATTCATTTGAGAAGCTTTTATTGAGCGCTTACTCTATGCCAGTCAATCTCTGTTTTAGAAGCTTGGGATGCAGAGATGAATTTGAGGAATAAAATAAGTCCTTGCACTCATAGAGCTTACATGCTTGTGGAGGAAGGAGACAATAAATAATAAACAATGAGTGTGTATCATATTTGATTTATTCTAAGACAGTTTCACGTTTTAATATCTCTGAGATTGGGATGTATTTTACAATAATGACATCATACCACTGCTGGCAGATAGGCAGCAGTCATGCAATTCTCACTGCATTCATGTGTGCAAACTTGGCTAAAGCTATAGTAGTGTCATCAGTTCAATTGAGTTACCTGTGTATATTTGCTGGTGCCGAGCTTCATTGTCTTTGAAAATGTCTTCAAAAAGATTACCTTATGATTTAGCTTTGAAACGAAAAGTGATCATGTAGACAGAAAGATACTACATTGGGGCAGAAATGTGACATTCGGAAAGCAAATATTCATTGTTGGAGGAATGAACGCAGTTTTATATTTTCTTGCAAAACAACAGCCAGGCTTTCTGGGGCCTAAGGGATAAAACATGTCCATAAGTAGCTAAAACCTTTCCTAATTCAAACAGTGCAAGTGAATGTTAAAGAAATTGACCAATTGTCCAATACAGATGAAAAATTTCAAGGCCCTGTGAAACTGATATGAAGATGATAATGTGACATAATGGATATGTTCATTAGCTGGATTGTGGTAATCATTTCACAGTATCTACATATACAAAAACATCACAGTGTACACAGTAAATATATACAATTTTTATTTGTCAATTATACCTCAGTAAAGCTGGAGTTGGGGGATAGAAAACATTAGGGTATATATAGATGCTGACAACCAGGTTATACTCCAGGAGAAAGAAACTGATGATGCAGGAAGGGAGGGTAGTTGTAGGTTGGGATCTTCCCTCAGTATCCTGGGGGCTTTTATTGGAAATATGAAAGGGGTTTGGAAGACACCTGTATTCTCATGTGTTCTCATTTTCTTCTTACCTGCGATTCTATTTCTGTTCAGAATACAAGAGCTTTGTGCCTATTTCAAGCTGCTTGGCTCTCTTCTACTCTGATTCCCCTCTGCAGAACTCCACATTGCTCTAGAACGCAGTGCCTCGGTGCCTGGAAGTACCCTGTGGTTGTCCCCATGTTTAATCCTATTTATCTTTAGCTCTTTAACCCTAGAAATAAACATGTAATTGTCATGGAAAATGAGTTCTAAGGAAACAGAATGTTATAGTTCAGCAAGAGGCAATGAGTCACACATTTATCCAGCTTTATAGTCTCCTTTCAGGTTGAGCCGTGGTCCCTGAAGTCCTCAAAGATATTTAACACTCCCTTTTTTTGAGGGTGAAGTAAATAACTGGCAAAATAATGTTGCCATAGATCTTCTCTGAGGAAATTGCAGCACAGATGGAGTATCCTTAATTTGGAAATCCAAAATGCAAAACTTTTTGAGCAATGATATGACACTCAAAAGAGATGCTCATTGAAACATTTTGGATTTTGGATTTTCAGATTTAGAATGCTCAACCAGTAAATATAATGCAAATATTCCAAAACCCAATATCTGAAACGCTTCTGGTCCCAAGCATATCAGATAAGGAATATTCAACCTGTATAACTTTTATCTTAAAATTATTTTGCTGAACTCAAAGTCGAGTTTCAAAATATACTGTAGTGCTCAACAGGTCCTGTTCTCCCTTTCATCAACCATATTGCTCTTCTCCACTTTTTCTCTTCTTTTTCACATTCTGTGAAAGAAAAAAGCATGTTTGGACCAAGTATACCTGTGAAACATACAAAGAAGGAAGCACAGGTATTACAATTAATCATGAGAATAACTCTATCTATTTGTAATATTTATATAATGAGAATAAATGTGTGTGTATATTTATATGTATGTATGTATTTTTATCCACGTGTGAGGTTTAATACCTGCTCAACTGAATCACAATTTTGGTTGTGACCCCAGCGTTCATATGATTTGAGTGACTGATATGAAGAAAGACTGAAATGGTTAACTACATACAGTTAGACTTCTTATTTCATAACTTATGAACTGACCACTGTTTCTCACTTCCAATGCCTTAATCCACAGCAGAAAGTCTGCTGGGAGTCCAGGCCTCCCCACCCACCCCTTCCCTTGCCACACCATTGTAAATGGCTCCCTCTAAGCCAAGAGAATGTGCTTCTTGGCATAAAAGAGATGCCTCCTTCCAGCTAAGCCATCCTCCAAACGTGCTGCCAAAGAAGACCATTGAGTTCTTTCACCACTATGTCAGGCCTAGAAAGAAGTACAGGGTCCAGACCATCTGGAGAATGACTACTGGAGCTCCAAGGGCCCCAGGGGCAGGACTGGTCTCTGTTTGAATTGGGAATTCTGGAACACTGGAGTTCAGAGCCAGGAGCCACTTGTTCCTCTGTTCCGCCCTTTTCCTCACTTCTCCCTTTCACTCTCCTCCACTTTGCAGCCCTTCAGTGTCCTTTCTCTTCCAGTAGTTTCTCCCTCCCACCATCTCACAGCAGGACTCCTCTCTGTGCTGAAGAAGTTTCCAGTCTTTTATACGAACTCTTCCCCAACCTGACACAGCTTCACCATTTCAACATTCCCATGCTGTGTGTCATCCTGTCATGTGAATTATCTTTGTTGAGAGACAAGGGTGTTAGGGGCTGACACGATAATGGCTGGTAATGTGTTTAGTGTGTTACCCTTCTAGGTAAGATGTTTATGTTTTAACAGTCGTTTTCTACAGAAAACAAATGAAGCCACTTTTTTTTTTTTTTTGTCTCAACTCCCTAGGAAATACAATGCACTGACTTTGACTTGAATAGTGGTTAGAAGCCTACTCAAGTCTCTGACCCAGGGACAGAGAACTGTAGGTTTGATTGACCACCACACCATTTATACTAGCTGTGGGAGCCTGGGCAACTTTGTTTATTCACTCGTTCACTCCACAAAGGACTTTTGAGCTTGAACTACATGCGAGCCTCTGTTCTAGCCACCGGAGATACAGATTCACAAAACAAAGTCCCTGCCCTTACAGATCTTACACTCTACGGGGAAGATGGACAACTAAAAAAAAAAAAAATCATTAAAACATTGAACTCATTTTGTTTTCATTCCTGCAGAGGTTGAATGTGAATAATAATAGTATTTCCTTCCTACTGATGTTGTAGGAAACAAATAAGAATCCAATGCATTACATTAGGTACATATTCAATTACATTTGGTATATGTACAGTTCTTAGCAGCAACAGCAGTTACTATTCAGTGACTTTCACCCCCGGACAGGAAGAATGCCTATCCTTAAAGAGACTTTTGAGGACTTGAGGCAGCTGTTGTTTTGTGTGTCTAGCAAACTTTCCCATACATCGTGTCACTTCTCTGCATAATAGCGTCTATCCTCATCTTCATCATATGACCAAGTCCAATATCCCATCTTCTTAACAACCATGTTGGGTTGCAGAGGTGAACACACAACTCAAACAAAGCCAACCTGAGTCCTTCTGGATCTACATATAAACTGCAAGTGAAGGAAATGCTCTCTTTTGGGAATTCTAAGCTGGAGGACTTAGAAATCTGCCACTTGAAGAAGGCCTATGTATTAGTAAGGGCTCTCTAGAGGAACAGAACTAATAGGACAAATTTATAGGTAAAAGGGAGTTTATTAAGGAGAATTGACTCACACAATCACAAGGTAAAGTCCCACGATAGGCCATCTGCAAGTTGAGGAGCGAAGAAGCCAGTGGTGGATCAGTCTGAGTCCCAAAACCTCAAAAGTAGGGAAGCCGATAGTGCAGCCTTCTGTTTGTGGTCACAGGCCCAAGAGCCCCTGGCAAACCACTGGTGTAAGTCCAGGAGTCCAAAAGCTGAAGAACTTGGAGTCTGGTGTTTGAGGGCAGGAAGCATCCAGCTCAGGAGAAAGATGAAGCCTGGAAGACTCAGCAAGTCTGCTCTTCCATCTTCTCCTGCCTGCTTTATTCTAGCAGTGCTGGCAGCTGATTAGATGGTGCCCACCCTGATTGAGGGTGGGTCTGCCTCTCCCAGTCCACTGACTCAAATGTTAATCTCCTTTGGCAACACCCTCACAGACACACCCAGGAACAATACTTTGTGTCCTTTAATCCAATTAAGTTGATACTCACTATTAACTGTCACAGCCTCTCTGCAAAAGGAAATGAGCTCAACCCACAAAGAAAAGTAGAAGCCAATAAGCAGAATTGTTATTAATAGTGTTTTAATTCCATATCAAGCATAAACTTAATTCTCTTAATAACTCCTGAGATAAATACGATGAAGAAACTGAGGCACAGAAAGCTTCAGTAACTGTCCAAGGTCATAGAGCTAATGAGCCACAGGATCAGTAGCTGAACTAGGCATTCTGACTGCAGAATCTTTACATTTGACCCATATCTCGCTCTTCTCTGGCTGCTTAGAGTCCAAGGGTAATAATAGCTCAGGTCCTGGATCCCTCAGCCTTTTCTTTGGTTTTATGAGTAATAACAAAATCCTCCCCATGCATATGAGATTATCTGCATTGAAACTTGTATCTAGTTTAAACTGAAGAGTTTCAAGTGACAAAAATAGGTACTCCTTGTTGGGAAGAAATCCCCTAGGTCAATTCTAGTTTGCCCCTCATCACACTACTCCATCACTCTCTATTTGACAATCCCCACCTTAATATAATTTTATTTCTATAAGTAGGTTTTTTAAAAAAAATAGAGCCACTACTTAGAGATGAGTGTGTGGGTAATTGAAACCAACTTGGAATTACCTTCCGAGTTGATTTTGATTTTGACCCTCATGGTACCGTGACCGTGGACTGTTGCCAAGCTCCTCACATAGAAACTACCCTGAAGGGTTTTATAATATCTATCGTTACTAACAATTAATGTATTTATGGAACATTGCTTACAATTGTATTAATATAAAATACTATGTATGAATTGTTACCTATATGATTAACTCATCAGCTTGATTCACATGCAGAATTTCATTTTAAACTTAAGAACTCACATTCCTTTATGAGAATCTCCTGGGAAGCTTCCATCTTCATGCTTGAATTGTCCAAGAACCTCAGTCTAAAAGAGTTCCTATGTTTCTAAATGAGAGGCAGAGAAAATACTAGCACTTTCTTCTTTTTCTTTTTAGATGAAATTCACTCTGTTGTCCAGGCTGGAGTGCAGTGGTGATCTCAGCTCACTGCAACCTCCGCCTCCTGGGTTCAAGTGATTCTTCTGCCTCAGCCTCCCGGGTGGCTGTCACTACAGGCACGTGCCACCACACCCAGCTAATTTTTGTATTTTTAGTAGAGACGGGGTTTCACTGTATTGGCTAGGCTGGTCTCAAAGTCCTGACCTCGTGATCTGCCCACCTCGGCCTCCCAAAGTGCTGGGACTGCAGGCATTAGCCACCGCTACCAGCCAATACTCGCACTTTCTGACTACTGTGGTCTGCTGTTTCTCTTCATCCTACTAGTACTGCCACTGGAAACTAGCTCTGCATACTTTGATGAGTCTCTGTCCCCCTTGGAATGATAGCTTACTGGTTTGTATCACTATGCCTGCTGAAACGGTTTTTCCACGTGTAAGTTCCCAAGGTTATTGTTCCTTTTAATTTATTGTGTATAGTTCAGCCTTGTTCCCAAGGCACTGACATCATTGAAAAGTGGCTGGTTACAAAGAAGCTTCAACTCCATACTAGAGCAGAATCAGACATTCCAGATCATCTATGAGACTTGGTATCCTTTACTGCCTAGAGACCCCAATAAAGGAACTCCATATCCTTGAAGCTATACAGTAAATAGAGGGCTTTGCCCCTGCTCTGCAGTTCCAGCAGCTGTGAAGGACAGATACCATTGCATGAGCTATGGATCACCTACAGGAGGAAGGAAACTCATTCCAGTAACCAGGGGAAGAGTTGTGGTGAATCATAGACTGTTACTGAGGGAGAGAATTGTGTATAAACCCTCTGAGTAAGTTAAGAAGGAGACTGTATTTCTTAGATGGCAAAGAGTTATGGAAGAATGTTACCTGCAAAGATTCACCAGTCCCTCAGTTGCCAGGTGCAGAATCAGATGTGAATGAATCAATGCCACAACTAAAAAAAACCTGAAAGGCGTTTCTTGCCATGATAAACTTCAGGCTAGAAAAATGGAAGCACCTGTGTGCACAGGTGGTATTTTCAAGATAAAGAAGTGAATTGCAGCTAAGTGACTTGAATATTTACAAAAGATGCAAAGTGACCTTGGTATATCAGAATAGGAGTCTACCAAGGTTTGCAGTGATTTCAAAAGGCCTATGCACACAGCATTTGTAAGACGTACAAAAATCACTCAAGACCTGGGCTTTCTGTACATAAAAAAGAAAAAAAACCGCTCAGATACAATGCAAAATCAGTTTCTTAGGGTGACAGTAATGCGAAGATTGCATTCACATTTGCACATGAATATAATATGGGAATTCACTGGAGACAGTATCTGTGATCTCAGCTATCTATATATGCCAACATAAACAGTGTAGGAAAATGCAGTATGTTCCAGAAAGCTCAGAAATATATATCACAAGCATATTTTGTGTTATCTGAAGCCATTTTTAACACTTGATAAAGCTTATTTTATTTGAACATATAATGCTTTTTATAAGAATCAGATCAAATAGAAGGACAAGATGAATTGCATTCTAGGGTTTTTAAAGACATACTGATTTATTTAAGAAAATATTAAGCAACTACTAAATTCTACTCAGTATGCCAAATACTGGGGATTAACATATGAAAAAACAATCACTCTTGTCTCTAAACAATTCAAAATTAAATGGGGGAGATTCACGTAAGTTGATCATTATAATGGAAAGTCATATGGTCAAAAGAATAAAGGAATAAGTAAAATCATTGTTGAAATATATTGTGAATGGCATGGCCAGCCTGAGGAGTTGCAAACAAAATTTGCAAAATTGGCACAGAGGCAACATATTGTCATGATGGAAACAGCTCGCTATGCAACTGATGAACGTCACATTTAGTAAAAAAGCTGAATAATGACTACATTTTTGTCCTGTGTTGCTGACAGTAGAATATTAAATTTGCAAGAAGTAATTCCATTGATAAATGTTGATTAAACAACATTGTGTATAAGATTCTGTCCTCAGCACAGCCTAGCACATTAGAATGTAATTTTTAAGAAGGAAGAAGTAACTGTCAATGTGAAAGTCACAGATAATTTAGGAAAAAGAAATCATAACAACTCAAAATGTCTAATGTTATATAAAATGATATATTTAAAATGTATTCTAGGAAATATTGACATCAATAGGTTGAGAGAAAAAACGCAATGAACAGGAGCCATTCCTGAGTATGCAGGGAAGAGAAGATCTCTTTTTCATGCTTAATCATTTATTTGTATTTGTAATATACCTTGTTCTCAGTGTTTTTGAAAAAATTTACAAGAATACATTTACTGAAATAAAAACTAGAAATAAAAACAGAAAATCAGACAAAGGAAATACAAAGACAACAATGACAAACATAAGTCAACCCATGTGCCGTATTTACACTCTGAATTTAAGTCTTCTTTTCTCCCATGAAAAAGAAGACATGATTTGATTTGTTATCTCTTTCCCATGATCAGATATCAGAGGAACACTGAATTCTACAATTTCTTTGGACCATCAGCATTAGCATCTGTTGGAAGTGAAAACAATTAGAATCTGCATTTAAACAAGATCCCAGACGATATATATGCACATTAGTTTGAGAAGCAGTGTTCTAAAAGTCATCCTTCAGCCGGGATTTCATACAGGAAATCCTGAGTGATATAATCGTCCATGTAATGAATGACATAAACAATACATGTTTCCTATAGAAATTTTTGAAATGACAAAGGATATGATAAAACTAAACCCAGGGCAGAGAGTTCTTGGACATGACCTTGCAAATGCAATTCATAAAAGAAAAATTTGGTACACTGGACCCCATCAACATTTAAAACTTTTGCTCTGAGAAAAAACTTAAGAGGATGAAAAGGCAAGATACAGACTAGGAGAAAATATTTTCAAACTATACATGCAAGAAATGACTTGTGTCCCAAATATATAAAAACTCTTATTTATTTTTTATTTTTTGAGACAGAGTTTTTCTCTTGTTGCCCAGGCTGGAGTGCAATGGTGCAATCTCAGCTCACTGCAACCTCTGCCTCCCGGGTTCAAGCAATTCTCCTGCCTCAGCCTCCTGAAGTAGCTGGGATTACAGGCGGCCACCACCACTCCCAGCTAATTTTTTTTGTATTTTTAGTAGAGACGGGGCTTCACCATGTTGGCCAGGCTGGTCTTGAACTCCTGACCTCAGGTGATCCAGCTGCCTCAACCTCCAGACGTGCTGGGATTACAGGTGTGAGCCACCATGCCTGGCCTAGAAAGAACTCTTAACACTCAACAGCAAAACAAACAAACAATTGAATTCAGAAATGAATGGAATACACTGTTATGGGCTGAATTTTGTCCCCCGTACCCCAATTCATATGTTGAAGCCCTAACCCCCAGTATCTCAGAATGTGACTGTATTTGGAAATGGGAACTTTAAAAAGGTGATTAAGTTAAAATAAGACCGTTAAGGTGGCTTAATCCAATCTGATGAAGTCCTTATAAGAAAAGAAAATTAGGCCGGGCAAGGTGGCTGACGCCTGTATCCAGCACTTTGGGAGGCCGAGGCAGGCAGATCACCAGGTCAAGAGATAGAGACCATCCTGGCCAACATGGTGAAACCCCGTTTCTACTAAAACTTCAAAAATTAGCTAGGCGTGATGGGGCGTGCCTGTAATCCCAGCTACTTGGGAGGCTGAGGCAGGAGAATCGCTTGAACCTGGGAGGCAGAGGTTGCAGTGAGCCAAGAGATCGGGCCACTGCATTCCAGCCTGGCAACAGAGTCTCTGTCTTGAAAAGAAAAAGAAAAAGAAAAGAAGAGAAGAGAAAGGAGAGAAAGGAAAGGAAAAGAAAAAAAAAAAAGAAAATTAGGGCACAGGAGAGGCCCCACAGGATACAGCAGAGACCCTGGGGATTCACAGAGGAAAGACCATGTGAGACACAGCACGGAGATGGCCAACTGCAAGCCAAGGAAAGGTGCCTCAGAAGAAACCAAACCTTGTTACTCTGACCAACACCAACACCTCTGTTTTGGTCAACCAAACCAACACCTTAATCTTGGACTCCTGGATTCCAGAACTGTGAGAAAAGTATTTCTGTTGTTTAAGCCATGCAGGCTGTGGTGGGTTATGGCAGTCCTAGCAAACTAATAGAAACATGAACAGACTTTTCACCAAAAAGAGATATAGACAGCAAATAAACTCGAAAAGATGTTCCACTGAGAAAGTGTGAGTTAAAACCACAATACCATATCACCACCCGCCTATTAGAACAGCTGAAATAAAAACCAATGCTTACACCAAATGCTGGTGAGGATGTGGATAAACTGTCTCTCTCCCACACTGCTGGAGGGAATGTCAAAATGGTACAGCCACTATGGAAATTAATTTGGCAGTTTCTTATCAAAGTAAACATGCACTTACGTACAACCCAGCACTCACACTCCTGGGCATCTATCCCAGAAAAATGAAAAGTTACGTTCATGCAAGAACTTGTACACAGATGTTCACAGCAGCTTTATTCATAATAGCCAAAAAGTGGAAACAACATAAATGTCCTTCAGCAAGTGAATGGTTAAATATAGTCTGGTGTATTCATACAATGTAATAGTACCACTCAGCAAAAACCAAACAAACAGAAAAAGGAACTATTGATACACACAACTGGGATGAACTCAAAGCCATCTCAAAATACATACTGTGTAATTTCATTTATATAACTTTCTCAAAAAGAAAACATTATAAAGATGGAAATTAGATTTTTGATTTCCATGGACAGAGACAAGGGAGGGGAGCTGGTGTTTCTATAAAGGGATAGCCTGAGGTAGTTTCTTTGTAGTGACTGAACAGTTCTGTCTTGGTTTATGGTGGTGGTTGCACAAATCTATAAATGGAATCAAATTGAATAGAACTACACACACACACATACACACAAATGAACTTACGTAAAAACTGGTGAAAACGAATAAGATCGATTGTCCAGTGAGCAGTATTGTACCAATGTCAATTTCCTGCTTTTGATTTTGTACTACAGTGATACAAGATGTCACCAGATGGAACCTGGGTAAAATGTATTATGGGATTCTATGTACTATTTTAGCAGCTTCCCAGGAGTCTATAATGATTTCAAAAGAATTTAAAACATAAAAGATCATTATAAACCCAGATGACAACGGAATCTTGCAACCAAGTTATCATGACACACCTATAATTCACTTATCCCATTATCGCCAGAAGTAGCATCAGCAACAAAAGTTGGAACAAAGGGGAAACAACAAAAATTGGTACTAGAAAACCTAGTGGGGGAGCTTGCAAAAATTTAGTTCAGATCCAGACATTGATGATAGAAATGAAAAGACTGACTTCAGATCTAAGTTGTGATGGTTAATATTGACTGTCAACTTGATTGGATTGAAGGATGCAAAGTATTGTTCCTGGGTGTGTCTGTGAGGGTGTTGCCAAAGGAGATTAACACTTGAGTCAGTGGACTGGGAGAGGCAGACCCACCCTCAACCTGGGTGGGCACCCTTTAATCAGCCGCCAGGGAGGCTAGGATAAAGCAGGCAGAAGAACATGGAAAAACTAGACTAGCTTAGTCTTCCGGCCTCCTTCTTTCTCCCGTGATGGATGCTTCCTGCCCTCGAACATCAGACTCCAAGTTCTTCAGCTTTTGGACTCTTGGAGCTTCAACTACAGATTGAAAGCTGCAATGTCGGCTTCCCTGCTTTTGAGGTTTTGGGATTTGGACTGGCATCCTTGCTCTTCAGCTTGCAGACAGCCTATTGTGGAACTTCACCTTGTGTGAGTCAATTCTCCTTCATAAACTCCTCTTTATATGTACATCTACCTTATTAGTTCTGTCCCTCTAGAGAACACTAACATATAAGTGTTGAAAACTATATTCAGTATCCAAAGGTAAGTGATACATTCAAGAGAAGACCAGGGACCAGGCACGGAGGCTCGCGCCTGTAGTCCCAGCACTTTGGGGGTTGAGGCAGGCAGATCACCTGAGGTCGGGAGTTTGAGACCAGCCTGACCAACATGGAAAAATCCCATCTCTACTAAAAATACAAAAAAATTAGCTGGGCTTGGTGGCGGGCACCTGTAATCCCAGCTACTTGGGAGGCTGAGGCAGGAAAATCGCTTGAACCCAGGAGGCAGAGGTTGCAGTGAGCCGAGATTGCACCATTGCACCATTGCACTCCAGCCTGGGCAACAGGGGTGAAACTCTGTCTCAAAAAAAAAAAAAAAAAAAAAAAAAGAGAGAGACAGAAGACCAGGGTGAGTCCAGCTGAAATAGCATCAGAGGCATCCTCCCTGGCACTGAATGGCTCTATTCTGTGGTGGTGACTCTACTCTGTGGGCATCTTGAAGGCACTGTGTGGCCTAATGACCTGACAAATTAAAGAAGGGAATAGGAAATATTCGTTGATATATCTGTCAATTCAATCTTTAAAAAATACTTACCAGACAAAAACTACTATACTGTGAAGAAGAAAGTAAGATGATAAGCAGGCTATACTCAGCGATGCTATTCCAAAATGATATGATATAATGGAAGAAAGACATACCACATTTGACATTTACAATGATGGTGCAGTCTTTTACACATTGCTGGTAGGAATGTAATGCAGTGCAAACACTCTGGAAAATAATTTGGCATTTCTAAAAATTTAACATGCCCCTACTATACAATTCCACAACCATAATGTGTGGGTGATTCCATTAAATATAATAGAGAAAAGATCACATTAAAGAAAAATGAACTGGGAGTGGTGGCTCACACCTGTAATCTCAGCACTTTGGGAGGCTAAGGAGGGTGGATCACCTGAGGTCAGGAGTTCAAAACCAGCCTGGTCAACATTGGCGAAACCCTTTCTCTACTAAAAATACAAAAATTAGCTGGGCGTGGGGGCGGGCGCCTGTAATCTCAGCTACTCGGGAGGCTGAGGCAGGAGAATCTCTTGAACCTGGGAGGTGGAGGTTGCAGTGACCTGAGATCATGCCACTGCACTCCAGCCTGGGTGGCAAGGAGAAATTCGGTCTCAAAAAAAATAAAAATAAAAAAAAAATAAGGAAAATGAGACTAAGATAAAGTTTAAAACTGTGCAAAATGTGTTGTGTTACATTTAATGCTGTCCCCAAATAGCTCGGGCTATTAGAATTGCCTCTATTGAGGTTAACTTGAGGCACAGCATGAATAAATGCTCCAGAAAATAATTTCACTTCTAAGCAAAGCACTCGTACATCTTATTTGTCAGTGTGGATTCAGGCTCACCTAAGTGTGTGTTCTCATAGACATGGCACATGCGCCTACAGTGTGAGAGCGTTGTTTCTAGAATTACTTCCTTTATAAGTACATCCATGTTCCTATTTCAGAGAATTTGAAACTACCTTGGTAGGGTGATCATAGCATGATTAGAGATGAAACACCGTAATACATCCTTTAATTCTATTTCACAACATTTTCAGATTTGATCAACAAGGCTAATTAACTCACGATTTTATTCACATTTCAGTTTAAAGCTTGAGAAATTATGAAATCCTAATTTCAGTCCTTGTCCTCTTGACTTTTTCAGAAACTGCATTTTCCATGTGGGGCTAGTGGGGCTCTGTTTGACAGCATGAAGCTTCTTCTTAATAAATCTCCTCCTTAGACCGAATACACTGAATTTATCCACTCTAAACTCACAGTGGGGAGGTGCTGGCTCTGGGCGCTCTCCCTAAGCTCTTCTCTGATGGCTGTTTGCTTAGTATTCTATTGTACAGAGTCCCTGTTTATTGGAAACTGGTTTCTGGACCTACTCATTTGAATGCCACCACCAGCCTGGCAGATTTCACCAGGTGGAAATGAATGGATTTTCCGTAATGTAGGACCTCATCACAGCATGCCAGTTCAGGAATTCCATTGTTTAACCAATACCTAAAGTCATAACCTTTTGGAAGGTAAATATTTAATCTTCTAGCTCTCTATTACAAATTATCAACGCCCCCCCGAACCCCAGCAAACTCCCTCTGTCTTTTTAAAAATAGATGAACGTATATTGGTAGAACTGGACAGATATCAAATAATGAATGAGCTTTTCACTTTTGTAGTTTAAACATCTGAAAAAGACCAGATCATGTAATGGGGAACTTCAATGTTCCAGACTATTTTCTTTGGCTGAGTTTTGGAAAGAGTGCAGTGTAGGAAAAGTTTTGAGGTAAGTTTTAGATGACATGACTAGTGACAAGCTCTATTTGGTTAAGTCACCCCAGTTATGTGTGTAATGTTTCCTATTTCTGAGGAATCATTAAAGAAGGCGTAATTCTATCTAAGTTAGAATATTTGCTTAGTTCTAACCACCTTGAGGTTAAAATGTGCTGGTTTGTACCATCTAGACCTCCCTGCTGCCTTCCCTCCTGACCTCAACCCCTTCTCTTTTGTGTTGTATTTCTCTCCTTCCCTCCTTCTCTCATCTCTTCCTCTCTTTGGTTTAAAAAGAACAGTTTCATATTTCACACAGCATTTTACTTTGTCTTTCATGTATAGGACAGAAAAATCAGGTATAGGCTATAGTTGAAAATACATTTTCTGCACCTGCAGTGTTTGCAATAATAAGAAAAAAAACCCTTGAGATGAAATTGACATAACATAAAATTTACCATTTTAATGTGATAAGTCCACAGCATCTAGTGCATTTATAATGTTGTGTAAGCACCACTTTTATCTTGTCCTTAACCATTTTCATTTTAAAATAAACCCCCATACCAATCAAGCAATTTTTCCCAATTCCCCCTCCCCTCAGCCACTGGCAACCAATAATTGGCTTTTTATTTCTCTGGATTTACTTATTTTGAATATTTCATATAAATGGCATCATACAATATATGACCTTTTTGTTTGGCTTCTTTCACTAACATAATGTTTTTGAGATTCCTTCATATTGTAGTAGGTATTAGTACTACATTCCTTTTAAAGACTGAAGAATACTCCATTGTTTATATATACCAACAATTATTTATTCAGTCAGTCTTTCCGGTGGCCTCTAGACAGGTTAGAATATACCCACAATTTAATTTTTAAATAAGGTTTGCTCTTTTCGCTCCATAACCAGGGATCAGAGTTCCATGCTGGAAACACGAGCTGCTATCTTCAAGGCTGCCGCCGAGAGGGGAGTACGTGGGGCAAGGACGAGGCAAAAAATGCCACAAAACTCTCCTACCATTACTACATTAACTTTTTTTTCCTTTGATTTGTTGTTTAGTAAGTTGCTGTAAAACTTTTGGTTTGTTCTTCTGGTTCACTTTGAGCTTTGTCCATTCACTCTCTCTTTTGAGTTTTTATCGTTAAGAAATACTTAAATTTTGAAGATCTTTGGATACTTTTTAAACAAATGAAATCTCTTCTTGCCTCTCACTGATGATATTAGAAATATCTATTTTAAAGTCCTGGCATGCTTAATTTCCTGTTTCTTCAACCATTTGCTGGATTTGGTACCTCCCTTTCATGGGCCGGGTGCTTGGCTCTGTTTAACTGTATGCGAATGATTTCCTGTGAGTCTATTTATGACAATATTGTCGTTACCCACCACTTCCCTTGAGCATTTGCCAGAGAGGAAAGGCTACTACCAGGCTGGGCACCCTGCAGCGTGTCCTTAGCACCTGGGGTGATGA
This sequence comes from Homo sapiens, assembly GCF_000001405.40. Lineage (NCBI taxonomy): Eukaryota > Metazoa > Chordata > Mammalia > Primates > Hominidae > Homo > Homo sapiens. Next base: position 12,497,877 of record NC_000017.11, read on the forward strand.
GTCTCAAGAGAGGTGAGCCAGTGTGCTTCCCGAGAGTGTGGGCTCCCTTCCCCCTCAGGTGTCCCACGTGTCCCAGAGTTACTCCCATTGCGCTTTATTTAGACCAAGTGCCTGCGCTTCTGCTCTATCTAGCAAGCAGACATTGGTGTTGGGTAGGATAGTCAACCTGTCTCATTGCCCAGAAAACCAGAATTCCACCCAGCGTGTCCCATCTACTCCAGAGTCCCTCCTGCTCCTAATACTTACTAATGAGTAATTACGGTGAGGGAGCACCTGGAGTGCTTCTATCTTTTGGCAGCTGCTCTCTCCCGCTCCTCTTTTTTTGCCTATGGTTTTCCTTGTTTATCCTCTATTCATCTTCCAAAGAGTTTTCAGGTCTCCACCATCAGCGCATTGTATTTTCTCTTAGTATGAGTCTGAACTCATTGTGAATATGATTTCTGCCATTTCTGGGAACTTGAGAACAGTGGAGGAATAGGTCATAAAATATTCTTAATCTACCTTTTGAACTCTTTCTACCACTCTCTTTCCTACTTGGCCATATTTCCTGACAGTGCCAATAGCATTTCCTTCCTCCACTCTCTTTGCAGAGATTGTTTTTCTCTGTCTTCCCCTCAAATTTGTCGAAATAGTATTCTTCTCTACTTCTTCATCTGGGCTGGGCAATGTTTCAACACACTTTTTTTTTCCTTGATATTTCTTCTCTTTGAGCAGAACGATAAATGTGGCATAGGTTAACAAAGAGTTCACAAGAATGCTGTCAGAGAGAAGACAGAAAAGTAGAGACACTGGTGTGTTTTACAAATGAGGCTGTTTTCTAACATACTTAAGCATTCTTCCCATAATTAACAATGGCAGATCTTGCCTGGCTGCAGCAACATTGAAATTTACGTTGGTTTTTAAAATGTTTTATGTTGAAACTCCCAAGACTCCCATATCTCCCACCTGAGTGAATACTAATATTTTCTGGCTATCGTATATTTCACTTCCAACCTAGCGTGTAATGCACTTCATACTTGTACATTCTTGTGTTTATGTAAATATCAATGTAGATTTCTGGAAACAACATCCATGTCAAGTGTGGCTTTAATCAGGCACATTCTTTTAAGAAGAAACTTTGGAAACACAATCAAAGCACAATCAACTTGAAGACTTTGATAAGGCTAAATTATGTCTTAGCTAGTTATTTGCTATCATTTGATGTTTTAGAGTGGACTGATACTGCTTATGGCTTTTTTCATTCAGAAATGCAAAACAGTTTTTTATTTCAAATGAACAAGAGTACTTCAGAATTAAGACTTCAGATAACATAGGATGACCTAAAAGCCAAACCAAATTCTATCACCTTTCTTAAGTATGGCCTTTTCCCAGTGCCCTAGAGTGAAGAATAAACCATCAGATAAGTCAGATTTTGTAATTTTGCTCAATGTAATAGACTAGTTTTTACCTTCTAGTTTGTTAACCAACCATAAGCATTCTTTCTCTACTAATCAGTGAGTTGTCTGAGAAAAGTCTGAGGCAATTTGATTTCAAAATGTATTGTCTTCTTTTTATCCCCTTGATGATTATATATCCCCCTAGAGAGAACCAGTTACTAAGTTCATTCCAACCTACTGAAAATGTATTTAACTTGAGTCTGAGTTTTCTTATTTCTAAAACAGCTGTACCAATTCATGAAGAAGACATAAAAATTCTAAATGTTTATGCACCTAAACACCTTGCTTTAAAAAAATGACGTGAAACTTTTCTAAAAGGGCAAACAGAAAAATCCACTATTATAGGTGGGGACTTTAACATTCTTCTCTCAGTAATTGAAGGATGTGAATACACAAACGTATCAATGTGAGTATAGAAGATTGAAATAAGTTTAACCAAATTCACTTAATTGACATTTGTAGAAGTCTACCCTAAAATCAGAATATACGTTCTTCTTACTATACTGTGGAATATTTCGTGAGATAGACTATATGCTGAGTTATAAAGCAAGTACCAATACGTTCAAGAGGATTGATGTCATTGATATGCTCTCTGACAACAATGGAAGTAAATTAGAAACTAATAAAGAAGGCTGGGCATGGTGGCAAACACCTGTAGTCCCACTGCTTTGGGAGGCCAAGGCAGGACCTGGGCAACATAATGAGGTCCTCATTGTTACACAACAAAACAAAATAGCCAGCATTCACTCATGCCTTTAATCTTAGCTACTCAGGAAGCAGAGAAGGAAGGACTGCTTGAGGCCTGAGGTTCAAGCCTGCAGTAAGAAAAAAAAAAAAAAAAGAAAAGGAAACAAAAAAAGATAAATAAAGGAATAATACCTGGAAAAATCATTTGAAAATTAAATAAGTAATTTTATGTAATCCATGAGTCGAAAAGGAAAAGTTACAAGAGAAATCAGAAAATATTTTGAATGAATGATAATGATAGCACAATGTATTCTTGAGATTCTTAAATTAGTATATACACAGAAAACTAGCTTTAACTATTGTATAAGAAAAGGAGAAAGACTTAAAATCAGTTCTCTATACTCTTACTTTGAAGAACCAGAAAGAAAAGAGCATATTAAGCCTAAAACAAGCAGAAGGAAGAATATAATAAAGATAACAGGAGAAGTTGAAACAGAAGACTGATTTAAAAAAAAAAACAACAGAAAAATTAGCAAACCCAAGTTTGATTCTTTGAAAAGATTAATTAAATTGATGACTCCCTGACAAGACTGGTCAAGTAGAAAAGAATACCTAAATACAAACGTAAGAAAACAGACACCACTACAAATCCTACAGACATAAAATGTATCCTACAGGCATAAAATCCTACAGGCATAAAGAATGAAACATAAGAATAATGAAAAAATAAGCTATTAAATTTGACAACTTAGATAGAATGGTCAACTTTTTTGTGAAAACAACTTACTATAACTAACACAATAATTAAAAGCAAATCTAATAGTAATTTATCTTTTACAAATTGTGTAATTAAATACTTACCTATGAAGAAAACCAAAATCCTAGATAGCTAGGATTTTGAATATCAATTCAACATAGATGATTTCAGAAACTAGAGGAGGACTGCTTGCTTTCCAATTTATTTCGTAAGTATCACCCTGGAAACAAAACCAGGCAGGGGCATTACAAGAAAAAATTATTACAGACCAATATCTTTCATAAACATAGACATAAAATTTTTACCAAAATATTAGCAAATAAAATTTGGCAATGTATAGAAAGATTGATATATCTTGGGCAATTACAACTTATCCAAGGCATATAAAGGTGTAACATCAAAAAATCAATCCATATATCTATATATGTGGAGATAATGTATCGTACTAGATACTATATCATAAGAACATTTTATATTACATATACCACAAACTAAAAATTGAGTCCAATGATCCAATGAACAGAGTTAAGTTCTTATATTGCTTTTTGCAAACAAAACTGGTTCTAAGCATTAGGTATATTCAATGATGTCTAGCCATCTAGAATATTAGATGTTAAAAAAAATATTCAACATCACAACATTGCTTGTCACAAAATGTATGACAATATCCACCAGCAATAGGTTAATGTTAAGAGGTGATTTTATAAAAGACTCCTAGGTTTGATAAATAAAAGACTCCTAGGTTTGATAAATAAATTCAGTAAAGTCTCAGGTTTCAAAACTAACGCCATTAGGGCATTGACAAGATAGATATCTAGTGTAATATGTCAGTGTTTTTCTGACAGATGCAACATGGTAGAAATGTCATTGAAAATGTTGATTTGCCTTTGTTTATCATTTTCAAATGTGTTTGTATATACATATACACAGTTATTTGTATAACAGAAAAATGCCACATATGGTCAAACAGCCTAAGTTAGAGAAGTTTCCATTTGCCAGTGGAATTTGACTTTCATCAATAGTAAATTGTTTTGTATTTAAAACGTTTCTCTTTGTAGAATTAATTTAAAAGTCTTCACGGGGATACTAGCAATAGTAGCACAGATGAATTCTACCAGACATTCAAAGAAGAATTGGCACCAATCCTACTGAAACTATTTCAAAAGATCAAGAAGGAGGGAATCCTCCCTAACTCATTCTATGAAGCCAGTATCACCCTGATACCAAAGCCAGAAAAGGATATAACAACAACAAAAAAAGAAAGAAAACTACAGACCAACATCCTTGATGAACACAGAAACAAAAATCTTCAATAAAATACTAGCAAACTGAGTCCAAGAGCACATCAAAAAGAAAATTCACCATGATAAAGTGGTTTTCATCCCAGGGATGCAAGAATGGTTCAGCATTCACAAGTCAATAAATGTGATTCACTACATAAACAGAAAAAAACCCGAAAACATTATGATCATCTCAACAGATACAGGAAAAGAATTTGATAAAATCCATCATCACCTTATGATAAAAACCCTCAACAAATTAACCATAGGAGGAACATATGTCAAAATAATAAAAGCCATATATGACAAACACACAGTTAACATTATACTGAATGGGAAAAAGTTAAAAAGCATTTCCCCTAAGAATCGGAATAAGACAAAGATTTCCGCTTTCACTACTTTTATTCAACATAGTACTGGAAGTCCTAGCCAGAGCAATTGAGCAAGAGAAAAAAAATAAAGGGCAACCAAATCGGAAAAGAAAAAATCAAACTATCTCTGTTTGCTGATGATAGAATCTTATATCTAGAAAATCCTAAAGACTCCTCCAAAAGACTCCTAGGTTTGATAAATAAATTCAGTAAAGTCTCAGGTTACAAAACAAGTTTACACAAATCGGTAGCACCACTATACACCAATAACAACCAACCTGAGAATCAAATCAAGAAGTTGATGTCAGTTACAATAGCTGCAAAAATAAAAAATAAAAACCTAGGAATATACATAACCAGGAAGGTGAAAGATCTCTACAAAAAAAAAAAAAAACAAAAAAAAACTGTGTAACACTGAAGAAAGAAGTCATACATGACACAAACAAATGGAAAAACATCCCATGCTTATGAACTAGAAGAATCAATACTGTGAAAATGACCATACTGCTCCAAGAAACCTACAGATTTAATGCAGTTTCTATCAAAATACCAATGTCATTTTTCACAGAATTAGAAAAAATTCTAAAGTTCATATGGAAAAAAAGGAGCCCAAATAACCAAGCAATCCTAAGCAAAAATAATAAATCTGGAGGCATCACATTACCCAACTTCAAATTATACCACAACATTATAGTAACCAAAATAGCATGGTGCTGCTATAAAAGTAGACACATAGATCAATGGAACACAATAGAGAATCCAGAAATAAAGCCAAATACATAAAACCAACTGATCTTTGACAAAGCAGACAAAAACAGACACTGGGAAAATGACGCCCTATTCAATAAATAGTGCTGGGAAATTTGGATAGCCACACATGGAAGAATAAAACTGAATCCCTGTATTTCACCAAATGCAAAAATTAACTCAAAATGGATTAAAGACTTAAGTCTAGGTCCTGAAACCACAAACATTCTAGAATAAAATTTAAGAAAAACTCTTCTGGACATTGGCCTAGGCAAATAATTTATGACTAAGACCCCCAAAGCAAATACAAAAAACCAAAAATAAATAAATGGGACCTAATTAAACTAAAAAGCTTTGGACAGCAAAAGAAATAATCAACAAAGAAATAGACACCTACAGAATGGGAGATAATATTCACAAACTATACATCTGACAAAGGACTAATATCCAAGCAAGATATTCAAACAAATCAGCAAGAAAAAAAACCAATAATCCCATTAAAAAGTAGGAAAATGACATTAGCAGACATTTCTCAAAAGAAGATATACAAATAGCTAGCGGATATAGGGAAAAATGCTCATCACTAATCATCAGGGAAATGCAAATTAAAACCACAATGAGATACCACCTCCCTCTAGGCAGGGTGGCCATGATTAAAAGTCAAAAACAGTAGATGTTGGCACAGATGGATTGGAAAAAAAACACTTACTCACTGCTAGTGGGAATGTAAATTAGTACAACCTCTATGGAAAACAGTATGGGGATTTCTCAAAGAACTAAAAGTAGATCTACCATTCAATCCAGCAATCCCACTACTGAATACCTAACCAAAGGAAAATAAGTCATTATGTCAAAAGGTCACTTGCATGCGTATATTTATCACAGCACAATTCACAGTCATAAAAATATGGAATCAACCTAAATGCCCATCCAACTGATGAGTGGATAAAGAAAATTCTGTGTATGTATATATATTGTATAATATATAATGTATATATAAAGTATATATGTGAGTGTATATGTATGTATATATACACATAAACACACACACATTTTCTCTATCCACTCATCAGTTGATGGACATTTAGATTGATATATATCATATATATGGCTCAGTATGTGCACACACACACACACACACACACACACACCGTAGAATACTACTCAGCCACAAAAAAGGTGAAATAATGTCTTTTGCAGCAACTTGAATGGAACTGGAGGTCAGTATCCTAAGTGAAGCAGCTCAGGAGCAGAAAACCAAATACCACATGTTCTACTTACAACTGGGAGCCAAGCTATGGCTATGCAAAGACATACACAGTGGTATAATGGACGTTGCAGACTCAGAAGAGGGGGTGTAAGGGGGATGAGGGATGCAAAATTATCTATTGGGTACAAGGTACACTACTCAGGTGATGGGTACACTGGAAGCCCCGACTTTACCACTATACAATTCATCCATGTAACCAAAAACCACTCGTACCTTTAAAGCTATTGAAATAAAAAAATGTAAGAAATCAATCCATGTCATCCACTACATTAACCAAATGAAGAAAATCAAATGGTCATGTCAATCGATGGAGAAATAGCATTTGGCAAAGCTCAACATCCATTTATGATAAAAGTTCTCAGCAAATTAGGAATAGAAGGGAACTCCTCCAATTTGATAAACAGCACACAAGAGAAACATGTGGCTAATATTATATTTAATGGTGAAATACCAAATGCGTTTCCCCTATGATCGGTAGCAGAGTGAGGATGTTCACATTTACTACTTCCATTAAACTTTAGGTTTGAGGTCCTACTCAGTGCAATAACATAAGAAATAAAAGATACAAACATTGGAAATGGGGATGTAAGACTGTCTTTATTTTCAGATAACATACTTGTATATATAGTAAATCCAAAGGAATCTATGAAAAATACAAGAACAATTAAATAAACTCATGTTTGTAAGATACATGGTCAGTATACAAAAATCCATTGTTGGTCTGTAAAACAACAATGAACAAATGGTAACTGAATTTTAAAAATACTATTCACAATAAAACTGTAGTCATACATTTAATGAAAGGTACACAAGATCTCTGTAAACTACAAGACATTGATAAAAATATGACCTAAATAAATGGAGGTATTTGTCATGTTCATAGTTTGGAAGGCTTACTGTTGTTCAAATATCACTTATTCCCCTCCCCCAAACTGCTTTTTGAAGATAATACAAAATTCTAGAGTAAATTAGCTATAAACTGGGAGACTGATGAGTCACCTACAATTGAAGTATAAGAAAATATGGTATCTATTTTGGCTACATCTGATGTTGTTTTAATTTTTTTTTTAATTTCTGGGTTTTTTTTGTTTATTTCTTTTTCTTCCTGGTTCTTGTTCCAAATGGTTGAATTTGTCAGACAAGGCATTTCAGATAATTATACAATTGTTGTTCTTTACAACAATATGACACACTTCAAGGTAGAAGTTTTCAGAATATTCAGTCATTCATTTATTCAACAAATTATTATGGAGAACCTACTATGTTTTAGCCACTGTTCTCTGTGCACTTGGATATATATACCAGGAAACTTGAGGCCACACCAAGCCTGTAGAAGAACTAAAGTCAGTAAGTCAGAGACTAGGATGTATGGTGCTTTCAGAGTTCCCACAACGAGAAACGATATAAGATATATCAAATGTAATTAACAAAGTATTTATTTTAAAAAATGCATCCATAGTATTTACTAGGTACAAACCTAGAGGTAGAAATTGACAGCAATCCAATATTAAGGAGGAGTCAATTGTTTATATACAAACTTTAATGTTTTAAAACATCTGGCTTCCAATTTACTAAACAGGTTTTGGCGAACATATGGTACAACTGAAACACACACGTGGTTGGAGGGAGTGCCAAATGGCAGAACCATTTTGCAAATCTGTTTGGAGTTTCTTCCAAAGTTACATGTACAAACACCATATGAACCTGCTCTTAGGCATTTACCCAAGGGAGATGAAAAAGTCCATTAAAAAAAAAAACTTGTTCACAAATGTGCTTAGCAGCTTTATCCATAATAACCCCAAACAGTAAACAATCCAAAGACCCATTCACAGGTGAAAGAATAAATAAATTATGCTATATTCATACAATAGAATACTATCTCACAATTAAGAGGAATAGCTGATAAATGAAAACACATGGATGAAACTCAAAGACATTATATGCAATGAAAGAGTCAGACACAAAGAATATACACTTTATGAATCCATTTATAGCATACCTAGAAAAGATAAATCTACTCAATAGTGGCAACAGAGACCAGTGGTTGCCTTCAAGGGATAGGGAAATATTATAGATCTTGTGATAGTAGTTTCATGGGTCTATATATTTTTCAAAACTCATCAAACTGTACACTATAAATGTGGTACATTTTATTGTATGTAAATTATGCCTTAATAAAATTGACTTAAAAAGAAAAATCTAAAGTAGGAAAAAAGAAAACTCACCATATAAGATTTTCTATTTTTGACCAATGTCATTAAAGCAAATCAAAGCCCTGGAATATCCACTATGGGTAAAATACTTATACCTCCCAAGAAAGACAAGTACACATTTTAAGTGGTAAGTTGGAAATGATCAAACATTAAAATGCATGACACTTGAATGGGCTGATATTCCAGGAATAATCGAGGAGCTAAAGGGAAGAGAAGCCACATCTGGCACGAATTCCTCCATGGCCATGAGTTACTCTACTTCTGGCCCCGAAGTGGAGGATGTTGGTCCCTCTGAAGCCTCATGCACATTCGGGAAGGGAGCAAATATCTACAGGACACAAAGGGACCCGAGACACAAAACCCTCTGTGTGGCCATGTGCAGAGGAAGGGAGACAGGGCCTGATTTGTGTCTCCATCTGCTCTGGGCTGGCAAGAGCCTTCAGTGAGAGAAGTGCTCAGCAGCCCAAATGTGCTTATGATTTGTAAATAAAATAAAGTCAAACAACTGCAAGCAAACAGTGTGTGTGGTGTTCTTCTGCCCAAATTCAACCGTCGAGTCAGTGAAGGCTGGGTGTGTTAAGAAAGCAAATGTCTCTGGGGTCAGTGTAGCATTCTGGTTTAGAAATCGAGGATCTTGGCCTTCACTTTGAAAACAAAACTGTTCAATGTGCAAAACCGGACTTAACATAAATAATGCGGCAGCTATTATAGAGAGGCCTTTTCGATGCTGGTGGTCTCCAGACACTCACAGTCTGGCATTTCATGTTACATTTCAAAACCACGAATCATTATAAGTCACATAAATCTGTCACATCACTTGAATTTGTACATCACCAAATCCCTGTCTAATTTTTCAAAGACTATCCCCTGCCCAAATGAAGTTGAGGCTCTCAGATCCGATGGGGTTTACTGCGTTGGCATATCACCCATGTCACAGCTTGTCTTTCTATTATGTGAATGAAAATTTTCCAAGAATGTTGAACAGAGTTCAGTGTTACTAATAGTTGATACAATATTTAGGCAACCAAGTTATATTAGACATTGCTGTAAAACTCCTTTCTCACAAATCCACCTAAAGGAAGGCATGGCTGTTCCATATTGTTTGCCACTGTCATCTTAGTTACAATTTCAGAGCCGGCACAGCACAATCCAGCACTCAACTTGTGTTTCTGGGCTTCTCACCCATGCTTCTCCCTGGAAACTCAGCTTCTCTTTACTTCCCTCGGGATTTATAAACATCTCCTCGAGTTTGTTCTGTCCGATTTACCCACTCTTGTCACTCCTCACTCCAATTACAAGTCCCCCTTCCCCAGATTGTATTATTGCCTATTGCATTTAAATAATTTAATTATATTATTAAAATTATTTTATTAAAGCATCACACACTAATGACATCAATATTATAAGGAAACATTTGATTTTTAAGGGGAAGGGAGGAATTTTCCATATTCCACGTTCACGTTTTAATCTCTTAACATGATCCCCATCACCATGCATACGATTGTTTCATTAGCTGCACCAAAAGTGAAAACCTTTTTTTAAGAACTTATATTTGCCTGTAATTCCAGCACTTTGGGAGGCCGAGGCGGGTGGATCATGAGGTCAGGTGTTCAAGACCAGCCTGGCCAAGATGGTGAAACCCTGTCTCTACTATAAATACAAAAACTAGCTGGGCGTGGTGGCGGGCGCCTGTAATCCCAGCTACTCGGGAGGTTGAGGCAGGGAATTGCTTGAACCTGAGAGGCGGAGATTGCAGAGAGCCAAGATTGCGCCACTGCACTCTAGCCTGGGTGACAGAGCAAGACTCTGTCTCAAAAAAAAAAAAAAAAAAAAAGAGCTGATATTCAACCCTTCCTTTCTTCCTGTCATCTTTTCATCAATAAGGCTTCAGATCCCAGAAAATCCACTCCGACTATGTTATGGTGGTGTCTCTCCCATGTTTTCATACATGAGCTAACTGATCAGTTGCCACCTGGAGCTTGCCTTTCCTTTTCCCTCTTCTTTCCAGCCCCAGATCTATTGCTACCAGGCACTTATATCCCCCACGGTGTTCCACTATCCTCTGCCTATCATCTGCTGGATGTTACTATTACATGGTAGTGCCTACCACCCTACCGTGCACAAGCATCTCCTGCCAAGCACCACTGTCCCCCTTGTCAAAGTACTAGTGCTGCCTAAGGTGTAGAAAGAAGTGGAGGAGGCTGCACGCTGTGGCTCACGCCTGTAATCCCAGCACTTTGGGAGGCCAAGGTGGGCGGATCACGAGGTCAGGAGATTGAGGCCATCCTGGCCAACATGGTGAAACCCCGTCTCTCCTAAAATACAAAAAATTAGCCGGGGTTGGTGGCGTGCGCCTGTAGTCCCAGCTACTCGGGAGGCTGAGGCAGGGGAATCGCTTGAGATCACACCACTGCACTCCAGCCTGGCAACAGAGCAAGACTCCGTCAAAGAAAAAAAAAAAGAAAAAGAAAGAAAGAAGTGGAGGGAAGGTCTAGCCCTCTTTTGAGTTACCCTCTGTTGGCAGTGACCTGATCTGTGACTCTCTGTGCTCCATTTTCTCAAGAGATTATACTGAACTGGCTCATCCTCTTTTCATTTATTGTTCCCCTATTCAAAAAAAGACTTGAATACAGGACTGATGGCATACCTGGTTTGGCTGAGTGACAGACAAACTGCTAAACTCAGAATGACCCTGCTCCTCCAGGCCCTGTCCTGACTTAGTACCTTTAAAAAAAATTAATGAAAGGAGCCTATTTTCCTGTTTCTTCTTTTCCTTTAAATGACCTCTAACTCAACAAGCTTCTCCTGTCTTCAGGAAAACTGACATCTGGTTGACCCACAGGAGCATGTCCTGATACATATGAGCTCTGGGGGTTAAAGCAGCTTAGACTAAAACTGAGGCAGCCACTGTACCTCTCTCATCAATGAAATTTACAGTCTTTTGTAAAACTTTCCACTCAAACATCTTATGAAATTAGTTGATATAAAAATGAGTGATGCTGTTTTCTGAATGCATTCAACCATTTTTAAGTCTTGACTTAAATAAAAATCAAGACTTCTTAAGTCTTGATTTTTATTCCAGAATTTGGTCCACATATTTGATAACTTTATCAGGAATTTTTTTTTTTCCTAAGAGTGATGAGAAGTTTTTTGAAATGATTTAAGCATGTGGTTAAACAATATCAGATTTATAGCTCTCTGGCTGCCATGTGAGAATCCAATTAAGAGGAAGGTTAACATGTATATAGCTGTCCAGGAGAGATGATGGAAGATTGGATTCCAGTGGAAACAATGAAAGTGGATAAAGGATCTAAGAAATTTAAGAGATATTTTGGAGATGAGACACAGACTTCATTCACTTTAGGTGTCTTTGTAAGCTTGGGTTGCCATAACAAAATACTGTAGACTGGATGGCATAAGCAACAGAAATTTATTGTCTCACCATTCTGGAGGCTGTAAGTTTGCGATCAGGGTGCCAGCAGGGTTAGGTTCTGGTGAGGGCTCTCTTCCTGGCTTGCAGATAGCAGCCTGCTTACTTTGCCTTCACATTTCAGAGAAAGAAGGAGAGCTGTCTAATATCTCTTCTTGTAAGGGCACTGACTCCATTATTAGAACCCATCCTGAGGAACTCATCTGTACCTAATTACTTCTCAAAGGCCCCCTCTCTAAATACTATAACATTGGGAATTAGAGCCTCAACATATGAATTTTGGGGGACACAGTTTTGGCCATAGCAGCATGTGTACACACACACAAACACACACACAAACACAGAGACAGACAGAATGTACACCTGGAATCACGGTGACCTAAGTGGCCACAAAATCTTCACCCATGTCTACTTGGGGAGAAGTTACTCTCTAGGTTTCAAAATCAACCTGGGTGATCTGTGATGGTGATGTCTGCAGCTTAAGATTTACACGTCATTAGCAAGTTAAATTACTTATCCTCTTCAATCTCGGTTTTCCCATCAGAAGACTGAAATTATTAAAATGTACTCTGTAGAAGCTCAGAAGTTCGAGATAGTACATTCTGAGGGCCTGTCTGAGATCCTGCTATATTTTAAGACAGAAATGGTTGTCAGATTTTAAAGCTGATGTTCTGCATGTTTTCTAGAAAACAGAGTCAGAGAATAAGAATTTATTAGTGTTTATCCAACATTCTCTTCAAGTCAGTAGACATGAGTCACCAGAAGTGTACTCTGCATTTAAACATTGGTGTTTTCTGTAACTTTAAAAATGGTCAAAACTATGTATGTAGTCAGGAGTTCTATGCATTGAGGACCAGCTCTGTGCCAGGTACAATGCTGAGGACTTGGGACCTAGCGGTGAGCCAAAAAAAAAAATGTCCTGGTCTCAGCCTCCCTGGAGCTCGCCGTCTACTATGAATATAGATTTTGAATAAGTGGCTGTAAGTTAGAGGGCTGTGAAATGGGAAGTCTGTGGTGGATGGGAGCAGGTAACAGGGGGAGCTAAACCAGTCTTGGCGATCAGTCAAGCCATCTTTGAGGAAACAACCATTGGGTTGAGATTTGAAGGATGAACAAGAATGATATAGGTGAAAATGGGGAAAGAAGCATATCAGGCAGAGAACAGTTTGGAGACACAAAAGAATATGGCTCCTTAGAGAAACTAATAGAAAAAGTGGTGCATTCAAGAGTAGAGTGAGCAGGACACAATGGTCCAGGATGAGGCCAGGGCACCAGACAGAGGACAGAGCGTGGAGGGTCTTATAAACCTTATTAAGATTGTTGGATAGTTGTGAGGACAAAAAATAGAAAGCTAATGAAGAATTGCAATGAAATATCACACAGAGATTTTCTACCCTCTAATCAAGAAATAGTAGTAGCAAGAACTATGACAGAGTAAAGGATACCAAAAGGCATCACAAAGAATAGTGACCACCACGAATTTTGAGGGATTCTGTCTCCTTCTTTAAGAAAATGCCGAGCAGTAACTCTAAGAGGCAGCTACCAAGAGATATTGGTAGAAAGAAATGGAAGGTAATTCTGTCCAGACATAAAGACATTTTTAGGCCTACAAATAAATAAGATTAACACAACATCCTATGACACTAGGTAAATGGAGTGAAAATATGTCTATTGGTTAAAAATTATTATGTTGCAAATAACAGAAAACCCAATACTCACACTAGCTTGAGTAATTAAATTAATTGTCTCAAATAATTGGAAATCCAGAAATAAGGCAGCTTCCAAGGTGAGCTAAAGCTGGATTCCAGATCTATTTCTCTGCATTTCTCTTAGCTGTACCCTTCTCTGTGATGGCTACGTTTTCTCCTGGTGGCAACATGGCTAGGGTACCACACACACCACCCAGGAGACGAGAGAGTGCTTCTTCCAGTGGGCCTCTATTAAAAGCAGAGAAGCTTATTTCCCAGAAACCTTGAGCAATCTTTTCCTCATATGATTCAAATTGGGTCCCATAACCATTTTTGAAAGAATCTCTGTGATTGGGAGGGTTTCCTTGTGCTGAGCGGCTGAGACCCAAGCTCCTGTTCCAGTTAATGTGGGGAGCTTGACGGGACCCCCATTGGACAGGTCAGGCTCACCCCCACCGATGGGGGACAGTGATCACCTCTTGAAACACCTGAGATGTATGGGGGAGAGATCGAACATAGATAAATCAGGATCTTGTTAGGAAAGAGAAAGCGAGGAATGGATTCTGGGTAGAAACCAACAATCGCTTACCCCAGGGATGGGCAAACTTTTTCTGTAAAGGGACAGATAGTAAACATTTTAGGCTGTTGCAACTACTCCACTCTGTCTTTGTAATGGGAAAGCAGTTGTATAGACAATACGTAAATGAATGTGCATGGTTATGTTCCAATAAAACTTTATTTACAAAAATAGGTCAAACGTGGCTCCCAGGCCAAAAGTTATTGACCCTTGATTCATTCTATCCTATATTAATCAGCACATTTTAGCTTTCTCCTCTAGATTATTTTCCATCTGAAATTAATCTTGTTGTGAATTTGCTTGTTAATTTTTACCTTATTTCATTCATGTATAAAATTGCTGGGGCCAGCGTGCAAGTGGCAATGAGTGGTTACAAGACAGCAAGGTAAAGAATGTATTTTATCCTGGAGTCCTGCACTCTGTGGGTAGACTCCTATAGGGATGGCTGCTTTGTCATGCTGTGACATTTTCAGATGGTGTTCTTTGAAAAGCTTTAAACTTAATCCAAATAAAGAATGCAGACCTCATTTCATATTCATTGCCTTGCACACTAACAAAGCTTTAGAAATTTTGCTAAATGTGGACTTGGACATGAGTCATATGATTTTTACTAGTGGAGTCATAGCTAAATTAGAAAGACAAGACACAAAGACATTAAGGGACATTAAAGGTGACAAATATGATATGTTACTGGGACTGAGGAGCCAGCGCTTGTATGCTCTTCCTGGTCTTTGTCGATTTTGGAATAGAGATTGGGAAATTAAATTCCAAGAAGGGAAAGAGAAGCATTTACTTTCAAGTTGCAAGGAGCAAAGAAAGAGTAAATACTTTCCCACTGAGCACGATACTGCTCATTTTCTGGCACCATGTTTGACAAGAAGTGATTTCTGACTCACTTGCAAAATAATCTCTTCAGATTTCAACTGAGGAGACTTGGATGAAGTCAAGAGTTGCAAAATGGACGCTTGGAATCAGAAGAGCCACTAAAACCAGGGAGGAAGAATGGGGTGGGTGAAAAAGGAAACATAAGGCAGAAAACTGCAGATATCAGAAAAATGTTACATATAAAAGATGCAATAATACCGATCAATCATGAGACATCATCACTGGCTGGAAGGAAACAGTTGAGATGTGTCACTTCAAATTTTTGTGAGTCTGAAAGGCACCAATAAAGAATGAAGGAATAAGTCACATTTGCAAAAATCAAGAAATTATATTTGTATAGTTTCTAAACCCATTGACAAATTTAGGGTTGACAGAATATTGTGGAGCTGTTACCTTTGGCCGGGCAACCATGAGGAGGTGTTATCGATCCAAATTGCCTTGACTGAATCTTTGTTTACCCCTCACACTGTAAAGGTTTCTTTTTTCTTTTTTCCTTTTAACAATATAAAGAATTAGAAGTTAGGTATCAGTCCTCAAAAATCTTTCTTTGTGCTCTTGTCCAATTCAAATGTTTACGAAGTTGCATCATGAATAGAAAGTTGTAGAAGGCTTGCAGCCTCCTGTGAATACGCAAATAAAGATAATAATTCAGAAAAACATTGAAAAACAACTTGACAAGAGGATAGAAGTGTGAACATAGCATTAATTGGGCTGGGCACAGTGGCTCATGCCTGTAATCCCAGCACTTTGGGAGGCCAAGTCGGGTGGATCACTTGAAGTTAGGAGTTCGAAACCAGCCTGGTCAACATGGTGAAACCCGTCTCTACTAAAAATACAAAACAATTAGCCGGGCATGGTGATGTGCACCTGTAATCCCAGCTACATGGGAGGCTGAGGCAGGAGAAGTGCTTGAACCCAGGAGGCGGAGGTTGCAATGAGCTGAGATCGTGCCACTGCACTCCAGCCTGGGCAACAGAGCAAAACTCCGTCTCTAAATAAATAAATTAATTAAATAATACGGGAAACTAGCTGGCCTGCACAGGGAAGACTGGAGTGGCCTGCTCTATCAGGGGGTGCCATCTCTCAGAGTAAAGTGGGAATGAAATCAGGAAAGATCTCAAGAGCTGTGCATTCCGAGGATTTTTGCTTTGCAAGCACTGCATCAGTTCAGAAACCCAAGAACCAAGTGGTAAGGAGTGATGGAACAGGGTGCTCTCATAGAAGAATGGAAACATACACGTGACAACCTGCTGGAAGCCAGAAATTAGACTAGAGCATAAAAATACTTTATAAGCTCTAGAGTTTGGAAGTGGATTTACCATAACAGAGTGTACAGATAGTAAGACCAAGATCCACCCTTTCACTTAATCTCCATGTGGGAATTGAGTCTGGATGGGTTTTTCTTGTTCAAGGATGTGAAGTTTGTAACATCGCCAAAAGTTTAACAAGGAGTTCATTAAAACTATACTCTAGCACAATAGAAAAGGACAGCATTTTGATGGCTAAGAAGAAGCATCTGAATATTATCTCATGCAGAATCCATGTGAAAATTCAGACAACTATTTAGCTTTCGCAACTTGGTTAAAGACGCCATACTCTGCGTGCCTCATCAGAAAGACTGAATAGATTGAGATAAAGGCAACTTGAGTTTGAGCAATAAAATTTGTGAAAGAGAAGAATATGGAATTGCTTTCAAGACATAGAAACTGGGATATAGACAATCTGCAAGAAATTAAAGACGTAGTAGCAGAATTAAAATCAGCCTCCAAGGCAGTAAAGAGCAATAAAAAATGATGCCATAGAGGCCAAATTTGCAAATTTCCCAGCAAGGGCATGGCTCCAATATATTTCTTTAGCTTTTAGCCACTCACCCCTTGGTCCCTCGTCTTCAGTCACAGGTTTTCTTTTCTTTCCTCAAATACATCAAGCTTTTCCCCTCCAGGACCTGTCATTACTTCTGGCTTGAATGTATTCCTCCGTCCTGTTCACTAGGCTGGGTTTGAATCCCAGCTAAGGCAATTTGCCTGATGTCTTGGAGACTCTGTCTCCTTATCTGTAAACCCAATTAACACCGTATCTTCTTCACTCTGCTGTCATGAGAATTCAAGGAGAAATTACTCTTTTAATGACTATCTTGCAGACGAGACTAACAATAAGCTCCAAAATACCAAATATTTGCCTTTTTATTTGTCCTTGTATACTTTGTACCTAAAAGACATAGCAAATGTTATAAAAGTTAAAGTTGAAGCTATAGTAGAAGAACATTTCTAACTTTTTATGTGTTCAGTGAGAACACTTATAATCTACCCTCTTAGTAAATTTCAGGTATACAGTATTGTTAACTATGGGAAGACATCTTCTGAGCCAAAAGAGTTATCCATACAGAATAATGCTCAGTGTGTTTCACTCAGATTTACACCAAGACACAATCTTTATAAAACTCTTTAACTATATAGACAAAGAAAATTTCAACTTCTACATAAGAAAATAGTTTTAAAAGTAATCCATCAGTAGGTAAGTAAAAGTTAGGCTGATTCATCTAACTTCTTGGCCTTAAATGCTAGAAGACAACAGGGAACCTCAAAGCAATTCTGAGAAGAAAAGGTTGGGATACAAGGATTTTATAGTGTTAAGCTGTGTTTTTATATGTGAAGGCAACAGAAATACACCCTCAAAAGAAAGGAGTCAGAAGATACTAGGCATATACTCTTCCTGGAAAAGAGTTCCTTGAAGAAGTGTTGTAACCAACTGTAAACTCAAAATCAGATGTTTGAAGCTGGGAAAAATAATCATAAAAGTATTGGCAGTGTGCACTGAAACAAGTTAAGCTGAAGAGAGATCCAAATAATTGTAAACCTGTCATAAAACTGAATGCAAATGACCATTGTCCTCACAAAAGATAAAATTTTTTAATGAAAAGTGATATGAATAATCTCAATCTATAAAACCATATTACATTAACAAAGACCAAGATGTGAATGGAGAAAAGAAAATGTAAACATACGTTAAATATTTTGCTTATATTAGGGTGACTGAAAAAATACAAGTTCCTTAATTCTAATAATTTGCAAACTGATAGGTGAAAGAATATATTTTAAAAGCCTAAAGATAATTCGTCAGAGAAAAGGAAATTTTTTTCTTTTTTAAAAAAAAGCTTTGTCTGCTTAAGAAAAAAGAAAGTAAAGAGAAATCTCAAGATGCAAAAACAGAAAGGAAAGAAGACATAGACAAAATATAGTATTTACCAGAGTAACTAGAAATGAGATAAACTCAATTATTCTAGAGGAGATCCTCAAATTTGTATGTTAATAAAGCAAAGTCCAGTTATCGTCTATTTACTTAAGACATACCTAAAACAAATTCATATAAAAATGTAACAAGGCAAATGCAAGCAAAAAGAAAAACATGAATTGTAATATTAATAGAGGACTATGTAGAATTTAAGAATGAGAGCATCAAATGAGACTGAGGTGAAGGACACTATTTGAATGTGTAAAAACTAGAAGTTTGTGTGGTGACAGAGCACCAGGAAACCTTTCTGTGCCAAAATCAGTGCTTAAAATGTACGTAAAGCTAAAACTCTTAGAAGTACAAGGAGAAATTTGTAGAGACATATCTATCTCAAAGTAATTAAAGAATAAGGAATAATATGGCAACATATTAATAAAAGTAATAAGGTTTATTTTAAAAATACATTTTGAACTATGAATTCTACAAAAAGTGAGTGTACCCCCTCCCAGAAAATAGGGGACTTTTAAAAAAGTACTATGTATTAAGCTTCAGATGAAATCTCCAGCTTCAAAACATAGAGATAAAATAAATATAAGAAGCCTTTCCCTATTTACCTCTAAGAAGTATTTAGAAAATATAGTAGAAAAAGATCCTAATCACTAAAGCAATCACAAATATAAACTGCCTGGGAATAAGCTTCAAAATAAAAGTACAGATAAAAAAAAAAACAATAAAATTTCTTGACAAGTGTAGAGTGAAATGGAAATCCATGGAGAAGCACATCCTGTTCAGGGGGTAGCAGGACCTAATAGTGAGAAGACATTTGTTCTCCCCTCAGATCTTGAATTTCAATGCAATTTCAAGTAACATTGAAATGGAATTTAGGAGAAACCTAGATTTCCTCTTTGGGAAAAAAGTGTGAAAATAGCCAAGAAAACTGTGAAATGAAAGAGTAATTTAAAAAGTATAATGCTATTGTGAATGTCTGAGGAAACTCTAACAAGTACTTCCTAAGTGCAACTCACTATAGAGGCAACCAAAGTGTGTAGGGAAGAGAAGCCATCTTCAAGAGGAAGAGTCTGGGACAGTGGTTCTAAGTGTGGTCCTAAGACCAGCAGCTGAGGCATCACCTTGACACTTATTAGAAATGCAAGTTCTCAGGCCCCACCCCAGAAGGTGGGGCCCAGGAATCTGTGTTTCAATGTACTCTTTAGAAAATTCCACAGTGAAGTTTGAGAACCACTCATCTATGTATAGTATACTCACTTATCCGAACCAGAAACTTGGTTGCACAGTTATGGTAATGCAATGGAAATTAACAGAATGAAAATAATTCTAGATGGCAGAATCAGGAGGATGAAAGAGTAAAGGGAATCTCCTGTTAGTGCAGACTAAAAAGTCTAGGACTGAGAAGTTACTTAACAGGAGTCTCAGGTCTAGGTCCTTACTCTTTTATAACACAGCCGGGTGACCTTGGAGTTGTTGCTTCATGCTTCACCTCACTTGTGGCCTGCATTCCTTAGATCCCTTGTCTTTGTGATGATGGGTGGAACGTGGTGACATGGGAAGTCCCTTTCCATCCTAAAATGCTTCTGAATTTATAATAAAATTGTACATCCACAAAACTCAGCTGGAAATGTACAAAAGATCCAGCTTTATTTTTTCTATAATTTAACTTAGTTTCTACCTCAATACTCCATTTCTTCTGCTGGCAGAGAAAAATAGAACTTCGTCATTTCTCAGAAGATCCATTTCAGTATAAATCACTTAATCCTGGATTTCAGACCTTCCTCTGTCCTTGGTGGCACTGAAGTCCTGAGGACTGCACATAGAAGAACAATATGGGACTAGAGTGGAGGTGCATGTGCCCCACACCTTTCGTCTGTCCTAAGCATGGCATTCACTGGAATGTTCTATGCTTCCTGGACATCCCTCCCTGTGGGTGTCTGTTGTTCTAATGATCCCATCCAGCCTCCAGAGCTACACAGTCCATGCTATTTTCTGTAACAGCATCTTCTCCTACTGGCAATGAGACCTCTTTAGGTCCATAACCTTTTACCCAGCTAACTCCAGTGCCTCTCATTTCACCTGGAGACCCTAGGACTCTGAGAGGCTGTTTGAGATACTCTCTGCACCTTCTATCGCACAAAACCATGTGTCCTCTTTCTGCTTTATCATGGTTGTTGAGGTTGCCTGAGAGGTTGCACTTGGCTGTTTAGTGCTGTTCGGTTTCTGATCCACGTAGATGTTTACATGGTTGTGGAGCACAGATACATGTTTTCTAATTCAAAGGAATTCCCCCACCCCCAAGTTTCTAGAAGTAAAAAAGATTCTTTGAAATTAAAAACTCACCAGGCAAGTTAAATTCTAGACTTGACACAACTGAAAAAAGAATTATTGAATTAGAAGATCATACTAAGAAAATAACCTAGAATGCAGCATCAAAGTCACTTGAAAACAAGAAAAGTTACAATGAAAGAAAGGTGACTGAGGGGTTTTAACATGTTTCTAGTAAGAGCTATTGTATAAGGAATAGATGGGACGGCCAAGAAATAACATTCAATGAAACATCCTTTGTTGATCAACAAATTATAGATTTTTGTAAATGTTCCATGCATGCTTACAAGAATGTATATCCTGCAGTTGCTACGTACAATTCTGTATATTGTCCATTAGGTCAGGGTTGCTGCTCGTGTCCCTCAAATAGTCTATTCCTTATTAACTCTTAACCTGCTTGTTCTAGGACTGTGAAATAGATGTGTTTTTTCTCCCATATGGCTGCATAGAAATCCAGAATTATCTCCTTCTGATGAACTGAAATATTTATCGTTATGAACCGTCCCTCTGCACTCTAATAGTACTTTTTGTCTAAAAGAAGAATCTGATATTAATACAGCCACACCAACTTTATTTTGGTCAGCGTTTTGCATGACATACCTTTGTCCATCTGTCTTCTTTAAACCTGCCTGTGTCCTTCTGATTGGATGGGATTCATTTAAATATCATCAAGCTTTTATCTAGTATGATAATCGTTTATTTTCAATTGGAACATTTAGTCCAGTTACAATTAGTGATTACTGATGCATGTGAATTTCAAACTGCCATCTTAATCTGTGTTATTTGTCTTGTTCTATTTATTCCATTTTAATCCTTGTTTTATCTTGGAGACAAGAGTTAGTGGTTACTCTACGGATGACATCACATATTTATAATTTATCAAAATCTAATATTAACTGATATTTTATTCCCTTCCTGGACAAGGCAAAAACCATTGAACCCTTTAACTATTTTAATCCTTTGACTTATATCCCATTATTGTCATGCATTTTGATTCTTTCCAAATTTTGAACTTCACCAAAACATTGTTAATATTTATTGATAGAGTCAACATTTATATAAATTTACCCACGTACTTACATATACTTTATCATTAAGAAGTTTTCCATATTCACATTCAAATATCTACAGATCTGTTATATGTTCCTTTGGGATAAATGGATGAGGCAGTGTGGCTTCAAAATCTTTAACGATGTTTCACAATCTCTTTGGTTTGCAGTCTAGTCACTGTAGACATTTCCTGAATGAAAACTCAAAAGCCTGCAGCCTGGTGCGTGCTATGACAATGGGCCACCAAAGTAGTAATTAGAATGACTCAGAAAATCAAGTACGTAGGAAGGCTTCATCTGGAATTGTTTGATTTATTTTAACATGATCCTACCCTCAACCACTTCATATATCCTAATTACAGTTCTAAATTAAAATGAGGTTTCTGTGGCCCTCCTCTGAAATGACTGGAAAAATTCTGGCTATGGCAAGTCCAATGGCAAGAATTACGTAAGTGAAATAAACCAGTCGGCTCAAATATTTGACTGAAATGCAATATTCTCCTGGGATTCTAAGTGAGATAACCCGCTCAACTTCAGCAGAGATGGTTAAGCAAGCAGGGTTGCTAGTGAGGGTAGAAGGTGGCCTATCTGGGAGGGCAAAGAAGTATTTCTGAGGTCGGGCAAATTATGTGAGCTAATGCCTTTCAGCAGTTAGTCCTTTTGGAATCCCAGGACTGAGATCCCAGGGATAAGGTTCCATTTTGCCAGATAAATGACAGTAAATAGAATGCTTGGGACACCATCTTTTCCTTGTTACTTGGAGAGTTCTGTGAGGTTTTCTGGGCTCTGTGTGTCCGTGGGTACAGAACAGGTTACTTCCCCACTTCCACTCTGATTTCTCATAAGTGACTTCCCCACTTTCAAGCTTAAAATGGGAAAAAGTGTTGGGGGCATGAAGATCGCAAGTGAATTCTTAGGTCTTGTCCAATGTGATGTTTTCACTACAGAGAGAATCTTCTGGCCATCCCCAGATCTCTGGCCATGGTGAGGAGAAGATCATGGTACTTTTTAGTATTGTGATTTTTTCCCCCTTCTTCTTTCAGTATAGGTCCTATGACAGTTTAAATCTGTCTGCCTGGTTCTGATCCACCAACTCCTGCAGCCTGGCTGCTACTAAAAACTCACTTCTACAGTAACACATGACTTCCACCCATGACAGCATGTGGACGCAGAGAAAAGTCTTAAATGCAAAGGTATAAGCTGTACTGTTTTCTCTGTTTTCTTTCATCTCTACACTGCACAGAGACCTAGAAGAATTTAGGTCTTATCCACAAGTGAAGACGGCAGTACAAAGGCAAGATATGCATTGTGATTTACTGTTAAACCAAGTTTAGGCCAAAGCTGCCTCCTTACGTATTTTAAGTTTGGCTTAAACGTTCCTCTGGACATAGAGAGCTGTAACCTAACTGGATATGTAAACAGACTGTAACCTACACTTGTGCCAGTCACTGAGTTTTGGCCAGTCAAAGGTGGCCAAGTGTTCAAACTGGATTCAAATAAGGCAAACACAGAGCTATTACCAATCTGGCTGTTTCTGTGCCTTACTTCCATTTGCTATACGTCACTTTCCTTTTTCTGTTCATAAATCTTCTCTCTAATTTTCTATAACCCTTGTTTCTTAGGGCTACAGAGTTAGCAAATAAAAAATGTAGGACACCCTCGTATTGTGTGGGACATACTTATCCTAAACAAATGATTCACTGTTTATTTAAAACTTTAAATTTAGCTGTGCACCCTCTATGTTATCTGGTAATAGCTTTTTTTGGCGTCTTGTGGCACTGCCTTCTCTTGCTCACTATCTGTTGTGTGTCATACGTTTTGCTCTACAAGCCCGTAAACTCTTGGGAATTGCCTCTAGTCCCTAACTGCACTTGATTCAGAGCTGAATTTGTATTATGACTGAATTAGCATAAGATGAATTTGGTTTAACATGGATTCCTTCGTATCACCCTAGATAACAGGTTTAAAGTCGTCGAGAGTATTAGAGGACCTAGCCCATAGGATCGAAAGATGTTCACGTCTGGCCCCATTTCCTAGGTATCTTCTTCCAGAAATGATCCTGCAAGCAATGCCCCTTCTTTTAAATCAGCAGGGGTAGCAGCAAGATTTAGATCAGTGCACTCCAACAGAAATACAATGTGAACTTCCTGCATGATTTTAAATTGTTCTAGTAGCCACATTTAAAAAACAAGAAGAAATAGATAAAATTAATTGTAATTATGTATTTAACTCAATGTATTCAATATTGTCATTTTATCAGAGTCAATATAAACTATTAATAAAATATTTTACAGTTTTTCATACTGAACCTTTAAAATCCAGTGTGTATACATTTGTTGGACTTCTCAATGTAAGTGCTAAATTTCATCAGAAATACTCAATTTGTATTTATTTTTCATGAAATGTCATAGAAGTAGACTGGGACATACCTAAGCCAAACAAAAAACACTTGAAAGTTTTCCAGTAATTTAATTGATACAGTTTTTATATTTAAATTTAATTTTATTGACAGTATATTAAAAAATTGAATTCATTATTCCCAACTAGCCGCATTTCAAGGACTCAGTAGCCACAGCACAGCCCTGGTTGATGACTAGAGCTTCTTCTAAAATCCTCGTAACCCAACCAAACAAACCAAATAAACCTGCAAGCGACAATATCTCCCCAGGGTATGGAATCAACAGCATTCTAATTCCCTCTCGTGTCTAGTAATTCCTCTTTGCGGCCATAGCAAATCTCCCTGAGCAATTTTTTTTTCCCTGTGACAAAAATCATACTATGTAGTTTTACTTGAAAGCCACAGAAAGACCTAACACCATCCATGCTGCGTGAATTTCTTGATTTTTTTCAGGTTGCTTTGCAGATGATGTTTTAATTAGGGAAGCCCATTCGAGAATCTTCCTAAAGACATATAACATCCTCAGCCATCTGAAACTATCTGAACCAGTCTGAAAATCTGAATGCCAGAACCACCCCTGCAGTCCAAACAGTTTGTGGACTATGTCTAAATAGTCTGTTGCACTAACCACAACTGAGGAATTTATGAGGGCATTAAAGTACTGTAACCAAAATGTTGTCATTCAAAGGCTCGCCTCGGGAGGAGTGGAGTATTCCGAGAGCTAGACGCTGGGGCTCTGGCAAGACTCCAGGCAAAGTGTCAGGATCCTGGGATCAAAAGGTGATTGAGAGACGTCTAATTGAGGAGTGCCGCCCTGATATTTGTGGTTTCCTTTCCAGCAGTGGAATTTGGTGCAGATCTTTGAACAGCTCCACAGCCAGCTCTGGGGCCCTGCAGGAACAGGCCAGGGTGGATTCCTGGAAATTACAAATAATGGGGGTTGGGCACTTGTCTGCATCTCTCTGGGACTAGACTCGTGGTTTTTAATTGTCTTTACCCAAGGCAGGACATTCTAACCAGTAGCTGGGATCTCGCAGTGTGATTAAATTTATACTTAAGGCTGATGCGAGTGCTCAAAAAAATTAATAAAAAGAAAAGCAAAAAGATGGTGAAAAAACACAAATGTGTACATTTGGGAAAAAGGTCACAGGCTGTTAATACAGTCATGCATTACTTAACAATGGGGATACGTTCTGAGAAATTTGTAGTTAGGCAGTTCCATCATTGTGAGAGCATCACAGGGTGCACATCACACAAATCTAAATGGCACAGCCATACTACCCACGTAGGCTATATGGTATAGCCTATTGCTCCTAGGCTACAAACCTGAACAGCGTATTACTGTACTGAATACTCCAGGCAATTGTAACACAATGGTAAATATTTGTGTATCTAAACATAGAAAAGGTAACAGTAAAAATACAGTATTATGATCTTATGGGACCACCATTGTATATGTGGTCAGTCGTTGGCCTAAATGATGTTATATGGCATGTGACCGTATAAACGTTAAACCATTAATCATCCAACTCATTATATGTATAATTTGTATAATAGGTATAATTTGGATTTTTGGCACCTTTTTGGCTATCATAGTCATTTCATTTGATGTCTTATGCAAATACATCTCTTTAAAGTACTTTCTTGTACTTGATTAATTTCCCAGACTGTTAATATGTTTTCACTGTATATCTTCTGGTGCTTAACATTATACATAAAGGTGGCAGGGGACATAAGGGGAAGAGAAAAGATAAAGTGATTCTTTCCTTTACGCCTAGAAAAGATTGGAGTCTTGATGAAGGGAAAAACATTTGTTTGGTCATTTAATCAATATTAACTGAGCACTTAATATGTGTGGAACATGAGGGGTACAAAAAGATGGAGGGAGGTGGATCATTATATAAATTCCAGCTTTACTACCTACTGGTTATGTGACGTTAGGCCAATTATTTACATTTTTTGAGGCTGTTTCCTCAATTTTTAAATGAAGTTAATAATAAAATGATACAGGAGAAAAATTATGTAGATTACTAATAAATTGTGTCTACTATAATCACGATTATTAAAGATGAGTCATCACCTCCTCAATCACCAGTAGACTTTTTTGTTTTGCTAATTTGGGTTGCCAGAAATATGTTGTTATACCTAGACAACAGGCCACCATCATTTAGATTTGGTGTAGATCATTCATTGGCTAGTTTACATTCTCACTTTTTTGAGGTTCAAATGCCTACATTTCTTGCCTAAATCAAAACTTACATTTATAAAAAAAAAAAAATACCTTTATATCCCCAAGGGAAGAAGATAATGTGACCCAGGAAAGGCTTTCTTGTTTTAAAATTAACATTTTAAAATGAACTATGTAGAAATCCAGCCACAGAATCCTAACATTAGAGAAACACAGGGTAGTAGACATGACTTAGAACTAAGTTCCTGCTTTCAGGTAGCACAAGAGGATGAGATGCAGGCATGTTGGGGTCACGTGAGCTCTCTTTTGAAATTGATTCCACAGGTCACTGTGAAATCCAAATATGCTTAATTTTAAGTGTCTTTGCTGCACTGAGACATTTTACCTTATTTGTATGCAAAGCCATCCCAGCTTTACATATGGCCACCTTATCAAATTATCTTATTAATTCTGAAATTTTCTTAACTTTCAACATATGCAATTGCGTCATTCCTAAATAATGATAACTCTACCTTTTTATTTTCATTATGTACGCTTTCATCATGTTTTTCTCTGTGTAATCCATTAAATAAAAATTCTAAAACCTTCCCCAGCAATGATTGTCATTGGAATAGCTTTATACATAATTATTTTACTTTACATATTATGCTGTCTTTAGGTAAATACTGCTAATTTGAAGAACTTTTACTTTTTTAGCATTTCTATTAGGAATGAGACTTGATAAGAGTGATCGACATTGACTTTACAAAACCAGATTTGGTTTTAGTTGTCATTTCCGGTGGGTTTTTTTTTCATATATTATTAATTTTGTCTTTATTCTTTTAATTCTCCTCTCCAACTTTCTCTATGTTTATTTTGATTTTTTAAAATAATAATTGTATTGAGATATTCACTTACTATAGAGTTCACCCACTTAAAGGGTAGAATTCAGTGGTTGTTAGTATATTCAATAGTGTATTCACAGATATGTGGAGCAATCACCATAGTCCAACTTAAAAAGAAATGTCAGGCTGTTTAGCTATAACCTCCAAACTCCTATTGCCCCCCAACCCCTAAGGAACCATTCCTCTACTTTCTGTTTCTGTGGCTTTCCCAATTCTGGTCATTTTATACAAATGGAATCACATAATATGGAGTCTTTTCTGACTTGCTTCTTTCACTTCACATGTTTTCAAAGCTCATGCATATTGTAGTAAGTATTGGTACTTCATTCCTTTATATAGCTGAATCATATTCCATTGTACAGATATACGTTTGTTTATCTACTCATCAAATAAGAAACATTTGGATTTGTGCCACCTTTCTGGCTATTCATAAATAATGCTATTATAAACATTCATGAATATGTTTTTATGTGGCTATACATTGCCAGTTCTCTTCGGTAGATGTTGCCGGATCATAAGTTTGACCATTGAAGAACTGCCAAATTATTTTCCAAAGAGGTTGTACAATTTTGCAGTGTAAAACGGTTCAGGTTTCCCCACAGCCTTACCAATACTTATGGCCTTACTCTCAGATTCTAGCAATCTTAATGAGTAAGTGTGAAGTGAATCTCACTGTTGTTTTGATTTGTATTTCCATGTTGACTAATGATGTTTAGCATCTTTTCATGTGCTTATTGACCATTCGTTTATCTTTTTTGGAGAAATGTGTCTTCAGTTTCTTTGTCCATTTAAAAAATTAGACTCTTTTTATGATAGAGTTATAAGAGTTCTTATACATTCTAAATGTGTCTCTTCTCAAATACATGGTTTGCAAATATGTTTTCCATTCTGTAGATTGCCTTTCATTTTCTTGATAATAATATCCTTTGATAACCAAAGTTTTTACACATTTTGATAAAGTCCAATTTATCTATGTTTCTTTTGTTGCTTATGCTTTTGATATCATATCTAAGAATGCATTGCCAAATCCAAGGTCATGAAGATTTGCCCCTTATAATTTTACCTCTTACATTTAAGGCCTTGACCCATTTTTGTTTGTTGTTTTGGTTCTTTGTTTGTTTTTCAGACAGAATCTCATGCTGTCATTTAGGCTGGAGTGCAGTGGTGAAATCTTGGTTCACTGCAACCTCTGCCTACCTGGTTTAAGCAATTCTTATGCCTCAGCCTCCAGAGTAGCTGGGAGTACAGGTGTGCACCACCATGCCCAGCAATTTTTTGTATTTTTAGTAGAGATAGGATTTTGCCACGTGGGCCAGGCTGGTTTCAAACTCCTGGCCTCAAGTGATTGGCCCTCCCTGGCCTCTCAAAGTGCTAGGATTACAGATGTGAGCCACCATGCCTGGCCTTGATTTGGGGTTAATTTTTGTATAACAATGTGAGGTGAGGGTCCAAATTCATTCTTTTGCATGTGGTATCCAGTTGTCCCAGCACCATCTGTTGAACAGAGTATTCTTTTCTTATTCAGTGGCCTCAGCATTCTAGTCAAATATCGGTTGAGATAGATACGTGGGTTTATTTCTGGACTCTCAATTCTACTCCATTGGTCTATATGTCTATCCTTATGCCAGTACCGCATCATTTGGCTACTGTAGCTTTGTAGTAAGTTTCAAAGTCCAGAAGTCTTCTGACTTTGTCATTCTATTTCAAGATTGTTTTGACTATTCTGGGTCCCTTGCAATTCTTGCAATTTCAAGTAATTTTCATATTCTATTTTGATTTCCTTGTGCTTTTTTGTCAAAATAACATCATAGCTCATTTAATTTCAATTTATTTTTATAAATAACAAAAACAAAACACCATAATTTTTTTTCCAAAATAAGTTTTAGCTATAAATCACAGGTGTTAATACAGAGTTTTCTTTTTCATTAGCTATATATTGTTGGGTTTATTTTATCAAACACAGGCATTAGAATTGTGTTCTTTAAAATCCATGGGGTTTTTTTTGACGAAGTCTCTTCTTTTTTTTTTTTTTTTTTTTTTGAGACGGATGTCACCCAGGCTGGAGTGCAGTGGCACAATCTCGGCTCACTGCAAGCTCCGCCTCCCGGGTTCGCACCATTCTCCTGCCTCAGCCTCCCGAGTAGCTGGGACTACAGGCCCCCGCCACCACGCCCGGCTAATTTTTTGTATTTAACATTTTTTATGTTTATTTCATGTTTTCTTGTATGATAGTCATGGATTTTGTTCTTTAAAACTGTACAGTCTGGAATGTGTTAAGGGTTTCTTTGAAACCAACTACATGATCAAAATTCATAGATGTTTATGGGCATAAGAAACCATATATAATTTTCCATTTGTTACATAGGAAAGGTCTATACTATACATCTTGATGATTGTATTTTTCCAATATCCTGTTTATTTTTTTTATCTACCATCAAGTTTTGAAAAGGTTATATGTACATATATAACTATATGTATGTAGTCTCTGGATCATGCTTTTTTAACACCATACTTTTTTTTTTTTTTTTGAGACAAAGTTTTGCTCTTGTTGCCCAGTCTGGAGTGCAATGGCACAATCTTGGCTCACCACAACTTCTGCCTCCCAGGTTCAAGCGATTTTCCCCTCAGCCTCCCAAGTAGCTGGGACTAGAGTCATGTACCACCATGCCCGGCTAATTTTGTATTTTTAGTAGAGATGGGGTTTCTCCATGTTGGTCAGGCTGGTCTTGAACTCCTGACCTCAGGTGATCCACCCACCTCAGCCTCCCAAAGTGCTGGGATTACAGGCATGAACCACCACGTCCGGCCACTCAATTTTTGTTTTTTAAGATTCAATCATGTGTGCAGCTCTAGCTTGTGCATTTTCACTGCTAGTTAATATTTTTTTAATGGTAATGAACTATGATGTTTTTAACTGTTTGCCTGTTGATAGAGATTTGAGCTATTCCTATTTCATTTGTCCTGGTGAGACATTCTCGTTCACCTCCACTGAGGCACAGGAACAAGAATTTCTGCTGTATATACAGCTATGAGTGGAAATAATTACATTTGTAGTATTTGTGGCAAGAAAGTGTGGATTTTCTTACTCAGGCTCTTTGAATTTTTGTAGAATTACTTGATGCCCTAGTCCATGATTAACTTCAGAAAATAAACCATGTGTGCTTGAGGAGAATGTATATCTCAGGGCTGTTGGATGCTGAGTTCTACTTAAGGGCATCAGTACAAATTTATAATTTGTGTTGTTCAAACCTAAATATTGTTATTGACTTTTTTATCTATTTGATTTATCCATAATTGAGAGAGATATGTGGCTATTTCTGACTCATCTTACTCTGAACATTTCAGTGTTCTTATATTTCTTATGTTTTAGTTGTGTCTCTTCCAAATGCAATGGAGTTTGATATTTTTCTTAATCTAACCATTCAATCTCTGTTCCTTTTTTTTTTTTTTTTTTTTTTTTTGAGACAAGGTTTCGCTCTGTGACCCAGCCTGGAGTGCAGTGGTATGATCTTGGCTCACTGCAACCTCCGCTTCCTGGGGCTCAAGTCATCTCCCACCTCAGCCTCCTGAGTAGCTGTGACTACAGGCGTGGGCCACCTATTCTATTTTCAGTAGAAACCGGGTTTCACCATGTTGCCCAGGCTGGTCTTGAACTCCTGAGCTCAAGCAATCCACCCAGCCTCCCAAAGTGCTGGGATTACAGGCGTGAGCCACCATGCCCAGCCTCAATCTCTGTATTTTAGAAGGTGGATGTAATGAATTCATGTTTTTGGTGATTATTTATATATTTGAACTAGTTGCTACTATTTTACTTTCTTATTTCTACTTGTCCCACATTTTTGGACAAGTTTTTTCTTTATTTTTTATTATTTTATTAAAATTATACTTTATTTTAAATGTTATTATAATTATGTAAAATATTCACATATAAAGAACACACAAAAGACAAAATGTACAGCTCAATTATTTAACCTCAAAATGAACCTCAAAGTACCACAAAATCAAGAAATAGAAAAAAAAAAGCCCAGAAACCTCAGCCATGTCTTCTATTAATCATTAGTTCCTTTCTCCTCCACTATTCTGACTTCTTGCATACTGATTAGTTTCACCTACTGAACATTATAAACAAGGAATCAAACAACACGAATTCTTTTGTATTGTGCTTATTTAATTCATTTGTGCGTTTTGTACCAATAATATTCCATTGAATATCATATGTAACATTTCACTGAAGAACATGCAACAGTTTGCTCTAGATTCTACCCTTGGTGGACATTTGGTTTGTTTCCAATCTGAGGTTATTACAAATAGTGTTGTAAACATTCCTGCACAGGTGTATGCATTTCTGTGGGGAATATACCTAGCAGAAGAATTGCTGTGTCATTGAAGATACACATATATTCATCTTTTGCAGCCAGATTATTTTCAAAGTGGTGATACCAATTTACCCTTTTACAATTAATTTATGAGAGTTTCTATTGCTCACTAATACTTGGTATTGCCAGTCCTTTTCATATTAGCCAGCTTTATGTGTATTCCACTGTGATTTTTATTTGCATTTCTCCAATGACAAAGATCTAACACCTCTCCCTGTGTTTACTAGCCTTTTAGATATGCATTTTTGAAGTACCTGATCAAGTCTTGTGAACATTTTTCTGCCAGGTTGTCTAGTGGTTTCTTATTGATTTTTAGGAATTCTTTTTACATTTGGTGGCGGGCCTTTCCAATTGCTTAATGGCATGATGTTAGCCATACAATGCATATTGTATATATACTTGTTACATACTATTTAATAAGATGCTATAAGACATCTTACAATACTCATTTATTATTTCACAATTCTGTAGGTCAGAAGTCTTGGAGAGTTTGGTGGGGTTCTCTGGTCACGGCCTCACAAGGGTGAAATGAAGGTGTCAGGCAGGATGAATTCTTATCTAGAGGCTGAAGGGGAAGAATTTTCCTCTAAGCTCATTTAGGTTGTTG
The DNA here is from genome assembly GCF_000001405.40 of Homo sapiens. Taxonomy (NCBI): domain Eukaryota; kingdom Metazoa; phylum Chordata; class Mammalia; order Primates; family Hominidae; genus Homo; species Homo sapiens. Next base: position 12,530,288 of record NC_000017.11, read on the forward strand.
GTAGAGTACAGCTCCATGTGGTGGTAGATCTGAGTTTCCCTTTCCTTACTGCCACCCGCATTCCATCTCAGATGACTCCCTCCAAGTTCAAAGGCAGCAATCGTGTGTGTAGTGTTTCTCACTCCTCAAATCTCTCTGACTTCTTATGCCTTCTTTTTCTGCCACCAAAATTTCCCTGCTTTTAAGGGCTCATGTGATTAGCCCTGGATAATCTCTGTTTTGACAAATGAAACATGCCATATACCATAACACAATCATAGGAGCGATATCTCATCGCATCCACAGGTTCCAGGGATTGGGGAATTAAGTCTTGGGGATGGAGCATTTTAAAAATTCAGGCACCCACAGAAATATTTTGATGAAGAGAAATTCTTAATGTCAAAATGGTAAAATTCATTATAATATTTTATTGTATTTAGAGTGTTTTGTATCTTGTTGCAAACACTTTTTTGTGACATGGTCATAAATATATTCTATATTATCTTCTAGAAGCTAAGTTGTTTTGTTTTTCACATATATATTTAAAATTCATGTGGAATTGATTTCTGAGGTAGAGGTCATTTAATTTTTTCTGTATATATATTGACCATCGTTTGTTGAAAAGGCCATCCCCAGTATGGTATTTCCCCACTATGCTATAGTTTTGTGACCATGCAGATCTATTCCTGGACGCTATTATTTTCCATTGCTCTGTTCAGCTATATTTGCAACAAGTAGGAGTATTTCTACACTCTTAATTATTGTAACTTTATGTATATATAGTCATACATATATGTATATCTTGATTTTTCCTGCCTCTTTCAGATTCTATTTAGATTTATAACGGTGTGCTTGAGAACATCTTTTAGCTTTTCCTTTAGTGTGGTCCTGATGGGAATAAATTCTCTCATTTTTGTCTTGTTTGAATACATAAATGTATACTATATTATTAAAAATTAGTTTTCAATTTGTAGAGAATTCTAGAAAGGCAGTATTTTTTTTTATTGTGAGATAACTTAATTAACTTGTAGCTTCCATTGTTTAGGTTGACAAATCTACTGTCTGTCTAAATGTTTCTTCTTTAAAGATAATCTTCAACTCCTTTTAAGATTTTCTCCTTGTATATTTTTAATAGTTTGACTATGATGTGTCTGTAAATGAATTTAATTTTGATACTTAGAGGCAGTACAAACAGGGCTTCTTGAATATCTGACTTGTCTCATTAATTTTGGAAATATCTCACTCACTTTCTCGCTAAATATTGCTTCTGTTTCTCTTCCTGCCTTTCTTCTTCTTAGATGTCGACAGTACATTTGACTTTTTCTTTTACTCTATGTAAAATACTTTTAATCCGATCATTCATTCCTAACAAGCATGCTATTTTTTTGTTCAGTAGTTTTGTTCTCTTTTATAGCCCCAAATATATTATTATAAACCTTACTATTTCTCCAAATGTAAATACTTGGCTTAAATTTTAATATCTGATTATCTTTTCTTTGTACACTTCAAGATGTTTTCCTGACATCATTTTTTTTTCTTTTAAACGATATCATCTATAAGTTTCCTAAGTGCAAGTTGCTTGGTTTTAAACTCTGTCTATCTCTACAGATATCTTTATATTTACCCTCATTCTTGAAGGTAACTTTCTTGGCAACCAATTCTAGGTTGATTGTTACTTTCTCTTATCATTTCAAAAATGTTATTCCATTGTCTTCTGGCTTTCATATTTGCTGTTGAAAAGGTTGTTATCATTTATTTATTTATTTTTTCCATTCCTGTGTATGTGGTGATCTTCCTTACTTGCTTCTAACTTTTTTTTTCTGCTTTTCAGTTTTGCTCTGGTATATCTAGAAATTTGTTCCCTTTAATGTACTTGTTTTTTGGCATACTTTGTGCTTCTTGGGTTTTTGAGTTTATGGTTTAAAAAATAATAATTTCTAAAAAATTACAACTACTACCTCTTAAAATAGTGCCTTTCCTCTGTTCACTAATCTCTACTTTGGGTACCCAATAAAATGTACAGTAGACTTTATTATTCCATAATTCATATTTCTTAACATCTATTACATGTTTTCCATCTCCCTGTTTCTCTGAACTGCATCTTTTTTTAGTTCTTATCTCCTATTTAATCTAACTTTGAAAGTTTTTGTTTCAACAATGATATTTTTCATTTCTAGACCTTTTGTTTCTTCAAATCGGCAAGTACACTCTTACTTCTGGTTTACAATTATACACTGCTAAAGCACCTAAAGGACCGCATTTGATGGTCTCTTGTTGCATTCTCCTCTTTGTAATAGCATCTTTAATTTTTGGAACATTTGAGATATTCAACTCTGTTTTGTATTTAACAGTTCCAATATTTGCAATACTTGTGGATCTAAGTATATTGTCTGTTGTTTCTGCCAAATGCCATTAATAGTAGCTTCACTTGTAATATGTTTGATAATGTTGATCTTTGATGTAAGCTTATTGCTTAATCTTAGTTTCTGGGAATCATTTGGGCCTCAACTGGGGAAGGTTTTATCCTGACTGAATTTACTTCTGCTTCTGCTGGTAGCCAGATTTAATTAACCTTGCTCATCTTTAGTTCTTCAGAGGGTCTTTATTCGTGAGTGAAAATACCTCGCTGTGAGAACTTAGCACACCAATAGCATTGCTGCTGTGGGCAACCTAATTCAAGCAATTACATTCTCCAAGATATTCACTGCTCTAGTCTGGGCTACCTACTAAATGGGAAACAATTTACTTATTTTCATGGCTTCCTCACCTCTTTTGACACAACTAGTACCTCAGAAATTGTTTCTATTCATCACATTGTTTTTATGAATTGTGTTGGGGGAATTTCTGAAAGCATTCATCAAATTAACCATATGTCTGAAGTTGAAATTTGTATTCCTTCTACAGTTATTGCTTTTCTTATATTTGACCTTTTTTTCTTCTTCTAGAATTTTCCTTATTTGCATATTAGGTATATTGTATCTATCCTCTAAGCTTCTTCTTCTTCTTCTTCTTCTTTTTTTTTTTTTTTTTTTGATGGAGTCTCACTCTGTCATCCAGGCTGGAGTGCAGTGGCGAGATCTCGGCTCACTGCAACCTCTGCCTCCCAGGTTCAAGCAATTCTCTGCCTCAGCTTCCCTAATAGCTGGGATTACAGGCGCCCACCACCATGCCTGGCTAATTTTTGTACTTTTAGTAGAGACGGGATTTCACCATATTGGTCAGGCTGGTCTCGAACTCCTGCCCTCAGGTAATCTGCCTGCCTCAGCCTCCCAAAGTGCTGGGATTACAGGCATGAGCCACCGTACCTGGCCTCCTCTAAGCTTCTTCTATTCTCATTTATGGTTTTAATTTGTTTATGTTCCTTGTAAAATATTTTTTTCATTTGATCTTGCAGACCATCAAAGCGTTTTCTCAGCAGTAGCTAGTCTGTCAATAGTTTGATTGCATTTACAATTTATACATATTGTTTTCAGATCCAGATGCTACGCTTTGTGCTCTCTTCATCTTTTTGAGAATTCTTACTATAATGCTATCTTACTGCAGAACCTTAGACCATCATGCCCTTAGTAATGGATGTGATGATTAGTTTTCTTTTGCAAAACTAAAAAATTTTAAACATATTGGATATTTTTCAGAAATATCAGAAATATTTTAAAATCACGGATATGGTGATTACTTTTCTTTTTGACTGAAAATGACCATCACTGAGTTGTCACAGAGGCTTTCCTTTCATTTTTTAAATTTTTTTTGAGACGGAGTCTCACTCTTGTTGCCCAGGCTAGAGTGCAATGGCGCGATCTCGGCTCACTGCAACCTCCGCCTCCTGGGTTCAAGCTATTCTCCTGCCTCAGGCTCCTGAGTAGCTGGGATTACAGGCTCCCACCACCACGCCGGGCTGATTTTTGTGCTTTTAATAGAGATGGGGTTTCATGTTGGCCAGGCAGGTCTTGAACTCCTGACCTCAGGAGATCCACCTGCCTAGGCCTCCCAAAGTGCTGGGATTACAGGCTGAGCCACTGCGCCCGGCCAGAGGCTTTCCTTTCTATAGTCCTTGCAAAAGAAAGCTGCAGCAAGTTGAACAAGCTTTGAACAGTGTACTTCAACCCCAGGATTTAGCTAAAAGAACCAGCATGTATATGGACCCATGAGAAAAGAATACAAAGGCTCATATCACCTTGTGATCTGAATTAGTGCCCTGTTTTTTTGTTTTGTTTTTAAAGTGAGTTAGACAATGGACTCTCTGTCTCAGGAAGTTGAACAAAATTTATAGAAGGATTGCAGCTGCCAAAAGAGGCTGAAGTCAGGAGGATATGGGCTAGAGCTAAGACCATAGGGAGAGTGATAAACCAAAGCCAGGAGTGAGATAGATGAACTTAAGAGAGAGCAATAATGTTGAGTACACAGAGAAGCCACCGCTCATCCATTCCAGGTAAGCCCCAGTAATCACTCCCTTTTAGCCATTCCTGTGGCATCCTTATTCCTTGGTTTTGAACACACCTCAATAAAACATTTTCTCCTGCTACTGAGCAGCTGGAACAAAATCATTGCCATAAAACTCAACAGGGTGCCGATCTCTGATACCCAAGGTTTCTAATGAATAGGGTACTGGACAGTGGCAATCTTTGTATATAAAATCTGGGGAAAAAAGAAAATTTTTCTGATTGTTTACGATAACTATATAACCTTTCCTCCAACTTATCCCAAGTCTTTGATTCTCTGGAAAAAAGTATAGGTGCTGCTTATGATGAACAGGCTTTAGTGTACCCATATCATCCCTGTCTCTTGGAGTCCATGCCCTTATGTAATTCTCTCTCCTTGAGGGTAGGCAAGACCTGTGACTTGCTTCTAACCAATGTGGCAAAGATAATGCATGATTAGGTGGTATTACATGCAACGATAGGTGGTATATCTCATGATTAGGCAGTATTATATGCAAAGGTGGTGGGATGTGATGGCCATTATTACATTACTTTATATAATACTCCATCCTAGTAGATTGAAACTAAAGTCCCTCCTTAGAGGCTTAATGAAGTAAGTGGCCAAGTTGGAGAAGCCTAATTGGCAAGAAACTGCGGGTGCGCTCCAGGATCTGCTGTCAGCGCCTAAGATCTCAGAGCAACCTTCAGTCAACAGCTAGCAAAAAGCCATGGCCCTCAGTCATGCAGCCACAGGAGATTAATTCTGCCAACATCCTGAATAAGCTTGGAAGCAGATTCTTCCCCAGCTGAGCCATTAAATGAAAATATAACCTGACCAACACTTTGGTTACAGCCTACTGACTCTGAAGAAATCACTCAGCTAGGCTATACTCAGTTTCCTAACTGTGAAATAAATGTGTACTGTTTGAAGCCACTATGTTTATGGTCATTTGATACGCAGCAATAGAAAACTTAGGCACTATCAAAGCAAGGGATGTAAGAAAGCACAAAACCAACCAGACGTGGTGGCTCACGCCTGTAATCACAGCACTTTGGGAGGCCGAGGCGGGAGGATCATGAGGTCAAGAGATGGAGACCATCTTGGTCAACATGGTGAAACCCCATCTCTACTGAAAACACACACATAAAATTAGCTGGGCGTGGTGGCGTGCTCCTGTAGTTCCAGCTACTCGGGAGGCTGAGGCAGTAGAATTGCTTGAAACTGGGAGGCGGAGGTTGCAGTGAGCCGAGATTGCGCCACTGCACTCCAGCCTGGTGACAGAGTGAGACTCCATCTCAAAAAAAAAAAAAAAAAAAAAAAAGAAAAGAAAAGAAAAAAAAGAAAGTACAAAACCAGAAGGCTAACTCTGCCCCTGCCTTACCCTTTTCAGTGTGGCCTGACACAGGCAGAACCATGCCACGTGCTGTTTCTCCACCTGGGTTACTACATTGCTTTATGATCTATCCTTCCTTAGGCATTTGCAAGACTCCAGTGTACCAAGAGAAAATTTTATCAGGCTATGATTAAGTGTGTTTATTCACCAAGGTAAACTGGCTGTGGAAATTGTTGAATTACACTTGAGCAGAACTTTAACTAGTTTTAATATGTGTTTACCCACATTACCTCACTTGATACTCATTATAATCCTGCACGATGTGTAAGTATTCTGTTGAAGCTGAGAGATTAAGTTGTTTGCTCAAGTTTCCCAGCGAGTAGTGGCAGAGCCAGAAGTGAATCTAAGTCTTCTAAAACCAAGGCCAGTTTTCTCCTTTATGTGAAAATCACCTCTTAGAGAGAAGGCCTTACCTGAACCTCCAGAATAATGTTTAATTATGACAATATGGTCTCAGTTCTTTCAAAAGTAGAATAAAATTAGAAAATGGAGATCAGCACTTCCTGTAAAATTGTGGAGGTCATCTGGTATAGAGTAGTTAATGAAAGAATGTAAATGTATCATATGTGATGGAATTTCTCTGTCGTCATCAAAGAACATTAACAGTGGACACATGTACTCTCATGCATGTGCCCTTGTGTCAAGTGTTGAATCTATACTGACTAATGTACTCAAAGGAAAACTTCAAGTACAGACATTATTTGTACTCAGAGGTTAGAAGTCAAAAAATCAAAAGTCTACTGTAGGCTTTGGATAGAATAATGAAGTCTTGCTTATCTTTGGAGGAGGATAATTATCCCCTTTGACATTCTGAAAAAAAAAGTTTGTGTAACTTAAAAGTCTTGGAAGTTTGGTATAAGAATGAGCATGTCCAAACTGTTCTGTTACTTGAAAAGTGATTGTCAGGCCGGGTGCGATGGCTCATGCCTGTAATCCCAGCACTTTGAGAGGCCGAGGCAGGCGGATCACGAGGTTAGGGATTTGAGACCAGCCTGGCCAACATGGTGACACCCCGTCTCTACTAAAGACACAAAAAATTAGCCAGGCATGGTGGCAAGCACCTGTAATCTCAGCTACTTGGGACCCTGAGGCAGGAGAATCGCTTGAACCTGGAAGGCGGAGGTTTCAGTGAGCCAAGATCACGCCATTGCACTCCAGCCTGGGCAACACTGGGCAACAGGGCGAGACTCCGTCTCAAAAAAAAAAGAAAAGTGATTGTCAGGTAAAAACAAAGGCAAAAAAGATGAGTAAGGAACTTACTCTTACTTCCAACTAGTCAAAGAAGTCTTCCAGAATCAATAAGACTTCTTACTTTACAGTAAATTCTAGTTTATGTGGTAATATTGACGTGATTCCTGATCCAAATCAGTTTTCCAAATGAGGTTTTAATAATTGTATTTGATGACTACAAATGTACTCTATGCTCGGTGGGAAATGCAATGGTCTCGACCCATTTTCTAGGTGCAAGTATGTGGTGATAACTCATAGACAAAGATGGTAGCCAGAGATATGATGAGTCAGATTCTGCCAACATCCTGAATAAGCTTGGAAGCATATTTCTTCCCTAGCTCAGGGAAGGATAGCCTGACCAACACCTTGGTTACAGCCTAGTGACTCTGAACAAAGCTTTCGACTTTGAAAACAGAGAGAGCATTTGATCATGTATGGAATTTGAGAGAAATAGGAAGAGTCAGGGTTAACTAGGTAATTTTTTAGCTTAAGCAACTGGAAGAATGGAGTGTATAGGAATTCAGTCTGGGAAATATCAAATTTAAGATATTTTATCAGACATTCATGTGAAGAAGTTGAATAGATAGTTGGGCAAACAAATGTGGAGTTCAAGAAAGAGATCTGGCTGCAGCTCTAATTTAGTTAACCAAATAATTTCTCCAAGGGATTGAATGAGGCAGAGAAGAAAAGAGACCAAACATTAAGCCCCAGGAAACACTGGAATTAAAAGGTGAGGCAGAAGAAGTAGAACAGCGGAGATGACTGAGATGACTGACTCAATATATTATCAGTGAGGTGAAAGGCAAGCTAAGAAAGTGTTTGGTGCCTTGGAAACCAGGTGAAAATGTATCAAAGAAGGAAGGAATGATCAGTTGAAAATATTGTTGATATGGCAAAAAAAAAAAAAGTGAGAACTTAATAATTGACATTGGATTTAGCAACATAGAGCTTATTGGCAACTTTGGTAAGAGGAGTAGTTTGGGTAAAGTTTAACCTTGGGTGTTTTGGGTAAAGTTTAATTAGAATGAATTTAAAAGACAATGGGAGGAAACAAATTGGAGACATTAGGATTACATAACTTTGTTGCTGCCGTTGTTGTTACAAAAAGAGTTTTGCTGCAAAAAAGAACAAATAAATTGTATAATAATCAATGAGTGAGGTAAGGCCAAGAGAAGAGGACTTTTTGGTTTTGTTTATTTTTAAGAAATAGTGGCATGTTACTTGACTGATAGGAATAATATGGTACTGATATTTACCATATCAGTCAAGTGGCATGTTACTTGACTGATAGGAATAAAATGGGTGAGAAGAGTTCACTGTTGAATAAGCTTCCCCGTGTGAGCAAGGGGTCAGGAGCCTGGTGCCTTAGTACAGCTGTTGGCCTTAGGTGGGAGTGGAGTGTGGATGGTTTTTGTGTAGGACCACACAGAGAGACAGAACGTGTGGTGTGCAGACACCGGCAGGTGGGTAGATGTTGTGGTGGACATCTGTGGAGGTTCTCTGCTGATTGCTTTGAAGATCTCAGTGAAGTAAGAGGCCATATGTCTAACTAAAAATAAGAATGGGGAAGGAGGTATTGGAGGTTTGAGCAGAGAGGGTAGGGAGTTAAATTGTCACTCAGGAGATTGGAAGAGAATTGTCTAGGCAAGTATGTACAATTGCAGACAGCATTAAGGTCCACTTGAGGGGGATAATAATGAACTTAAATTGAAGCCAGTGTGTTTGTACAAATTTTTCCACCTATATTCAACTTGAGTGCAGCAGCAGGAGAGGCAGAAAGTTGAGTTTAACCAACGTTCTGCTTTTGCTAAGTGAGAATTATAAAGTTAGGGAAGGACAAAGGAGTTGGGGGTATGTCCAAGGGAACAATTCATAATTATCGACCTTGGAATTTCAGCTGGGTGAGAAGGAAGTAGGACATCAAAATGTGAAAAACATTGAAAAATGCTTTTTAAATGGAAAGTCCTAGTGAAATTGAAAAATTTCAGGGTCAGGATACCAGGTGCTCTGAGTAGATAAGTCAGAATGAGACGTAAGAGATGACGGTAGAGAGGGCTTTGAGTTATTGGTAAAAGGTCTAGGTTACAGGCAGCTGAGGTATGCATGGTCTATTATCATGATCTAATCACTTTATTATCTTGGGATTTTCTGTTATCATTATCATTATTTCAGTCCTTTATTATGTGTTAGTAATTAAGTATTCAGTGATGTCAATTTTATTTCTTTCTACTAAATTTGTTGTATATTTGTGCAATTTGGGCCCTCAATTCATCCTCTCCAATTCATTTTTCTATTTTATTCTCTTTTTTAACCATATCCTTTTCAATGTCTTTTATCATTGAATTTATGCTATTCTTTTTTCTTTCTTTCTTTCTTTCTTTTTTTTTCTTTTTGAGATAGAGTCTTGCTCTGTCGCCCAGGCTGGAGTGCAATGGCATGATCTCGGCTCACTGCAACCTCCGCCTCCTGGGTTCAAGCGATTCTCCTGCCTCAGCCTCCCAAGTGGCTGGGATTACAGGAGTGTGCCACCACACCCAGCTAATTTTTGTATTTTTAGTAGAGACAGGGTTTCACCATGTTGGCCAGGCTGGTCTCAAACTCCTGATCTCAGGTGATCCACTGCCTCAGCCTCCCAAAGTGCTGGGATTACAGACATGAGCCACCACGCCCTGCCCGAATTTATGTTATTCTTACACTGCTCCTAGAACTTTCATAATTTGCATGGATTCTTTTTAAAATGAGACATAATCTACATACAGTGATGCATACAATTTCGATCTGTTTTGACAAATTACACCTGGGTAAGTTTCTCTCTCTCTCTTTTTTTTCTTTTCTTTTTTTTTTTTTTTTTGAGATGGGGTTTCGCTCTGTCGCCTAGGCTGGAGTGCAGCGGCGTGATCTCAAACCTGGGTAACTCTCTCTTATCAAGACAGAGAATACTTAGTTTATCCTAGAAATCCCTTGCGCCCTTCCCCAGTCATTCAACCTCAGAAGCAACCACTATCACCATAGATTAGTTTTGTCCATTCTAGAATTTCATGTAAATGAAATAATATAGCACATATTCTTTGGTTTCTGACTTTTCACCCAAAATAATGTTTTTGAGATTCATCCCAACTGTCATATGAAGCAGTAGTTTATTCCTTCTTACAATTGAGTAATATTCCATTGTACAATGTATCTGTTCTTCAGTTGATGCTGATGAATATTTCAGTTTGGGATTATTAAGAATATGCTATGAATATCCTTGTATAAGTCTTTTTGGGAACACATGTTTTCATTGCTTTTGATAAATACCTAGAAGTAGAATTCTAGGTCATAGGATAAAGGTATGCTTTTAAGAAACTTCCAAACAATTTTCAACGTTTGCACAATTTTACTTTCCTACCAGTAATGTATGAGAGTCTCAGTTACTTTGAATCCTTTCCAGTATTTGGTTTGATGTGATCAATCATTTTCTTTTTCTTTTTTTGCCTTTTTATTATTTATTTATTTATTTATTTATTTAGTGACAGGGTCTTGCTCTGTCACCCAGGCTGGAGAGCAGTAGTGCAATTCTATCTCACTGCAGCCTAGAATTCCTGGGCTCAAACCATCTTCCCACAAAGCTAGTGCTGTAGGTCACACCGCCACAACCACACCTGGCTGACTTCAAAAAAAAAAAGGTTTTTGTGGAGGCAGGGTCTTGCTGTATTGCCCAGGCTGGTCTCAAACTCTTGCCCTCAAGCAATCCTCCCACCTCAGCCTCCAAAAGCGCTGGGATTGCAGGCATGAGCCACCATGCTCAGCCCTATTATTTTCATTTTAACCATGCTCAGCCCAATTATTTTCATTCTAATGGTGTGCGGTAAAACCTTTTTGTGGTTTTAATATGCATTTCCCAAATCACTGATGCCGATGATGGAAACTTTCTTACGTATTTTTGTCTATTCTCCTGTCTTCTTTTGTGCAGTATCTCTTCAAATCTTTGCTTTTTTTTATTAGGTCATTTTTCTTTTATTATTGAGTTATAAAAGTTTTTATATATTGTGGATACGGGCCCTTCACAAGATATATGTGTTGTGAATATTTTCTTCCAGTCTGTGGTTTGCCCGTTAATTTTCTTAATGGTTTCTTTGATGAGTAAAAGTTTGAAACTTTGATGAACTTCCATCTATCACTTTGTTAATGTTTTTTGTGTCCTCTCTAAGGAATCTTTGTATCTCTAAGGTGAGAAGATTTTTTTTTGCCTTATGGTTTCTTCTAGAAGTTTTATAGTTCCGGGTTTTACATGTAGCCTGTGATCTACCTCAAATTAATTTGTGACTTGTTGTGAGATAGGGATTGAGCTTCTTTTTACCATATTAGAATCCAGTTGTTCCAATATCATTTGTTGAAGAGACTTTCCTTTCCGTTGAATTGCTCTTACATTTTTTCAAAAATCATTTGACTGTATGTAAGTGGGTCTATTTGTGGGCTCTGTATTCTGTTCCAATGATAACTTGTCCATTTTTGTTGTTGTTAATACAACACAGTTCTGATTATAGTCACTTAATAGTCTTGGCCAGGCGCGGTGGCTCATGCCTGTAATCCCAGCACTTTGGAAGGCCGAGGCAGGTGGATCACCTGATGTCAGGAGTTTGAGACCAGCCTGGCCAACATGATGAAACCCTGTCTCTACTAAAAAATACAAAAAATTAGCCAGGTGTGGTGGTGGGTGCCTGTAATTCCAGCTACTCGGGAGGCTGAGGCAGGAGAATCACTTGAACCCTGGAGGCAGAGGTTGCAGTGAGCTGAGATCGTGTCTCTGCACTCCAGCCTGGACAACAAGAACAAAACTCCATCTCAAAAAAAAAAAAAAAAAAAAAAGTAAGTCTTGAAGTTAGGTGGAATAGGTGCTCCAACTGTGTTTTATTTTCACAGTTGTTTCGCATCCCTTTGGCATGCCCATATAAATTTCAAAATTGTCTTGTCGATTTCTACAAAAAAGAATTCTGCTTGGTTCAATCAGTTAGGTTTGGGGCAATTGTTATGTTAATAATATTGAGTTTGCAATCCATGAACACAGCATATTGTTTTTGTTGTTTAGGTTAAATGTAATGTCTCAGCAATAACTTGGTTTTTTTAGACAGCAATCTAACATATCTTTGTTCATTTTATCTCTAGGTACTTTATATTTGGGGATGTTTTGTAATTGGTTGTATTAGGCCATTTTTGCATTGCTATTAAAAAATACCTGAGGCTGGGTAATTTGTGAAGAAAAGATGTTTCATTGGCTAATGGTTCTGCAGGCTGTATAGGAAGCTAGTGCCAGCATCTGCTCCTGGTGAGGCCTCAAGAAGCTTCCAATCATGGCAGAAGGTGATGGGGAGCCAGTGTGTCATATGGAGAGTGAGAACAAGAGAGATGGGGTGATACACACTTTTAAACAATCGTATCTCTTGTGAACTCACAGCAAGAGCACACTCATTACCATAGGGAGGGCACCAAGTCATTCGTGAGGGGCCCGCCCCCATGACCCAAACACCTCTCACCAGGCTCCACCTCCAACATTAAGTGTTATATTTCTGCTGGGTGCAGTGGTTCATGCCTGTAGTCCCGGCACTTTGGGAAGCCGAGACGGGCAGATCACGAGGTCAGGAGATCGAGATCATCCTGGCTAACACGGTGAAACCCCGTCTCTACTAAAAATACAAAAAATTAGCCGGGCGTGGTGGCGGGCACCTGTAGTCCCAGCTACCCGGGAGGCTGAGGCAGGAGAATGGCGTGAACCCGGGAGGTGGAGCTTGCAGTGAGCCCAGATCATGCCACTGAACTCCAGCCTGGGGGACAGAGGGAGACTCCATCTCAAAAAAACAAAACAAAACAAAACAAAACACCAAAAACAAACAAACAAAAAGAAAACAAAACAGAAATTAGCCGGGCGTGGTGGTGTGTGCCTGTAATCCCAGCTACAATGGAGGCCGAGGCAGGAGAATTGCTTGAACTCGGGAGGCAGAGGCTTGCAGTGAGCCGAGATCGCACCACTGCACTTCAGCCTGGCAACAGAGTGAGACTCCGTCTCAAAAAAAAAAAAAAGGGTTATGTTTCAAAATGAGACTTGGAGAGGATACATATCCAAACCATATCAATGGTATTTTAGTAAATTTTTAAAATTCTGAATAGTTTTAGATTTATAGAAAAGTCGCAAAGGTAATACAGAGTTCTCCCATACCCCTCATCCAATTTCCCTTATTGCTAATGTCCTACATTATCATGGCATATTTGCAACAATCAAGAAAGCAACACTGGTACATTACCGAAAACTACATTCCACACTTTATTCAGATTTCACTATTTTTTTCCAGTAATGTCTTTTTTCTGCTCCAGGATACCACATGACATTTTGTCATTGTGTCTCCCCTCTCTCCTCTTGTCTCTGACAATTTCTCAGTCTTTCCGTTTTTTTTTAAATGACATTGACAGTTTTGATGAGTCCTGGTCAGGTATGTTGTAAAATTTTCCTCAATTTTCTCACCATTAGACTGGGATTATGGGCTTTGGGGAAGGCTGCCATAGAGAGGAAGTGCCTTTCCTATCATATCATATCAAAAGTTCATGCTACCAACTGATGACGTTAACATTGAGCCTCTGGCCAAGGCAGCGTTTGTCGCGTCTCTCCACTGCGGAGTTACCGTTCTTCATCCCTCTTCATATGCTACTCTTTGGAAGCCTGTCACCTCCTGGAGAGAGCAATATTTACATCAATTATTTGTTGGCCAGGTGCGGTGGCTCACACCTGTAATCCCAACACTTTGGGAGGCTGAGGAGGGTGGATCACCTGAGTTCGGGAGTTCGAGACCAGCCTGACCAAAATGGAGAAACCCTGTCTCTACTAAAAATACAAAATTAGCTGGGCGTGGTGGCACATGCCTGTAATCTCAGCTACTCAGGAGGCTGAGGCAGGAGAATTGCTTGAACTCAGGAGGCGGAGGTTGCGGTGAGCCGAGATTGTGCAATTGCACTCTAGCCTGGGCAACAAGAGCAAAACTCTGTCACAAAAAAAAAAAAAAATTATATGTTATTCTTCTGTAAGGGAAGACTTGTCTTTATTTTTATTTTTATAATAAAATGCTACATTATTTATTTTGTTGCTCAGCTTGTTCCAGCTTCAGCCATTGGGAGCTCTTTCAGGTTGGCTTGTAAGTCCCTTTGACATGCATGCCCCCCATCAGTTTGATTTTTGAGCATTTTCTTACTTTCTCACCCTACAGGATACTCCAGGCTCATTTTTGTATGCTTGTTGCACCAGTCCTGGAACCAGCCATTTCCCCAAGGAGCCCTGATTTCTTGATTGGAGAATAGTAACTGAGATCAGGGTACTTGGCAGGCTTATTGTTACACAGGTGTTACTGCTTCTAGGCTTCTAGACCTAAGAACTGCCTGAGTATACACATGTACCATAAGGAGTTCTATATGTATGTATTACATATATATAAACCTAAACCTGACTTCATGCTGATGTCTCTCATCTAGGACAAACTGTTTCATCCTAGCTTCCTACCTTTGCTTTTCTATAACTTTCCTCTTGAACAGCAAGAAAACTGGCTACTGTCCTCCACCATCCATTTACTTATTTACTTGTCAAACCTGCTATGCATGGAACACAGTTCTGGAATTGTTAGCCAGTAATCCCAGGAGAAACAACATTACCAACTAGAATACATTGTATAGGTACAGCTGCTTTTGTGTTTAGCCTTCAAGTTTTCAGTCAAAATGCTGTTTTCCAAAGTTACTTAGTTCAATCCTTCCCTCCCTCACCCATATCCTGCAGTGAGGTTGTGTCGTACATTGTAACACAGTTAGATTCTTCTGTCACATTCTACATTCTTTTCTGGGGTCCCCTAACATCCTGTGGCTTTATTATTTATTTTTTTACTTTGCATACATTGAAATTCACATTTTGTGCTATAAAGTTTTATGGATCTCGACAAGTGCACAGTCATTAATCCTCTCCTACTTTGCCACACATAATGGTTCTATCACCCTAAAAATTCCCTTCTGCAGCCTCTTTGTAATCAACTACTCCTCCTTCCCCAAGCCCTGACAATTACTGATATAGGGTTTTCCATTCCTTGACAATTACTGATACAGGATTTTCCATTCTATAGCTTTGCCTTTTCCAGAACATCATATGAATGAAATAATACAATATGTAGCTTTTTAAATCTGGCTTGTTTCCCTTTTGCACACACCAGAGAAGTAGACATATTTTTGAATACATCATATTTTTATGGATGAGTAGCCCTGCAGGAGGATTAAATAAATTAATAGACTTTGTTTAAAAAAAAAGTGTTAAATGCAAATAAAGTCCAGTCACTGGCTGCAGTGCTCTGGCTGGCAGCTACGCAGAGCAGAGTAAAACACCTGGGACTATTGGGTAAATATGTGAATTGTGGAAAAGAATCACTACCACTTAAGTAGCTCTGTTATCTTCGCTAATTTTCTCCCACTCACTAAACAATTGTGGAAGAGTTTGTTAGGGGAGAATGAGCTTTCTTTGGGCATCAGTGCGGTCCGTTTTGCAATAGCATTCAATTGGTTTCTCACTTGCTTCTTTCTCGCTTCTGGGAAAATGTGGCCATAGAGCTTATTTTCCTTTTGCATCTGTCTCAGTTATTTTTCATGGATGTTGCCCGCCATCCTACTCCATGAGTGTCTCCAGCTAACACCCGCCCCCGTGCACCAGTCATGCCCTCTTGCCTCTCAGCTCCATACCCATCCTTCTGCAGCCTACGCCCTCATCTGCTGACTTCTTACGTTCTGCCAATAGGTGGTGCTAGAGAGAGAATGGACTCCTACTTTTCGAATTTAGTGTTGCTCAGAGAGAGGCAGCTGCCTGGAACTGGGCTTTTCTGGAGCTTCCAGAACCTTCTATGTCCTGTAGAGCCGCCATCAGCAGTGGCTATGCCCCTTCCTCAGAGATCTGAGCACCATTGCCTCAACAACTTGCATCTTTTTTCTTTTGTTGCGTCAGCTCAGGGGTAGTAGCAAATTTCATATCTAATTCCTGGGACAGAAGAAATGACAGGGCCAATAATTTATAAATGATGTAGGGATGCATGCATGTATGTACAAATTAATATATGCCTATTTATTTTCTTAAAGTTTGCCCTGTTTTCAGAGAAGGAAATTGAGGTAGTTTATAAGGATAGTCATTTATCATATACTGCTTAATAGCATATAATTTTATTTGTGGAAATGACTGTTTGGTTATTAAAGGAAACTGAATAACCAAACTTCCTCAGTATTCCTTTTGTGCTTCCAGTCTACCAACACCTGAGGAATCATTCTTGTATTAAATCCTGCGTGTTCGAAATTCCCGATATCGTTTCTCTTTCTCTCACTGTATCCTGACTGACAAAACCAGTTAAAAGTCCAGTCTTCCCACCCCATTCTTGTGGCATCTTACTCCTTTAGAAGATTTCTCATTCAGGCCAGGTGCGGGGGCTCACACCTGTAATCCCAGCACTTTGGAAGGCCGAGGCAAGCAGATCATCTGAGCTCAGGAGTTCAAGACCAACCTGGCCAACATGGTGAAACCCCATCTCTACTAAAAATACACCAATTAGCTGGGCGTGGTGGCGTGTGCCTGTAATCCCAGCTACTCAGGAGGCTGAGGCAGGAGAATCACTTGAACTCGAGAGGTGGAGGTTGCAGTGAGCCGAGACTGTGCCATTGCACTCCAGCCTGGGCAACAAGAGCTAGACTCTGTTTCAAAATAAAAATAAAAATAAAAATAAAAAAAGTGAAGAAGATATCTCATTCAGCGCTTCACATGATTCTCTTTTTTGAAGAAAACCTCCTGTAGATGTCAGGACATTTTATAAAGACTTTAATATCTATACTTTACAATAGGGGGAGCATGTTTACTGCTCTCAGGAGCATCCCACAAATGGAAGGCAGTGCTTTTATTATTCTGAGATGAAGTTTCAATTTCCTTTAATGACCAAACTCTGTCATTTCCACAAATAAAATTATATACTATTAACCAGTACATGATAAATGAGTATCCTTGTTAACTACCTCAATTTCCTTCTGTGAAAACAGGACAAACTATAAGCAAATAAATAGACATATATTAATTTCTGCATACCTGCATGCATTCCTACATCGTTTACAAATGATTGGCTTCGCCATTTCTTCTGTCCCAGGAATATGTAATTTGGTTTTTTTACACACGTAAAACCAGCAAATAAACAAAAGAAAATTGAAAACAATAGTAACGAGGAGAGTATTTACATTTTCAGCTACTCCATTCCCCAGTGTGCTTGGGGTCTAGAGCTCTAGGTTATCACCATTTTACACATGAGGCTTAAACAACAGATTCAAAGAAATTAGTGACTTGGCTCATTTATCCAGCTAGTAAGTAGCAGCTCAGCCGGCCTCACTATCCATGATTGTACGCACCATTTTCCTAAAGCCTAACCGTCCTCCTACTTCCCAGGTCCCTGACGGTAGGCAGTATCCTTGAAAGAATGCGGCTGTCCCTGTCAACCTGGATGGAGAGTTCAGCCCCTGGCTTGGGAAGTTAGGCCTCTGACCATGAGTTTTACTCTCCCTCCTTTAACTTTTCCCTCCCGTGAAGAAGAAAGTTATTTTCAAACCTCCATCTGTTTTGTGTTTAACGTGCAGAAAGGTTGCACATTTTCAGTCAGGGACCTTGTTCATAAGCAGTAGATCGTACAACAGTTTATTACACAAGTGGAGATTTTTATGGCTGGCCTTTGTTGAGTTGCCAACTGGGAGAAAGAACATAACGTGCTTAGTGGTCCCTATCAGGAAAAATGAGAAAGCATTAAATACCAGTCAAATCGTCAAGCATTGGAAAGCTGGTAATCAAATCCAGAAATCCCTGGAGTATGGTTGATGAGGAGGGTTTTCTCATCACATTTTTTACATCCATAATTGTTTTCCAAGTCACTTGTGTCACAGGCAGTATCCCAAAGCATTATGTGAGAAGTGCCTCAATGGTGGAATAAACGTTTGACCTAGAAAGACTCACGTCCACTTTGAAATCTGGCCCTGGTCAATGCAGGGCATGAAACTGGCACCCCAGGAAGAGCTTTATATATTTTTAATTACATTATCATGTTGAGGACATCAGCTACATAGAAACTTGCTCAAGACTTACTAGGCTTCTTTCCATACCCAGGCCATATTCTCTGTATTCCTAGGAGGGAATGTAATTTACTGGTGGTTTGTCCCCAGCCATGAGACAGAGGGTAGAAAACTCCACAAAGCATCCTAGTAAACATTGCATCTGAACAATTCCAACTGTAACCAGCCAATGCCAATGGTAATGGATCACTCTTGCCCCTTCCTTTTTAATTTTCCCAAAAGCTCAGACCATCACAGAGGCTGCCCAATAAAAGTCGGTAGAGACCTCAGAAACATTCCAGTCTTCCAGCAGTTCTCAGCCCAGGCTGCACGTCAGAGTCCCTGGGGGAGCCTCATCCCAGCCTAATTAAATAAAATCTCTTGGAGTGGGCGAGGACATTGGTACATTCTCCAGGTGACCCTAATATGCTGCCTGGATTAGAAATCACGGGTCTAGTCTAGCTACCTAATTTTACTGGTGGAGGAAATTGAGCCTGGAGAAGTTACTGTCCACAATACTTGATTCACAGTGCCTTGGTTCTTTCCCAGGGAGGCGTTTTCTCACAATCACGCTGTAACTCCATAACTTCATGTCTCACATCTCCTAACTCTGTGTTTATAAAAGCGACGCATTCAAACCTAACCCAGTCCGCTTTTTGCTTGTGCACAAATACCGTGCAGTAGCTTGTATGAGCAGTACCAGCAGCTCTGTGTTCCCCAAGGTATATGAAGAATAATGTCAGGACTGTGGAGAAAATGCAGGTAAAGAACCCACTTTTTTCTCCAGATGGTCCATGGAGAAGGGATTTAAGAAGTGGTCCTTAAACATGAAGGAGATTCAACTTCATTTTTCTTATTAGTCCCTTATTAAATCCTTCTCTGTTTGTGTTTGAAAAAACAGCTGTGTGTTGTGTGTTTGAAAAAACAGTCCTACTTTATTCCTGATGTCAATGTTAATGGTCTCCCCATCAAGTCCCAAAATGTTCTAAGATGGTTATTAAATTTTATGATCACCCTACTCTAGATGAGTCCCACCAAAAGTGTCACACTTGCTGTTATTGAAAGATCCTTCCTTTTTCAGGCTGAGAATCTCAAGCCTTTTTCCAACCCACAGGCCACGTTCTAATTGCTTTCTTCCTGGGAGTCTGATAAACAGTGTTCTCGATCTGATAGACAGCTAATACCCCGGGGGGACATTGCTCGGTAGCCTTGGACTTCTCAGCTTAATCGCCCTAGCTTTAATGCCACTTAAATCAGAATGTAAGCACTGAAAGAATTTCAGGAATCCAATGATATAAATTGTATTTTTAGAGCCGTGAATGACTTGAGCGAGTGAAACAGTGCAGTGGCTTAAGATAGTTCTCTTTAGTTTTCCCATGATTTATCACAAGCAAGTTCACAGCAGGTTAAAATAATTGAATGCGGTGATAGCATACATACTGGCATGATTTTATGAGCCGTCATTCATAACATATTTGTCCCAAAGCATAATTTCCATGATAGAACTCTGATTCACATGTAATTTTTTTGCAGCGACGACACAGTTGAAATAACTCCTTCGTGGAGGCTGGCTACATTTTCACAACGTCTGGTCCCAAGCTAGATCTTCGGGAAAAGGGATCAAGGAAATGACTATTCCTCCAAATAAAATGTAAGTATATCCTGATAAAATGTTCACTTTTTTGGAGAATAAAGAGAAATGTTCTTTCCGGGAGAATTGTGACTCGGAGGTTATGCCTTGCGATCTCTACCTATTTCTCACTACTTCTTTTATTTTTCTTTTTCCTTCATTGTTTATTTTCCACTTTTCTCCTAATGTACTTTTTCTTCTACTTATTAGCTGTGTCCCCTGGGCAAGTAATTTTTCCACTCTGTAATCAAATGCTATAATATGGGGATGATAAAAAATAACTCCACAGGTCATTGTGCAGAATAGAGATAATGAATGTGTGGGTACATATGTGCCCCAAAACTCAGCTGTGTAAGAAAAGCAACTTTCTTTTTATATTTTTATAACTCGACTTAGTTTCTATTTTGAATCCCTATTTGGCTTCATCGTGGAGATGTAATCTCAGTCAAAGCAAGATGCTCTCATCAAAACCTACATGACATCTACATGGATGTCAGATCCATGTAGCTTTCCACCTTCAGCCCTGCCTGGATGTTCCACCATTGCCCTGCCGGTTAGCCAGGCTGCAGGCAGGTGCTACACGCTAGGACTCCTTCCTGGGAACTCAACCATCACGTCAGGTTTCTTGGCTTCCCTGGATCTCCTTCTCAAATTTGAAAAGTCTTGTCTGGTCTGGAGAAAAAGTTTCCCAGCTTTTCATTTAATCTTCCAAATCTTTAGTTTATGACCAGAACCTGCCATTTGAGACTCAAAAGCTAAAAATATGACTCCTCTGTTATCTTTGTTTCACTGGTTTTCCCTTCCCTGAAGCTTTACAGAAGGCCTAGCTGCCTAATGGGGAGAAACACGGGAAATACCAAGGAAAACATATGGGCAAATATCTCCCAAGAATTTCCCACCACTTGTATGAAGCACCAAGAGGAAGGCCTGACATACAGTAGGAAGCCAGCAAAGGTGACTGCACCTTTATATGAAGGTTCCAAGTCTGGTTCCATGTTTCTGGGCTCTGTGTCCTTGGACAAGTTGTCTTTCTGTGCCTCAGTTTCCCCACCTGCAACATGGAGATGATAATAGTACTTACCTCACAAGGTAATATGTGTATAAAGTGTTCAATGAATTAGTTACACTATTATTGTTTTTTTTACCACTAGTACAAACTTCTGTCCTTGAAAGCCATTAGCTTAATACTATCGGCAACCATAATAGTGTTGATGCAGTTGACACATAGAGTGCATCCCACAGAGGAGAAGGTAAACATATCACAGGGAAAGAGGGAGCTACTGGTCCCAAGTATGAAACTGGGATGAGTTTCCTGGAAATGCATCCTTCTGGGTAAAATCTGGGTATAATGATGCTGAGTGGTGAGTTAAGAAGCAATCAGCCAACTTCAGTCAAGGCAGTTCTCAGGTGCTAGCAAGGAGAGGCAGATTCTTGAGGATCTAGAGTCTGAATCAGAAGATGGATCCAAGCTTGTAACCCAGGGGACAAAATGGAGTCAGAAGAAAGGGATGAGGAGCAAAGTTAGAGAAAGGCAGGCTAAGCCAATGTGAGAAATAGATCTGGTTGACGATGGCCAGCAGTTGTTGGAGAACAGAATACGCGTGGGGCCTCTCCTGAGATGTGAGGCCACTGAGGGGTTTTGCTGAGGGAGATACCACTTCTGTGAGCAAGGACAATGAGAGGAAACTGCGGGAGAGAGAATGGTCCACCAGTCCCAAGCTAAATAAACCTTTTTCTCTGGCCCATCCAGCTGATGAGCATGAGAATGAGAATGTGGGACCTCCACCCCTGCACCTGCCTACCCTCCAGTCCCAGAGCCAGTTTGGTCTATGTCTTTCTCAACCCACATTCTGCCAGGACAATTGAGCCCGAATGGGACAGTGGAAAGGGCATCGCATGGGAAGTCAGGAGACCTGAACTCCAGACCCAATCAATGACCAACTAGCCTGAGACTTTAGACATATTCCTTCACCTCTCTGAACCTTAGGGCCCTCAATGAGGAGGTAGGACCACATAAGAACAGAGCTAAATGGGCATAGTTAGCGGTATGGGAGCCAGAGGGCCAGTGATATGAATTCTGTCTTTGCCATTTACCAGATGTAGGTCAACTAATTTAATCTCTCTAAACTCCAGTGTCTTCATGTATAAAGATGGGGCTAATAGCACACCCCTCACCTGATTAATTGGAAGATGAAATTCAAGAGTGTCTGGGACATGTTTAGTAGTGTTGTGAAACACTATGCATACTCAATTGATTGTTGCCAATATCACTATCACGATTATCAGTGGAACCCAAGATCTCTATTAGGTCAGGGGCAACTAAGATAGTTGAGTGGGAGAATTCAAGACTGCAGACCCTGCTTCATTAGGAAGAGCAGAAGCGTTTTTCTCTGTTTTATTTATCTCTCTCTCTCTCTTTTTTAACAAAATTAAGTATTTCTCACTGAATAATAATAATAATGTTATAAATCACTGGACTAGGCCAAGGGTTGGCAAACTTTTTTTTTTTTGTAAAGGACCAACTAGCAAATATTTTCAGGTTTGCAGGCCACACGTGGTTGTCCACTGCATATTCTTCCGGTTTTATTAGAATTAGGGTTGAGTTAGGCTTAGATAGAGAATAACAGCATCTATTAGGGTAGAATAGTATTATGGTAACTATTATAACACAAAACCCTTACCTGTGTGTAACAGAAATCTCAGTGCCTAAACAATCAAAACGTATTTCTCACATCACAGTAAAGTGTGAGTAGGGGGTTAGGTTGTCTATGCCACATAATCTTTTGGGGATCTAAAAATCCTTCCTTCTAGTGGCTCTGGAAACCTCTGGATAGAAGGAAAAAAGAGATGGGCCCACATTCAAGAACATTTCAAAAATGTAAAAGCTATTCTTAGCTCAGGGTCTGTACAATCATGCCCCGTCAGCCGCTTTTGGCCTACGGGCCCTAGTTTGCCCACTCCCGGATCAGACCATCTCTCAGGTCCTTTCCAAAGATGAACCAAACTTCACTGTGAGCAATCTCTTTCTTTCTCCATCAAAGTAACCTGGCAGTGAACTCTATAACATCTCCCACTATCTTTCATGTGATAATATTTTTCATATTTACAACAGTTGTCATATTAAGTGTTTTTGTTACATTTTATGTGTAATGTTACACAGAGTTCCTTTGTGAACAGTTTTCGTAAAGGTGGTGTATTAATTTTCAAGGGCTGCTGTGAGGCAGTATCACTAATTGGGTGGCTTAAAACAGCAGAAATTAGCCGGGCACGGTGGCTCATGCCTGTAATCCGAGCACTTTGGGAGGCTGAGGCAGGCGGATCACGAGGTCAGGAGATCTAGACCATCCTGGCTAACACTGCGAAACCCCGTCTCTACTAAAAATACAAAAAATTAGCCGGGCGCAGTGGCGGGCGCCTGTAGTCCCAGCTACTCGGGAGGCTGAGGCAGGAGAATGGCGTGAACCTGGGAGGCGGAGCTTGCAGTGAGCCGAGATTGCGCCACTGCACTCCAGCCTGTGCCAGAGAGCAAGACTCGGTCTCAAAAAAAAGCAGAAATTTGTTTCTTCACAGTCTGGAGGCCAGAAGGCTGCATTCAGTGTTTGAAGGGTTGATTCTTTCTGAGGGAGAATCTGATCCATGCCTTCCTCCAGCTTCTGGGGATGACCAGGACTCCTTGATGCCCCTTGGCTTGCAGACACATCACTCGGGTCTCTGCCTCCATCTTCACACTGCATTCTCACTATGTCTCTGTCTTCACAAAGCCCCTTGGATTGGGGCCCACACTGATGATGTCATCTTAACTTGGTTAAATTTCCCAAGACCCTATTTCCAAATAAAGTCACATGCACAGGTACTGGGGCTTAGAACTTCTATCAGTCTCCTTGATGGACACGATTCGGCTTATAACAGGTGGTGAAAAGCATGGGGTTGCCTATTCATAACTAAGAACTGTTAAATATTAGAAATGGAAAGGACTGTTGGTTCCCCTGTGCTGCTGCAGGGATGAGTAAGATTGATGGCGTGTCCAAACAGCTTAAGTTTTACCCTTCACTGTAAATGGCAGAGAGAACAGTACTACTGCTGCTGCTACCTTGAAGAATGTAAAATTTGCCTTTTAAAAGTGTTTTTGTTTTATGGACATGGAACAATGAACTAGAAAATATGGCACATTCTGTACCCTTCTTCTGCTTTTAACTTATAAATGCTGTATTCAAAATACTGGAACCGTGTGGCTTGCGGTTACTAACAAAATTAAAAATAAAAGCAAAAAGCCCCTTCGCATCCATGTCACCCACTGAGGGAAATGCAGCTTGGTGCCCTGGAGAAGAAATGGACTTTCTGGTGAATTCTCACCCCTTTCTGCAGGGGTCAGGATTTGAAAATTACTACCAGCTGGTTGTAATTCCATCCTATTTTGAAACAGATGACTTAGACTGCTAAACCATCATGGGGCTAAGATTTATTTTCCCCTACTTGGACTAAGTCACAAAGACCCAATTTGCACAGTAGAGAAAAGGAAGAAAATATTTTTTTTTGGTGAGCTCACCTCACCTCTGCCAGTGGAAAACCTACCAATATCTCAGAATTTGCACGAGTGAATTGGGCCATGCCACGCCATCTCTGATATTCCAGAGCAGGAATTGTTTATCTTTTCCAAATTTTCACAGCACTTTCTGTCTCTGCACCTCTTCAGTGGCACTTATTGTGAGACTTATGTCCCTTCCTAAAGTGCAAACTCTCTGAAATCTTAGTAATTACTCAAGGTGGAGAGGAAGGACCCTGTGGACAGGGAGTGACTTGAAATGCTGGAAAGGAAAGAAGAAGCACAGGAGCGAATCCTTCAGGAACCAAGAAGGATGGAACAAGGTTCCAAACTGGAATAGTCTTCCCTGCATAGGAACACCAAGCAATTGGGAATTTCCTGTAAGCTTCACTGGAAGCCAGCTAAGCCTGTAAGGGCTTCTGTTGGAATTCAGCGTCAGGCATAGAACTCTAGTGAATGTGCCTGAAGAAAATCCTATCCAAAGTTTTTGGCATAAGCAAGTCACTTAACTTCTCTATGCCTCAGGGTTCTCATCTATGTGATAGGATTAATCATAGAATCTACCTCATAAAATTGTTGTGGGAATCAACTATCATAATCAATGAAAAGTACTGAGCACCTAGCCAGCCTGGCATACTGTTCCCCAACCTTCCCAAATTTATCCACTAGGAATTGTAATAGAGTAGATTTGAGTTGCAGCCTGGGAGTCCATGTGTTCAGCAAGCATAGTTAAGAAGTTCTTGTTTTCAGGCAAATTCGGGAAGCAATGCTGTAGCAATAGTAATAGCTCAATAAAGAGTAGTTATTTTTATTATGCTACCTTCATCATCATTAACTTATCATTATCATCATCATCACCACCACCACCACCAGGAATTGAAGATAATGTTAGGGAAAAGATTCAGCAACAATAACAGATTCTATAAGCATCATTGAATCAGTTATCTTGACTTTGGTCTGATACGAAGTTATTTTCACTGTTTGTAGAACCAGTAGACAGGTAACCAACTCCAACTCACTCCCGATTTGAATCTCAAGGCGATTATTTCCATTTTACTCTTATTTAGGTGAGGAGGGATCTTAACTTAGAACAAGAACTTGGGCCTTGCTCAATAAATTCAGTGGCTATAAATCTAATCCATGATTCATTTCCATTTTTACCCTGGGGATGAACACAGAGGAGTCTACGCAGTGCTAATTACCACGTTTTGACTGGGGCACCCCAAAGAAGGAAAGAATCACAGGACCACTCCTTAAAGGGACTGAAAAATCTCATTGTCCAGTACTTTCACGTAGGGGCTTCTGCCCCTTTTAACTACTGAAACTACCATGTATCCATTCTTAGACAGCCAGGGCAATGCTTTTTATAAACTCCTATCTGTATCTGATTGCTTTAATGGTTCTCAAAACTCCTTACGATCAGTTACACTTATTTTATTTTCTATTTTATGCGATGTTGTTTTCTTGTTTTTTTTTCCCCCAATCCTTACACCTGACTCCTACGAAGAAGAAACCAAATCGTGTTATTCATTGTACTTACTCCAGTGTCTAGCATAGACTTTCTTTCTAGTATCAGTGAAAAGATTCAATTGTATCCAACTATAAGGTGTCTTAATTTAAACTTCTTTATTTTGAGTGTACCTGCCTAAAGCACCTGACTGTTGTTTTTCTACTTCTTTACATATTTGTTGTTAAAATAATAACAACAGTAGATTGCTCTAAGGGGATGCTACATTAAGATGGCATCTAGTCCAAAGGGCCTTTAAATAATTGAATTTCCTTCATCTCAGGGGTGCCATCTTTTAAGGGGAAAAAATGAATAGGGAACAGTGGCGAGGAAAAACAAAGCAACTATTTTTAGCTTGTCCTCTGGCCCAAAATATTTATCTAGAGCTCCCAGAAGCTGGGCTGGATTATGTAAAATGCTTTACCTAGCCCCAGCTACCATATGTCTTACCACCAAAGCACAACCTAAGGTCTCAAAACTTGCTACTCCCGTTAAGTAAAAATTACATTCTGTAGTGCCAAAGAAAAAGCCCCCAGAAAGACAGAGAATAACAGTGTCTTTTACTTAGGATAGGGCGGCTCTATATCAAAGAGTTACAGCTAAGCAGGATTAAGGCTGATTTCTCACATCAAAATACGATGTATGAGTTGGTAGAAGAGGACTCTTCTCCATGCAGTGTTTCAGGGATCTATAATTCTTCTAGTGACTCCCCCATCTTTTAAGGTTCTGGAGGCCACCCATGAATGGAAGGAAAGATGTATCATGGAGCAATGCTGGGGTTGAGATAGTATAGATCACTTGAGACCACATTCAAGAATCCAGCCACAGGACAACCCTTTGTTATAAGAGAGGCACCTCGCTATGTGCACAGGAGAGAAAGAGAAGTGTCTTGGAGAACTCTTAGCCAGTCTCTGTTACAGACAGTGAGTACATGTGCCCCAAACCTATAGAGTAGCTGACCCAACCACGTACTCAAGGTTGTTGTAGAAAGTGTGGTGTCTGCAAAAGGGAAAATAAAAGGCAGTGTTTGGAAGAAGACAGAGAAAACGGATTCCCACACATCCTGAACTTTCAGTCCTAGTAAAAGTGGCCAACCCCAGTATTCTGGGATCTGAATTATTAGATCAATATTCTATTTTTTCAAAAGAGTAACAGAATTAAGAGCTTGTGGGTATGGGGCAGATAAGTCCTTTCTTCAGCTAGCAGAAAATGCTTGGTTTCCCTCAAAATCTGTGTTCTTAATGTAATTTCTCCCTATTTCTAATTTGGCTTCCCATTGAATACTCAGGCACAGTTCTAGAAGCGAGAAATATTATCTATGGTATATATACCATCATAATAAAACTATGGGTTTTCAAAGTACAATTTTGTTATTTTCTTCCCTAGGGACTATGTCTTCAATTCAGATAATGTGTCACCAGGTGGACGATAATGGTGACAGTTGATAGCCAGCATCTACCTTTATTTTATGCCAGAAACTATTCTAGACATTTTACAGTTACCTACTTCATTCCTCTAACAACCTATAAGGTAGGCCTTATTACTATTTTCTGCAGCTTACAGCTTTGGAAATTGAAACACAAGGTTAGGTAACTTGTCCAAGGTCACACAGTCATCACTGGGGCCAGAATTCCAACCAAAAAAAGAACTAGGTCTTAACCACTGCATTCAACCACTTTGGTGCCAAAAGCTGAACATCCCCTAAGAGTATTTAAGAAAGGAACATAGACAATCGTGATTTTGTACTCAATTATTTTTTTCTATCAAAAATAGAGCTTTTGAGTTTATCTAATCAGCAAAGCATAACACTAGTGTTACCATAGCATTACATTTTTAAAAGTTTAGAGCAAGATATACAAATCTAATTTTCTAGATACAAGTAATCACCTTTCCCACCAATCCTAACAAGAAATCTTAATCCTTTCCTTCTGTAGTTTATACTGATTTAAAACAAGAACTTTTTGTTCCTTTTATTTCCTATTTATGGTACTTTTTAATTCTTTCATTCCTTAGACGTTTACTTCATGAAACTTATAGCATTACATTTCTGAAAATCACAGAAAAGAATTTAACTCCTTTATTTCTACTTTCTATCAATAACCTCTTAAATATGGAATACCCTATAAAATTTTTTCTTCCGCAGGAAAAAAATAATCAGAGCACATTCAAATGCCTTGCATATTTTCATTATTTTCCTTTCATTCAGAAGAATTTCCTCCATTGATCAGTTGCTTTACTTCATTATGTCTCTATGTCATTTGAGACCTAAAGCTCCCATGTTTCCTGTTCGTTATTTGCCATTGCACTAGTGAGGACATGCAGTGTACTGCGAAAGGAAGAGGACATCACTTTCCTTACTCCAGATCTTCTGGGAAAAGCATTAAGTGTTTCAACCATTACTTATTATGTTAGTTTAGTGAATTTTTTTAGATGTTCTTTATCAGACTGAGAAAGTTCTTTTCTGTTCCTAGCTTGCCGATAGTTAATATCATGAAGGGATGTCGAATTTTGTTAAATGGCTTTTCTATATCAATTGAAATGATCATATGATTTTCCTTCTTGAGACTGCTATTGTGGTGGATTACATTGACTGATTTTTGAATATCGACTTATACTTACATTTCCAAGATAAACTTCATATAGTTGCAGTGCATTCTTTATTTTTTTACACATTGTTGAACAAATCCGCTTTTTTAAAAAATTCAGAATTTGTGCATCTATGCTTATGAGGGATATTAGTCAATAGTTTCCTTTTTTTTTTTTTTTTTTTTCAGACAGAGTCTCACACTGTCACCTAAGCTGGAGTGGAGTGCAGTGGCACAATCACAGCTCACTGCAGCCTCAACCTCCCAGGCTCAAGCACTCCCCCCACCTCAGCCTCCTGAGTAGCTAGGACTACAAGCACGCACTACCATGCCCAGCTAATTTTTGTAATTTTCGCAGAGACAGAGTTTTGCCATGTTACCCAGGCTGGTGTCAAACTCCTGAGCTCAAGTGACTGTGCAACTCAGCATCCCAAAGTGCTGGGATTAGAGGCATGAGCCACCACGCCTGGCCCAGTCTATAGATTCTCCTTCCTTCCTTCCTTCCTTCCTTCCTTCCTTCCTTCCTTCCTTCCTTCCTCCCTCCCTCCCTCCCTCCCTCCCTCCCTTCTTCCCTCTCTCCCTCCCTCCCTTCCCCACCCGCATTCCTTCCTTCCTTCCTTCCTCTCTTCCTCCCTTCCTCCTTTTCTTCCTTCCTCTCTTTCCTTCTTCTACTTGTCTGGTTTTAGAATCAGAGTTATGATGATCTCATAAATTGAGTTGGGAAGTGTTTTCTCTTCTACATTTTAGAAGAGATATTGTAGAATTGATGTTCTTTTAAAATGTTTAATAAAATTATTCATAAATAACATGGGCCTGGAGAATTTTGTCAGATAGTCTTAAACTGCAAATTCAGTTATAGGGCTATTTAAGTTGTCTATTACATTTTGAGTGAGTTTAGGTAATTTGTGTTTTTCAAGGAATTGATCCCTTTTGCCTAACTTGTCAAAAATGTGTGTATATAATTATTCACAGTATCCCCTATATTCCCCTATTATTATTAAATGCCAGTGGGGTCTGTAGGGATAACCTCTTTCAGTCCTGATACTGGCAATTTATTCTTGCCTTCTTTTTGTCTTTGTCCTTGCTGAAAGTTTATGGATTTTATTGATCTTTTTAAAGAACCAGATTTGGGTTTCTTTGAATTTCTCTATTATTTTTCTGTTTTCAATTTTCTCTATTTCTACCACTATATTATTTATTTTCTTATTTTTGTTTGAGTTTATTTTGCTCTTCTTAAGATGGAAGCTTAGATAACTTGTATAAGGCATCTCTTTTCTAATATAAGCTTTTAATGTTATAAATTTTTCTCTAAGCCCTGCTTTAGTTGTAGCTCACAAATTTTGGTATATTTTATTTTCATTTTTGTTTAATAGAAATTATTTTCTAATTTTTTCTTTTTGACTCAGATTATTTAGAAGCATGTTATTTAATTTCCAAGTGTTTGGATATTTTTCTCTTATGCTTCCTGTTATCCTGTTCCTGATTTCTAGTTTATTTTTATTATGATTCAAGGAAAATACTTTGTCTGATTTTAGATTTTATTTTTTACATAATTCTAACTTTTTGTTAATGTTTCTTTTATGAACAAGATATGGTCTACCTTGACTATTCCATGTACTTCTGAAAAGATTGTGTGTTCCACTGTTATGGGTAGAATGATTTTTTAATACTATTTAGATTTACTTAGTTGATGATCAGCTCAATTCTTCTGTATCCTTGTTGGTTTTTTATAAGTTCTGCATATTACTGAGAGAGGAGTGTTGAACTCTCCAAATATAATTGTGGATTTTTAAAATTTCTCCTTTCACTTTCATGAATTTTGCATCATGTTTTTGAAAGCGTTGTCAGTAGGTACACACATACATTGGATTATTATTTCTTCATGATGAACTGACCCTTATATCATCATATAATGTCTCTCTTTATCCCTGGTCATCTTATTCACTCTGAAATCTATGTCTGATCAGTTTTCTTTTGATCAGTGTTTCCACGGTATACCGTTTCTTTCTTTCTCTCCTTCCTTCCTTTCTTTCTTTCTTTCTTTTTTTGTTTTATGATCTCTGTTTTAATGTTTGGGTTATTTTTATTTTTTTTTATTTTAGTAGGTTTTTGGGGAACAGGTGGTGTTTGGTTACATGGATAAGTTCTTTAGTGGTGATTTCTGAGATTTGATGCACCCATCACCCAGGCAGTGTAAACTGTACCCCACATGCAGTCTTTTATCCCCCTCCCACCATTTCCCCTGAGGCCCCAAAGTCCATTGTATCATCCTGATGCCTTTGCCTCCTCATAGCTTAGCTCCCACTTATGAGTGAGAACATATGATGCTTGGTTTTCCATTCCTGAGTTACCTCACTTAGAATGATGGTCTCCAATTTCATCCAGGTTGCTGTGAATGCTATTATTTTATTTCTTTTTATGGCTGAGTAATATTCCATGGTGTATATATATATACCACATTTTTTTATCCACTTGTTGATTGATGGGCATTTGGGCTGGTTCCATATTTTTGCAACTGCAAATTGTGCTGCTATAAACATGTGTTTGGAAGTATCTTTTTCATATAATGACTTCCTTTCCTCTGGGTAGGTATCTATTAGTGGGATTGCTGGATCATACAGTAGATCTACTTTTAGTTCTTTAAGAAATCTCCACACTCTTTTCCTTACTGGTTGTACTAGTTTACATTCCCACCAACAGTGTAAAAGTGTTCCCTTTTCACCACATGCATGCCAACATATATACATTTTTATTTTTTTATTGTGGCCATTCTTGCAGGAGTGAGATGGTATCACATTTTGGTTTTGATTTGCATTTTCCCTGACTATTAGTAAGTTGAGCATTTTCCATATGCATGTTGGCCATTTGTATCTTTTCTTTTGAAAATTGTCTATTCATGTCCTTAGCCTACTTTTTGATAGAATTGTTTGTTTTTTTCTTGCTGATCTGTTTGAGTTCTTTGTATATTCTGGATATTAGTTCTTTGTTGGATGTGTAGATTGCAAAGATTTTCTCCCATTCTGTGTGTTGTCTGTTAACTCTGCTGATTATTTATTTTGCTGTGCAGCTTTTTAGTTTAATTAAGTCCCATCTATTTATATTTGTTTTTGTTGCATTTGCTTTGGGTTCTTGGTCATGAAGTCTTTGCCTAAGCCAATGTCTAGAAGGGTTTTTCCAATGTTATCTTCTATAATTTTTAAGGTTTCAGGTCTTAGATTTAAGTCTATGGTATGTCTTTTTTATTTATTAAGGCCTAATTTACTTATTATTTTGCAAATGAGTCTTGTAAATAGCATGTCATTGGATCATTCAAAAAATATATTTTGACAATTTCTGTTATTTAGTTTGTATGTTTAGATCATGTACATTTAGTGTAATTCTTTATGTTTAAAGTTAGATCTATTATTTTACTATTTGTTTTCTGTTTAGTCTCTGGTTTTTGTTCCTCTATTTTCTCATTTTCTCTTTCCTATCTTCTTTTGGGTTTTTTTTTTTTTTACATTATTTAGCATTCCATTTTAACTTATCTACTGTATTTTTTACTCTATTTTACACATATATTTCTTTCTTTGTGTGTGTGTGTGTGTGATTACTACATATTTACCTTTTCTCACTGTCCAGTTTTATAGTGGAATGTAAAAACTTTACCATTATGTAGGTCCTTTTATGTTGTAACTGTCTTGTATATTATATCTACATACATTGAATACTCCAGCTGACAATATTGTCATTGTTTTCTTTTAGCCATTTAATATATTTTAAACTCAAGAGGAAAAATAATCTCTTTTATTTATCTAGTTATTTACCATTTCTGTTCCTCTTCTTTTAATCCTTGATATTTTGAAATTTCTTCCTAGTATCTCTTTTCTTCAGTTGCAATGGCTTCATTTAGCAATTTGTTTAGAGTAGATCTCCTGACAATTTTATCTCAACTTTTCTTCATGTAAGAATGTTTTACTTTCACCTTCATTTCTGAAGAAAATTTTTCTGGACCTAGACTTCTTAGTTGATAGTTCTTTTCTTTAACACTTAAAAATTTCCACTACCATTTGGCTTACATAGTTTCTAAAGAGAAATATATTCTTATTTGAATCTTTGTTCCTCTAGTTAGAAGTAGTATGCCATTTTTCTCTGGTTGCTTTCAAGATTTTTTCTTTGTTTTTAGTTTTCAGAAACTTGAGATACCCCTAAGTGCTCATTTCTTTAATTAATTCTGTTTGGGGTTCTCTACACTTATATCTCTAGGTTTATTTCTTTTTTTCCAAACTTGGGAAGTTTTCAGCCATTGCTTCTTCAGTTTTTTTTCCACGCCATACTCCTTCTCCTTCTAGGACTACAATGACATGAACATGAGATTTTCGTTATTGTCCCACAGGCCCTGAGAGTCTGTTCTATTTTTCCAATCTTTTTTTCTCTCTCTCACTCAGCTTAGATTGTGTTTATTGATTTAGCTCTATCTTTTTTTTCTAAGTAAAGGTATCCTTAGATTTCATGAGATGGTGATAAAAATCCCAATTGATAGACAGGCTGATTTTTAAAATTTATATGAAAAGGTGAAGGAACAGGAACTGGAATAACCAAACAGTATTGAAAAAAGAAAACTAAAGTTAAAGAAATTGTTTTTTCAATTTCAAAAATTTTGTTATAAATCTACAGTAATCAAGACAGTAGTATTAGAGAAAAGATAGATACAATGATCAATGCAATAGAATAAAAGTCTAGAAACAGATCCACGCAAATATGGACAAATGATTTTTCACAAAGATGTGAAGACAATTCAACAGAAAAAGGACAGTATTGTCAACAAATGGTGGTGAAACAATTTAGCATTCATATACAAGAAAATAAACGTCTAACTAAATCTCACACCTTATTCAAAAACTAACTGAAAATGTATCATAGATGTGAATGTTAAATGTAAAACTATAAAACTTTTAGAAGAAAACAGAAAAAAAATCTTCATGACTTTTGGTTAGATGAAGAGTTCTTAGATACAACACCAAAACCATAATCCCTAAAAGAAAAAAAATGATATACTGGAATTCATTAAAATTAAAATTTTGCTCTGAGACAGACACTAAGAGATGAATAGACAATCTACAGACTTGAAAAGAATGTTTTAAAATCACATACCTGACAAAGAACTTGTATCCCAACCGTATAAAGAACTCTCAAAATTCAGTAGTAAGAAAACATCTAACTGAAGCAAAACATGGGCAAAATATTTGAATAGACACCTCACCAAAGCGAGTGTACAGAAGGAAGAAATAAGCACATGGGAAGATATTCAACATCATTTGCCATTAGGACAATTCCCACTGGAAACCAGAGCATTTGGATTCAGATGCTTTACCACATTAGAATTTCACTTATGGAGGAAATCATTATTATCAACAGGTATTGAAATATTAAACTTGCGCCATCAGAAAAGTTGTTAACAGAGAGTAGAAACACAAATTCAAAATTGGTTACTCAAAGAGGGAAGAGAGGCTGGTGCTGGCAGCTTCTTTTACTCTGGAGAATAAAGCCCAGAAGGTCTGATTTGGACCCAAGCCAAAACACCTGAAAAACTAGGATTCGGCATCTAAGCAAGTGCACTAGTACTAGTCAAAGAGCTCTTCCAACAAAAATCAATTTTATTATAAAATTCTGTCACCTTCTAAAACCAAGTTCTCGGGAGATGTCTTCTAGGGTCTCACAGGATAGGTGACTTGAGCTACACATACATAGGAGCAAATAGATGCAGCTATCTGAAGGAGGCAACCAACTGACAAATGGAGACCCCTATAAACTCTGACACATCAATTGCATGGCTGAGAATCCAGGTATAGAAAGTTGGAAAAAAGAAAAAAGTAGACGCAAGAGAGCTTGTGATTTGTAAAGACATTTTTGAATACAGTCTCCATTTTCTCAGCTATCTTCCTCAAGAAAGTTAGAAGTTTTGGGCCGGGCGCAGTGGCTCACACGTGTAATCCCAGCACTTTGGGAGGCTGAGGCGGGCAGATCACGAGGTCAGGAGATCGAGACCATCCTGGCTAACACGGTGAAACCCCGTCCCTACTAAAAATACAGAAAGTTAGCCGGGCACGGTGGTGGGCACCTGTAGTCCCAGCTACTTGGGAGGCTGAGGCAGGAGAATGGTGTGAACCCGGGAGGTGGAGCCTGCAGTGAGCGGAGATCGAACCACTGCACTCCAGCCTGGGCAACAGAGCGAGAGTCTGTCTCAAAAAAAAAAAAAAAAAGTTAGTTTTGTACCTGTATAAACCTACCAGTGTAGGAATATGCATAGTCATAAACCCCTTAGAAAAATGATACAAATAATTACCTATCACAATATCTGGATTGCTATGTTTTTATACAATGCTATGTTTTATGCTAACTTTCAATAGTGTAGTAAAGAGTGAATTCTCAGGAATCAGGTAGCCTGGAATGGAATATCAACTCTATCACTTCCCAATAATGTGACCTTGACTTTTCTTGGGCAAGTGACTTGACTTTTCCTCAGTTTCCTCCACTGTAAAATGGCCATAATAATACTTACTACATGGTTTAATAGTTATAAAGCACTTGGAATAACTCCTAATAGGTGCTGGCTCAATAAACTACATCATCATCATCATCCTCATGTCATCCCAAGACAACCGTGCTTTTATATTTCCAATAGAGACTTTTATGTTGCCCTTAGCTGTGATTAACTCGCTACACAGGAACATGTCAGCTGAGTGGGAGGCAGAAATCACCTGCAGAAATAGTTCCCCTACCTTGTAACTTTTAGGAAGAGAGAGAAAAATTGCTTCACTTACTTAATTGTAGGATACCCTGAAAACCTTCCTACCAGGAAAAATGAAAGCCTTCCTTCTTTCCATCTTTCTTAAGTGTGCATGAAATTGATTCTATATGCTTATTAAATCTGAAAGAGAAATTTCATGATACAAGCACTTCCTGCAATTGAATGGTCTTTGAGAACTCAT
Source organism: Homo sapiens (assembly GCF_000001405.40). Lineage (NCBI taxonomy): Eukaryota > Metazoa > Chordata > Mammalia > Primates > Hominidae > Homo > Homo sapiens. The sequence goes on from NC_000017.11 coordinate 12,565,663, forward strand.
ATTGACTATAATTCATCTGGAGAGTGGCCACACAGTTTGACAAGAAACCCCGGCCTGTCTGTGCAGGCTGCTGAAGTGTGTTTCTGCACCTGCCTCACACAAGACTGTCTGTTTCTTTTTTAAGGCAATTAAAATATTTGTAATACACATATTGAAGACACACACTGCACCTTTGGGTCTTGAGCTGTGTGGGGTGTGGGAGAATGAAAGAGCATCAGAGGGAAATTGTGTGTAGGGGAGAGCCCGGTCTTAATTAAGACACGGACATGAGAAAATATTTACTGAAGAATGTGGTGATGTGGAGGAGCTTGGTAGTCAGGAAAAGTATTGTTTTGTGTTTTTTATCCCCAAATGGTAGGGTGAAAAGGTTTTGGGGAGAGAGAGATGGGAGACTGGCTCAGGAGGGAGGAAGCACAGAGCAAGTGAAAAGAAGTCTACAGATGGCCAGAGGGTGTGGTGGGCATGGCTGGACTCAAGAGCCTAAGGGTTCCCCTGGATGGTGGGACATTCAGACTAGCTGTGGCCCTGGCATGGGGCAGAAGGGCCTCAGCTTACACAAGATGGATGGGCCTGGGGGGTGGGGCAGAAAATGCTTTTCTCTTACACCCAGGGACACAGACAAAAGTGGGAGTGAAGATATCTGATGTTCAAGATGGGAGTAAAGAAGCAGGGGCAAAACCTAAAAGCAGGAATCCTTGCTGGTCCTTTGCAGTGCCTAGATTGGGCTGTCGCCCGCATTTACTTGGAACTGTGTGTTGGTCTCCTGGCAGCTCTCTCCATCTGTCCTTGCTCCCTCCCTCTCACTACCCCCAGAGGGATCATTCTTGTGTGTGAGACAGATCACATTACAGAACCCCTCCACCCATCCTCGGTCCCTTTGGGCAGCGGCTCCTCTGTCATTCATGGGTGCTGAACCAGTTTCTATGCTCCATTCCTCAGGTGGCAGGTTTTTATACTTTTTATTTTCTGCACAGTTTCTGTAAATTTGGACCCTGAATCTATAATAACAAGTTGAACAGGGCTTTCAACTTCTTATAAGAGCTGTTTTTTTGTTGTTGTTTTTTTTTCCATCCAAGGCATCACATGGAAGGCGAGCCCTCTCTTCACTTTGCTGGACCAGTGAGCCACAGCCTTTATCTGGCAGGGCCCTCCTAGAGACTCCACACTTTATGGAGGGGTCTAGTTCTAGCTTCCTTGCCTTGGCAATGAATAAAGCTGTGCCTTCTTTCCCCAGCTCATGCTAGGATCCCAGGGTCCCGGCCCCTAAGCTCTGCATTCGGATCTGAGCTTTCCAGTTACTCTTACCATTTGGATATTAAATTTCTTCTTTTTTCTTTTGGCATCTAGTGATTTCCTTTATTTTTTATGAGTTCTTCTATGCATGTGAAATTTTTTTTATATTCTATGCATTATTTCTAATGCTTCTACTCAAGGAAGAACATTCATATCGGTAAGTCACCACAAGTTCCATGGTTCCCAGGCAGATTTTTCAGGATTGCATTTCTGACACTTCACTCCCTGTGTTTGTTTATGTGTCTGTCTCCCTTCAGAAGTTACTCTGAGGTTGACAGCATAGCTTATCTGGGTTTATATCCTGGTGCCTAATACACCACATGGAAGGTGCTAATTAAATCATGGGATGAATCAAAGAGAGAGAGAGGGATAGTTTAACATGTGTTAGGCTCAAAGTGGAACTTTTGTTGTTGCTGTTATTTTGTTTTTTGAGCCACACTATTGAAAGCTATTACTGTTTGTTTAATATGAGATAGAGTCAGATCAGTGAACACAGTTTTGAGAAACATACAACTGATACCTCATCATAGTACTTATTAAGGGTAGCGGTTTAAGAACTGCAGAAAGTCAAACATAAATCCTCTAAGAACCCCACTGTTTTAATTTGTGTTTGCAACTGAAGTCAGCCACACCTCCTTGGGCTGATCTTAAAATAATTCTTTACTCAAAAAGTCACAGTATCCTGGCACTTAACAATAACATAAGAGAGCCCCAGCCCGGAGCGACTGTTTGTTTTGATAGGAACAGAAACAACTCTTTTTTAATGAACATAAAGCTCTCGATAGGTTTGGGGGTTTTATTCAGCTGTTTTCTGAATCTCTCAAAGCTCGTCTTATGAAATTTTAGCAAGATCTGACCCGTCCCCTCCCTAGCCTGGATGCCTCCCTGAGGTTGCTGTTCACCACCACTGAGCTCAGACAGACAGACGGACAAACAGATGGGCCTTGCTGACCAGGGAGCTTCGATTTCCTCTCATTTGCTTTGGATCCCTGCAGCAAAAGTGTTCTGTCCCAGAGCCTTGTCTGTGTACCAGAAATGACACACAACTCTCAAAGACGTGGTGCTTGTCTGCCAGGACTTGAATTCAGAGGAGATAACACCAGCCAAGGCACAGCAGGGCCTGGAGACCCTTGCTCTGTCCACTGAAGTATGGCAGACATTTAATCCCTTCTTCCAATGCAAGAAGGAATAGGCAGGGGCGGGAAGGTAGAAGAGCAGGTGTCTGAAACCCCCAGAGGACCTCCGTGGTGAGTGGGTCCTGAACCAGCATGCCAGGTTGACACAAGGCCATGACCTCCACACTCAGTCCTCTCTGGGCAACTCTGAAATGCTTGTTTTTCACCAGAGAAGCCTAGCATGTCAGCTGGGCAGCCAGCGAAGAAAAGCCAGTGCCGTCTCTGGCAGGGAACTTGAAAAGGTACAACCAAAACCATCTCCTGGTGTCCAGCTGGATCAGATGCACCTGTGGAGATCTCGCTGCACTCCAGAGCCTGGTCTCTCCACAAAACCAGAAAGCAGAGAGAAAAGCAGAGAAAGGGAGTGGGTTCCTGTCTGGTAGATTTCCATAATGTGGTGTCTGACGATAAGTACACAGGGTGTGATGAAATAGCTCTACCCCGTATGTGTCAAGTGGTGTAAGCACAAATGCCTAAAACTCAGTTCTTCAGAGTTAAATCTGGAATTCAGCCAGAGTCTCTATGGAAGGTGGAGTCCCCCCGACTGCCACTTCAGGCCCCTCCGTGAAGCGATTCATCCTGGAGCAGTAAATAAGTGTCTCCTGCTCCCTGCCACAGGCCAACCAGGAGTGCTGGAGGGTAGAGCCCACTGCAGGAACCAGATCTCTGGCGAAACAGGAAGCACTGATTTACTCATTCGATGCTTGTGAATCAGGCACCTATGCTGGGGGAGGTACCCCCCTAGGCTCTGGAGAGGAGGTATGAGTGAAGGGGTACTGCTCAGGGAGCCCTGGGTGTCTCTGTCCATGCACCCTAAGCCGTTGGGCTTAGACTGTGAGGCTTATTTGCACACAAATTGCTGCTTTCCCGTGGGGTGCACAGCACAGCCACCTGTGGTGAAGAGCTCTCTCAACAGCAGCAGGGCAGGCGTGCTACCCATCTATAGGGGCCGACTCAGCAACAGGGCTCCCTCTACCCAGCATCCTCACTTCCAGATCCTCTGAGAGGCCCTGTGGTTGCTTGTCTAATTGACGGAGGACCACTAACCAGAGATGACAACACTCCAGAAGCAAAACAGAAATTCACTTGCACTGAGCCCATTCAAATATTGAGACACACGCAAATGCAAAAGTAAATGAGACCACATGTGAGCCAAACTCTGAGTACAATTAAGCTAAAAGCTAGAGATTAGGTTCTAATTCAGGCTTCACTGATTAAATATGAGAATACAGCAAGTCACAAGACCTCACTGGTCTCAGTTTCCTCATCTGTGAAATGCGGATAGGGAGAGGAGATGGAGGAAATAATTTCTGCCTAGGGTTGCTAGATAAAATACAGGAAACCCAGTTAAACTTGAATTTTAGATACATTTGAATTTTTTTGTTTTGTTTTGTTTTTGTTTTTGAGACGGGAGTCTCGCTCTTTTCGCCCAGGCTGGAGTGCAGTGGTGTAATCTCAGCTCACTGCAACCTCTGCCTCCTGGGTTCAAGCGATTCTCCTCCCTCAGCCTCCTGAGTAGCTGGGATTACAAGTGCCCACCACCATGCCCAGCTAATTTTTGTACTTTTAGTAGAGATGGAGTTTCGCCATGTTGGCCAGGCTGGTCTCGAACTCCTGACCTCAGTTGATCTGCCTGCCTCGGCCTCCCAAAGTGCTGGGATTACAGGCGTGAGCCACCACACCCGGCCGAATAATTTTTTAAGTATGCCTCATGCCATTTTTGTGCCATGCAGTATTTTTACTTGTGAAATCTGGTGGCCCTGTGCTGTCGACATTCACCTGCCACGAGGTAGACGATGTGGGCGTCATCTTTGTAAACTGTGATATAACATTGTCTGGTACTCTGGGCGAGTCTCTTCCATTTGCTTGCCAGCTCCTGGAGGCAGGGCTGTGTATTACCAAACTGTAACTCCATAGTTTCCACATAAGGTAAGTGAGCTAGGTATCATGATTAAATGACATTTAGGTATTCTTTTTGGCAGATCAGCTGATGGGAAAGGTGGCTAAAGAGGATATTGCAAAGAACCCACAGCAACTGCAGCCTGACTGTTGCTCTGGGCTGCTGTCTGCTGACAACAGAAGTGAATGGCAGAACCTGGGCACCACCACCCAACTGGGCGGAGAAGGAAGCCGTATAGCAGTGAAATTGAGTCTGAAAGGGGTCGGAGCAGAGAGAGGGAGAACATTCCTGGTAGTGAGTTAGTGGCTAAGTGACAATGTTACTACATCACGGATGCACATTTTCCCCAGATTATAAAAATAATTTATGCGCATTTGAAAACTGGAAAAAATGCAGAAAATATTAAGAAAATTGAATCCATAACCTTGCAACCCAGAGCTAACCACAATTAATATTTAATTCTATACTTATAGCATTTTTGTTAAGATACATACATATATCTTAAATATAGGTCTATGAATTCAGAAAATAAAGTCCATACTATACTTTTTTCTTTTTTTTCTTGAGACGGAGTCTCGCTCTGTCACCAGGCTAGAGTGCAGTGGCGCGATTTCAGCTCACTGCGACCTCCGCCTCCCAGGTTCACGCCATTCTCCTGCCTCAGCCTCCCGAGTAGCTGAGACTACAGGTGCGCGCCACCACGCTCGGCTAATTTTTGTATTTTTAGTAAAGGCAGGGTTTCACCATGTTGGCCAAAATTGTCTCGATCTCTTGACCTCATGATCCACCCGCCTCGGCCTCCCAAAGTACTGGGATTACAGACATGAGCCACTGCGCCTGGCCTATACTTTATATATAATTTAGCTCTTTCAAATTAACACTTTATTGTGAGCATTACTCTATGTCCTTTAAATTCTTTGAGTGCATAATTCTAATAGTTTCCTATTATCAGTTTCTAGATGGGCCCTAATCTATTAAACCAAGCCCTAAACATTGGAAATTCAAGCTGTTTTTACTGTCTTCCCATTGTAAATAAAACTGTTATAATCGGCCGGGCGTGGTGGCTCACGCCTGTAATCCCAGCACTTTGGGAGGCCGAGGCAGGCGGATCACGAGGTCAGGAGATCGAGACCATCCTGGCTAACACAGTGAAACCCCGTCTCTACTAAAAAAATACAAAAAATTAGCCGGGCGTGGTGGCGGGCGCCTGTAGTCCCAGCTACTTGGGAGGCTGAGGCAGGAGAATGGCGTGAACCCGGGAGGTGGAGCTTGCAGTGAGCCGAGATCGTGCCACTGCACTCCAGCCTGGGCGACAGAGCGAGACTCCATCTCAAAAAGAAGAAAAAAGAAAAAAGAAAACTGTTATAATAATTAAATTGTACACACCTATATACACATCCCAAATTATTTCCTCAAGGCACTGCAGTGGAATTACTGGATCAAAGATTATGCACATGAGATTTTCATTTATTTTTATGGGTACATAGTAAGTGTATATATTTGTGGGTTACAGGAGATACTTTGATACAGGCATGTAATGCATAATAATTACATCATGGTAAATGGGGTATCACCTCAAGCATTTATCTTTTGTATTACAAACAATCCAATTATATAATCTTTTAGTTATTTTTAAAGGTATCGTTAAATTGTTATTGACTATAGTCATCCTGTTGCGCTATCAAATACTAGGTTTTATTCTTTCTAACTACATTTTTTACTCATTAACCATCCCCACTTCCTCCCACCCTGCCACTGCCCTCCCCAGCCTTCAGTAACCACCCTGCTATTCTCTATCTTCATGAGTTCAATTGTTTTCATTTTTAGTTCCCACAATGAGTGAGAACATGAAAAGTTTGTCTTTCTGTGCCTGGCTTATTTCACTTGATATAATGACTTCCATTTCTACCCATGTGGTTGCAAATGACGGGATCTCATTCTTCTTTATGACTGAATAGTACTCCACTGTGTATGAGTACCATAATCTCTTTATCTATTCATCTGTTGATGGACACGGGTTGCTTGCAGATCTTGGCTACTGTGAACAGTGTTGCAATAAACATGGGAATGTAGAAATTCCTTTGATAAACTGATCTCCTTTCTTTGGGGTATATACCCAGCAGTGGGATTGCTGGATCATGTAGTAGCTCTATTTTTAGTTTTTTGAGGAACGTCCAAACTGCTCTTCAAAGTGGTTAAGATTTTTGTTTAAGTATTAACATTTACTGAGCACTTACTCTATCCCTTTCACTATTTTAAATATTTAACATTATTATGTTAATGACTTAATTATTAATTACTTAACTACTAATTATTAGTTAGTTATTATCTTCATCTCCTGCTCCCAGCCCCATCTCACAGATGAGGAAACTGAGGCTTAGTGAGGTCTTGTGACTTGCTGAATTCTCATACCTAATTAGTGGAGCCTGAATTTGAACCTAACCTCTAGCTTTTAGCCTAATTGCATTCAGAGCCTATCTCATTTGGGGCCTCATTTACTTTTGTATTTACATGTGTTTAATATTTTAATGAGTTGAAATTTCATGTTGCTTTTTGTTTTGTTTTGCTTCTGGAGTGGGGTCACCTCTGGTTAATGATCTCTGTGAATTAGACAAGCAAGCACAGGAGTTCTCAGAGCATCTGGAAGTGAGGATGCTGGGTCAGAGGGAGCCCTGTGACTGACTGGATTCTTGTATTAAAGGTCACTACTATTGTTTTCCTCGTAGTAGAGAGGAGAAAATTGCAGCACAGAAAAATTAAGTAATAAAGTTTCACCCTCAGAAAATAAAAAGGAGGGACCAACCCAGTCAAACTCCAGTGAAGCTGTCTAATTACCCTTGACTGTGGCTTTACCCACTTTCCCACTGTTGCTTTACCCACGGATAGTTTATGAATGCTCATCTCATACTCTGAGAAATACAGGTGAAATATTTTATCTTTACCTTTGGTATATTGACAACATAGGTTGTTTCATTTGTATTTTTAATAACTATAGAGATTGAATTTTTTCATATTAAAACTTTGCTTTTTTGTAAACTGGCAATTTTTGGTTAGCAGTGATTGCCCTTTACTCTTTGGTATGTGTGTATAAATATATATAAATAGCATATAAATACACACGCATGCTTACATACATACATACTTTCTATAGTGAGAACAGTAACGCTTTGGCTATCATAAATATTCTGTTATTCCCAATGTGTCCTTGGCATTTAATTCTATAGTGGTTTTGATGTCTTTCATTTTTCTACACCTAAACTAATTTTTTAATTGTCTGTTACTTTAAAGAGTTTTACTTAAGACTTGCTTCTGTCTTTAATACTCATATTTTCTTTTAGCCTGTCATAATTGTAGTAATTTTTTCATTCAAATATTTGATCCATCTGGGGTTTATTTTGTAAGCGTAATTTTTGTCATTATAACATACATAACTGGTTTTTAGAACTAACCAATTTTCTCAGTAATATTTACTAATGAATTCATCATTTCTCCAATTATTTAAAAAGTTTCTTCTGTCATATATGTTTTGGTTGCCACTTCTTTCATTCCTTTATCTGTCTTAGACACTATCGTATTGTTCTGATTATTGCAATTTTATAAACATGTTAGCAGTGTCTCTACAGAACCCTTCTTTTAAATCCTGCAATTATCCATCTTCATTCCTCTATGTTTTTGAATACTCCTCAAAATCACTTTTTCAAGTTACCAAATAACATCATTAGGAAATTGATTGGGAAATATCTTAAACTTACATCTTATTTAGGAAAGAATTACATTTATAACTAATGTCTTTCCTTCTAGAAATAAAATTTATTTCACTTTTGTGCCATTTTTAATATATCTTGATAATATATTGGAGCATTTTTTACACAGATCCTGATTTTTAAGCTTGTTCCTAGTTATTATGTATATTTTCTTGAATAAAATCTCTTTAAAAATGTTCTTTGGTTTTTGAAATGTCTAAAAGAGTTATTGTGGCTTTTGGTGTGGTGGCTGGTGCTTGTTTACTTTGTTTTTAGCCAGCTTTCTGTGTAACTCACTAGTCTGAATATATTTTTACTGCCTATCTTGATTTTCCAAGGGAAAAAAATGAAAAAAAAAATCATATATCACCTGAAAATGACAACTTTGTCTTTTCGCCATTGACCCCTAACAAGAGGGGTCTCTTGTTAGAGTAGTTTGTTTTATTGCGTTGACTGGAACTTCCAAGAAATGTTGCATAATTGTAGTGATGGAAGATATGTATCTGACACTTCTGTGAAACAGTTCTCTTCACTGGTTTAAAATAAATAGATTTTTTATCTCATGTCAAGAATTACCTTTTTCCCAATTTTCTAATATTAATATTTGATTTTTATCTAATACATTTTTATTATGGTGATTATATAATATTTTTCTCTGGCCTATTTATGTTATATATTTTAATAACAGCTCTCCTAATTTTCTTTCTTTAGAAAAAATGCAACTTGGCCATGGGACATGATGTTTTTGACATGATATCAGATTCAGCTTCTTTCTATCTTCTTTCTGATTATACAAATGGGAAGATAGTTTGTGTTTTCCTTCTCTTGTGCTAGTGTTGTCATTTTAGAGCCAGAATTAGGATAGCTTCATAAAACCAATGAGGAAGCTTTGGATCTTCTATCCTCTCAGTTTTATAGAGCAGAAGAATGATTTGTTCTTCCAACTTGGAAAAACGTTCATAAAAACATTTGAGCCAGAGCCATTTTTGGAGGTAAGCCTTTGACAACACTTTCAATGTCTTCCCTAGTTATTTTTTCTATTCAGGTTTACTGCTCCATCCTGAGTCAATTTTGGTCATTTGTATTTTCCTAGAAAATCATCCCTTCCATTGAGATGTTCAGGTTTATTAGCACAGGGCGGCATGCAGTATTCTCTCGCAGTACTTTTACACTCTTATCAATAGCATCATTCTCTTGTAACTAATTTCGTATATTTGTGTTTTCTTTTTTTATTTTTAGTCAGACTTGTAAAGTTTGCTTATACTATTGGTTCAGATATGATACTACAAAGGTCCAGATCTCAGATTTTTTAAATAAATTTTAAGATTTCCTTCTTTGCCAATGAGTTTCTGCTGCTTTCTTCATTTTCTCTTTCCTGCTTTCCTAAAGCACTTATTATGCCATTCTTTCCTCATATCTTAGTTAAATAGTTATTTAATATTCATCTTTTCTTATTGATAATAAGATATTTAAAACTGTGCAATTGCCCGTGAGTACAACTGTGGCAACATTGCATAGTTTTTCATAAGCAGCCTTCTCATCAATATTTTCAAAGTGATTCTGAATTACAGTTTTTCTTCTCATAGATACAAAAGCTATTTATTTAGGACATCGTCTTTATTTTATGAGGTTGGGTTTGTTTTATTTAAACTGGCATCAGTAATTTATATATATTTTTACCACAGTATGTTTAGATCCTGCTATTATAAAATTTCTGCTTTGGGAAATAGAAGGTTTATTTTGTAAATAAATATGTGATCAGTTTATATTAATGTTTAATGTGTATTTTTAAATAAAATGAATTCCATTTTTAGGGCTCAAGTCTGTACTACCAATGTCTATTATAGTACTTTCATTAGCTTTCTTACTTAAATTCATTATAATCTTCATTATTTGTGACTTTTTGTATCTTTTAAAAACCAAGAGTGGTAAATTATTTTATTGGGATTCTATTCATTTCTCCTTGTATTTTTAATTGGTGTTCTTTGTGTACTTTGAGGTAATGTTGTTTAGTTATGTGTATGAGTTATATCTGCATAGTGAAGTGTGCCTTTTGAAATATGACTCCCTTTTTTAAAGTAACATTTTGTGTCTTGCATTTTGATCCAGTATAAATATTTGCACCCATCTTTCTTTGAGTGTTTATGAGTAAGGCTTTAACTATCAATGTTACTTTTAACTTTCCTGAGTCATTTTGATTAAGATGTGTTTTCTTTAAAGAAAAATAATATTAATATGTGCTTCTAATAGTTGTTTCAAAGATTAAATATAATAATACAATTAAAACAAATAGTGTAGTATTTGACATATAGAAAATGCTCAATGAATACCAACTAATAATTGCGTGAAAAGCATGCATTCAATTTTTTTTTTTTTTTTGAGATGGAGTCTTGTTCTGTGACCCAAGCTGGAGTACAGTGGAGCAATCTCAGCTCACTGCAACCTCCACCTCCCGGGTTCAAGTGATTCTCCTGCCTCAGCCTCCCGAGTAGCTGGGATTACAGGTGCCCACCACCATGCCTGTCTAATTTTTTGTATTTTTAGTAGAGATGGGGTTTCACCATGTTGGCCAGGCTAGACTCGAACTCCTGACCTCAGGTGATCTGCCCACCTCGGCCTCCCAAAGTGCTGGGATTACAGGCATGGCATTGAATTTTTAAAGCAAAATTGAAATTTAAGAATTATAATTCAAGACTATAGTCTTTATTGTTACATATTTTATTTTAGGCATTCTTCTTGACATCTGCTCTCATCCTTTCTAGTTTTCATTTGCTTTTCCTGGTTCTTTCTTGTTAAGTCTACTTTACTTCCTCAGGCCCTGTGCTAAATGTGATGGATGCTGCAGTGAGCAAACCTCAGGGCTTACATTGTAGAAGGAAAGGCAGACTCAAGTCAAATCATCACTCAAACAATCATGTGAAATTACAACCATGATACATGCTTTGGGATACATGAGAGTAGACTTGCAACTGTCACCTTAGATTCATATAACATTTACAAAGCACTTTTCATACATTATGTCCTGTGAGATAAATTACAGCCATAGAAGATGTATCCCTTGACCCTACATGATTAAAGGGTAGATGGTTAATTCTTTCAAAACACACATTTCTTGTACCAAATGTCATGTACCACTCACTCTCAGAATCTGTCATTCTGAGAATACAGAGAAATTTTGCCCACTAATGGGATTCAACATTTTCATGGGAGAAAGGCAATAGAACATTCCATTTCTTAGGTAAAACAACCAAGAATGCGGGCTGCAACTCTACCACTTTGGGGGTGGGGGGTGGAACTACCGAGCGATTAGATGTTCAATAAATATGTATTACCTGTCTTCTATTGACTAAGAACTGTGCTAAGCTGTGTAGATACAATGAAAATAAGACATAGTTCCTGTCTCATGGACCAAGCTACCTATATGAGAAGTTCCATAGTGAGGACCATGGAACACAGAAGACTCAGAAATTGGACAGTAGTTGGGGACAATTGTAGCCCTCTCCATATATTGAAATACAGAAAAGCTATATCTTTTCCGCAGTCAGAACTGTGTAAAGATGGAATGAGTTTTCTGATGAGAAAATATGTTTTTCTCCCACCGGTGTGTGGACTTTCAACTTCTTTATCTCCTATTATGTCAATGCTAGATGTCCCATATGCGTGACTTTTTAAAGTGTTTATTATAGGAATTTTCAAATATTCAGAGGGGTGCTAAAAATAATATCATAATTATCCATGTACCCAATCTCCAACATCATTAAGCGATAACATTTATCCAAATCTGCTTTAGATCTCTAATTAAGAAGCAAAATTTTAAAGATGAAGTTGAAACCTCATTTGTCACCCTACTGATCCCATTCTTCTTCCTGCCTCAGAGTTTGTGTGGCCCTAAAGTTGATGTCACTCTTTTTCATCCATGTTCTTGTATATTTACTGCATCAATACATCTGAATTTTTTTTTTCCAGAAACTTTAACCCCAAACCACCTTCTTGCTCAAAACCCTTCAGTGGCTCCCAACTGTCTACACCAATGATCCGCAAATCAAGTTATCTTCTGAATCTTCTCGGGAGTTTCAAAATTATATAGATTCTTGGGTTGTCCTTGGGGACTTTGCAAATTTTCAGGGTTTCTCAACTTTCATCCTGTTGAGACTAGGGGCTACATAATTCCTCATGGCAGGGCTTGTTCTATGTCTGGTGGGATGTTTAGCAGTGTCCTGGCCTTCACTCATTAGGGGTCTGTAGCTCCCCCACTAGTTGTAAGAACCAAAAATATCCCCAGAAACTGTGGTATTAGCCCTGCCTTTTATTTTCTGTATTCTGAGGCTTTGAGACCTAGAGCCTGGCTCACCCTGAAAGGCTGCTCTTCCCAGAGTTAGCCAGTTCCTAGGTATAATAAATATGATTTTCAAATACAAACCAATCCATCTGGAGCCCACACACCAACCACCTCCTCTATTGGGCTTTCACACTGCAGGCCACTCTCCACCTGACCTAATAACCTCAGGGCCAGGACCAGACAACTAGGGACAGCCCCATGCCCCAGAGCCACTGAAATTATCCAAACTAGCCAATCATGAATCTGCTTACTCGCCTCACCTGTTCCTTGTTGCAGGAACCCCAAGAAAGCTTTTGGCCCACAGTCCGCACTCCCCTGACTCCTGATCGATTGAGGTGTTTCCACACTTGGCCCTGTGTGGTGTGGCCTGCCTTCACTGTCAGCAACAACTTTGTTGTCACTGGCAGCTGCCTTCTGATCTTTTGGCCTTATTACATCTCAAATTTTCTTCAATCCCCGGTATTTTATTTTATCTTATCTTATTTTATTTTTTGAGACAGAGTCTCGCTCTGTCGCCAGGCTGGAGTGCAGTGGTGCAATCTCAGCTCACTGCAACCTCTGCCTCCTGGGTTCAAGTGACTCTCGTGCCTCAGCCTCCTGAGTAGCTGGGAGTACAGGTGTGCACCACCACGCCCAGCTAATTTTTGTATTTTTAGTAGAGATGGGGTTTCACCATGTTGACCGGGATGGTCTCGATCTCCTGACCTTGTGATCCACCCACCTCAGCCTCCCAGAGTGCTAGGATTACAGGCGTGAGCCACCTCGCCTGGCCAATCCACTATGTTTTAAAGCAATTGCCAACTGTCTTGCTCCAGATTGAGAATGACTAGGTTAATCTGAAACCTGGAAATCTGTATCTTAAAAAAAAATTATCTAAGTGATGTGAGATCATTGGATTTGGGGACCACGAACCTTTAGACTCTAGGCACAAGAGTTGAGCCTGGCCTTCATGGCCTCTGACGATCTAGCCCCATCACACGTGTGTTCCTTCTCCTCTCTTGCCACTCATGTTGCTGCCTTGCCCCTTCGTCTGCAAAACTGATCCTTGAGGATGTGCTGATCCCTCTCACTTTCAAACCTTTGCTCTAAATGCAGACTCCGGCTTTTCCAATGACCTCTTAGACTTCTAATCTCACGGGCATTTTTAAAAATAATACGTTTGTTTACTAAAGGAATTAACTCACCCCTTCATTGTGACACATCTGAAACAGTTAAAACGCTACTCTCATGCCTTAAAGCTTTACAAACCCTCATACAAATATGAGGCAGTAATTACAAGTTTACACTCTCATAACACAGGCTAAGGCCCTTCTCTCAGTTTAATTTTGTATCTGTTGCTATGGTTATTTGATTCCCGTCTCTCTCCCACACTAGACTAAAGATTTCCCAAGGTCAAAGATCAAGTCTATTTTTGCTCATATCCACATTACTTTACAAAGTGTCTGGCAATAAACATTTGGTGCACAAATGAATTAATTGATTAATTACCCGACTAATTAATTACTATCTTATGTTGTCTTTTCAACTGGATTTCAAACGCTTGAGGATTATTTCGCTTCCAAGTTTCCTTTCAACCCTATAAACATAGTTATGTTTAAACGGTACATATTGAAACAATAAATGATTACTATTATCTGAACTACATAGTGTTATCAGTAGTACTTTACTGAGCCTACCGACAGAAGCCAAGTACTCATTCGATTTATGTTTTTAAATGAGCAGAATCCCTTTGAACAAAAAACAACTGCATTTGCAAAGAAATATGATGTTATTTATGACCATTATGTCATCGCCTATTCAGAAAGGACAGATTTAAACTGAGTATTAGTGCCTAAAACCAAAAAGTATCCTCCCGTTTGATGAATGTCATTATTGTCAGGATAATTCCAAAAATTGAATTGAACTAGCAGAAAGTGTTTTCTGACATTTTTTATTTCTGTTTCATACACAGAGATGCCTTGTAACCTGAGGAAAACAAAGTTTGTTTTTCCATATTGGTGTTTTCCCTCCTCGGTGTCTTCATTTCTTACTTACAGAGAAGAATGCTAGGATTTTCTTTTTCTTTTTCTTTTTCTTTTTTTCTTCAGAGTGATACATGTGTGTGCTTAGGAAACACTGACTTGACAGTTTACTGTGAGAACGTGGAATTCCCAGCCTCAGCCCCAACCCCTGGGCAGGTGGGGTCTAGAAGCTCTGTGTAGACAGTTACACCCCGGGCCATGGTGGGGAGGGGATGGCCTTCCGAGGGTTGAAGAGCAGGAGCAGTGAATGGCTTATTCCCAAAAGACTTCTCTCTGTCCTTTCTGCCTTCATCATTTTAACACAATGAAAACCTAATTGCTCCCCAAATTTTAGATTTAGTTTGTACCTACAGAGCTTGGAACACTGAAAATAAAATACTGAATTACAGACAGCCTGCAGGCATTCTAGAACAGTCTGTCTACCTCTCTCAAAGAATAACTATGAAGCAGCTCCTCAGGGTCCAGGGAATTTGTCCACCATCGTTTATATAATAACTGCCAGTGCAGAGATCCTGAAAAAAAGTCTCTGTTCTTTCTATGATGTACGAACTTCCTTAAGAAAATAAACCTGTACTTCAAAATTTATATTCCAAGGCTTGAAAACAAAAGCACATTGCCGTTTCTCAAAGCAAGAAAAGATTTGTTCTAAGTGGCTCCAGAAGTGATTGCTGTTCAAAGAGCCGAGATAAGAACCCACAACCACTTCACATCATCAGCAGACAGGAGCAGTTCACGCCAGACAGCAGGAATCAGCTCAAATCCACTCTCTGTCCTTGCTGACTCTTTCTGTCTGGCTCCCAGTCCCACCCCAACCTCCGTCCCTGCCTGTATCCCACGGTCTCTTCCTCTTCTCTCACTGACATCTCCCCACTTTCTTACCTAGTATCTGACTCTCCCTCCCTTCCTTTCTTTCAGCTGTTCCCGCCCTCTCTCCTCTTTTCTGTGCCCCATAACAATTCTTTTCTCTCCTTTCTTCCTTCCTACCTTAGAACTGTCTGCATCACTGTTTAAGGTTTGGATCTGCCATTGATCTCTATAAAATTAGATACACTAAAAATAGATGTACAGAGGCGCCTTGAAGCCAAAGTGGAGAAATCTAAGAACTCTTTCTCTTTCACTATATTTGAGCCTTCTTTATCATTAATAATGGCCACTTAGAACACCTTAGAATGGATGTACCTTATTTTGGGAAGTTTTCTGAGAGTGGGATTTCCCACCCTCTAGGAATTCAAGATGCAAACACTCACCCTCCTGTTGGTCTCTAATAAGCCCACCATGCATTTGCTACAATGGGAATTGGTTTCTCTAGAGAATACATGAGACAAACAGGACTCTCAATGAGTCCAACAGAAGTGACAGCCCAAGTGATAGGGACACAAGGCAGGGAAATTCTGGGCAGAAGTGGGCCAGTCTCTGGCGAGGGCCCCACCCTCAAGCCTGGAAGTGTGGCCCAAAGTGAGAACTTACATTCCTGTTTTCCTGCTCGAATGTTTCCTTTCCCAAGACCACCTGTGCCCCTCCCCACCCCCATCCTGTGTCAATAAAAAACCCCAGGCTCAGCCAGCACAGATAGGAGAAGCAGTTGGACATCAGAGACTACTTTTGGATGTTGGAGAGAGGTGGCTTGACTTCAGAGGGACAGCTTGATGGTATAGCTTCAGAGAGGAGTCTGGCCAGGGACAGCTGGATTTCAGGGGAAGATTACCTTCCCACTCCATCCCCTTTTCAGCTCCCCTTCCCACCGAGAGCCACTGTCATCAACAATAAAATTTCCTGCATTTACTACCTTCAATTTGTTCTTGTGACCTCATTCCTTCTGGAGCCTGGACAAGAACTCGGTGCCACAAGTGTGGGTGCAAAAGGCTGTCACACTGACCCTCCACTGAGCTGTTAATACTTAAGCTGTCTGCAGACAACAAAGCTAAAAGGGTACGCTAACACTTTTTCTCGGGCTTTGGGGGTTGTGGGCACCCTCCCCTAGATGCTGGCATGGGGCCATTATGGAGTTCGTTCTTGCCAGCACCCAAAAGTGCTTACCCTGGCTCCTGCACCTGATCACCCGTGCTCCCCCTCCTGCAAGGAGTGAAGCAGTGAGTGAGTGGAGTTTGTCCCTGCTGGCACCCATGCACTCCAGTTTCCACCCAAGAATGGGGTCTGGGAAATATCCTGCTTCACAAGCACCAAGTTTGGTTTGAAAAACCACTAAGTTAAATGGAAGAAGAGGGAGTAGAAAGAGCAGGAAATAGGGGTTCAAGGCTAGGCCTTCCCAGCCAAGAGAGAGCGAGCCACAGCACCCAGACACTTCATTGACAGAAGCCCTCTCCTCCCAGGGCTCTTAGATTCCCTCCCCCAATCTGGCCCCAAGTATACCTCTGCCAGCCCCTTGGAACTCTGCATTGGTGATCCAGTCTGAAATTTACTGTGCAGCTCGAAGCTGAACAAGCTGATGACCACAGCTTCTTCCTTGTCCTTCTTCCCTGTCCTTGCCCAGCCCAAGTCATAGCAGTTCACGGATATTTTGAACAGGACGAGAGCTTCAGCGTCTTCACCTGCCTTTATCACTTTACATCCAGAGATCAGCTTATGAAAGCCTCATAAATGAACATATGTATAAGCCCATTTTGATGACAGATCACTTTTAAACAACACTTTGATTGAGATATAATTGAAACATGATAAACTGTCCATATTTAAAGTATACTATTGGATAAGTTTTGACGTGGGTATATACTGTAAAACCATCACAAAATGTATCTTATACAATTAAGATAATAAATGTATCCATCACCCATAAAGTTGGTTTTTCTGTTTGTTTTGGGCTTTTTTAATAGACTTTATTTTTAGGGCAGTTGTAAGTTCACAACAAAATTGAGAGGCAAATACAAATTTCTCTTACATCATCGTGTCCACACATGCACAGCCTGACCCCTTGTCGTCATTCTCCGCTGGAATGGCACATTAGTTACCGCTGATGAACCTACTTTGGCACATCCCTATCACCCAGGTCCATAGTTTAATTAGGGTTCACTCTTGCTGTCACACATTCTATGACTTTGGGCAAATGGCATACACCAGTATAGTATCATGCAGAATAGTTTTCTGCCCTAAAAGTCCTCTGTGCAAATGAATAGGATAAGTGGAGCACAGATCACTTTTTAGTAAAATGTTGCCTGGTTTTGATTTGACAAAGTAGGCAACACTGTCAATCACTGGAGAGGATGTAAAAATAGAAAAAAGATGACCTGAATCCAAATCTCTTTTTCATTCTGAAGTTCATTGTTGATTCCTTAGCCTCCCCCTTTCTTTCTTACTCTATTTATAAAGTTTTTACTTTCTAATACAGCCTGTCAATATTTTAAATTTTTTTCATTAGCAGCACACTGCATAGTGTGGGGAAAATATCATTATTTCAAAGCTAATTGTACATATAATCCATTTTTACATACATGTAGACCATAAGACAGTTCAAATATTTTGGGGTAGTTTGAGCTCAATCTGATTTCAGGCATTCGAAACCCTGATAACCCAGCAGAAAGTTAATGCTGGGTTATAGGATTTGGAGTGCCTGAACCATGCCACTGCCCTCCCCCTCCATCAATTTGCCCCCTCACTGGTTCTCTTTCAGTTCCTGTACATGTCACGTATTCTCCTCCCTCAAGGCCTATGCATTTTTTCCTTTCAGTTTCTAATGATGTTCTTCCATGTCCTTTACCTAGATATCCTCTTCTTACCTTTTATGTCTCAAATAAAATGTAACATCTTTCTTGTGCAACACCCTTAACTAAACTTCCTCCCTGTTGTTCTATCTCATACCCCTTGTCCTTTCCCTCTAGAATTGCACCATCCAGTAAGTAGTCACTACCTGCACGTGTGTGTTTAAATGTAAATTAATTAAATAACATTTGAAATTCAGTTTCTCAGCACATTGCCTGCATCTAAAGTGCTCAATAATCATATGCAATTAGTGGCTACCATATTGGACATGTAGGTACAGAAGATTTCCATTCTCACAGAAGTTTGCACTGGAGAGTAGTCCATCTAGATCATTTAGTATAGTTCCTAATTTTACATAAATTTTGTGAGATGTTTTTGTTCGGTCGGTTGATGCTTACCTGCTTCTGGACTGTATATTTTATGCGTGCAAGAATTACAAAATATTGATCAGGGCTCTGGCACTGAAAGGGTGTTCCATACATATTTTGGGCATGAAAGAATGTCATGAATCAAGTCCAAAGCCAGTAAGTTGCAAGAATACACAAGAGAGGAAACAAATGTGCAGATGGGAGGCAATGACCCTCATATTTCCAGCTCCTGTTAGCAAAAACCACGAAAGTATACAGAGGGGGATAAAAAGGATACCAGGCTGTCCAATTAACAATGGAGTAAAACCATGTTTTCCCACTCTCCTTCCTAAAATCAATTAAAGGCAACAAGAAGAATGAAAAAACGTAGAAGAGAAAGCCTCGTGAAACTGAGAAGCATCTGCAACCACAAACTACAAAATGTAGCTGCTAAACAAAATGAAAGTTGGATCAAAGTGGTGGCAAATATCAAGAGTGAATATACTCCACGGCAGAGTACTGCAAATGTAAGTTCCATCACCTTAAAAAGGCCAGCCAATGGCTCCTTGCTGGAATGTCTGGATGTGGGGACTGCTTGGGCACTAGAAACATCTCCAAGTCCCATTCCATGTTATCTAGTGACAGGGAGAGCTGGCGCTGGATGATAAATTACACAGACACAGTATCTTTGTGAAAAGCCAGTGCTCTGTATGGCAAGGTAGAGAGGTGGCAGTCACCATCTGCTGAAATGCGATACACACTAAATCCCGTTCCGTAAGTATGACTACCTGTTACACACAGGCGAACTATGTAGTCATTCTTAGCGGAGAAAGGGGGAGGAAATTGAGCTCTTAGCAGAAACCCACTCCAAAGTTCGAGGAAGAGTGCCTTGTCCCCTGTAAAATGTCCTCCTGTACTACTCCTCCTCCAATTTTTTAGCAAATGCTTGACCCAGGAAAAAATTGCTCCCATTTAGAGATAAGTAATAATCAGAAAAGAGCCAGCCTGAGAAATATGCATGGATATAACTGGCTGGAAGAAAGGAACATGCCAAACAAAGCCAGATGGAGGCTAGACCTCAGAAGAATTACTCTGCAAGCAGAACAACAGTACACACAAACATTTATCCAGAGTCAAAGAACTGATCATGGTGCCTGGGAAATCAGAGCTCAGAAAAGAGATATAGGGATCAAAGAAGATATGATAAGGCAATACAAAGAAATAAATGTGAGCTGAGAGAGATCTGGCGAAAATGCAGAAGAGAAAAATAATTTAAAGCTAAAGCCATGCTGAAATTAAAATAAATATTGCTGAGAAAGGGAAACATGGAGGACAGGCTGAGTTAGAAAGAAATGAACAAAATATGTGGAAAAGCCAAAGAGTTACAGAGAAAATAAGACATAGTGAATAAATATGCATGTAATTTGTGAACGCCTCCCCAAAGGAAACTGAACAAATGTGGCAGAAATAAAATATCCAAACATATGAGAGAAGACATTTTATAAAACAAAGGTAGATACATGTCTTATGATTGAAAGATCACACTGTGTCCCAAGAAAAACTGATCAACCAAAACATAGCCATTAAATTTTTTGGTTTCCATGATTACGTATCCTATAACATCCAGCAACTCCTCTGTATAGTCTCCCCAGCCTCTCAATAAATAAATAACCAAGCAAAATAATCACATATATTTTTCAAACTACCTATGGGGCAAAAGAAAGAATCAAACTAGGTTCAAAGTTCTCTATAGCAATGTCTACAACTCCTCAGTTAAGGAATGGGACCAAATGTTTTACAGCAAGACGGACATATTTAAATATGCAGGAACAAAATAAACATAACATCCTTAAGTTCTTGTGGGAAGAAAACAAAGTATCTGATAACTTAATTGAGATTTTCAAGAGGCAAATGAAAAGACATGATAAAAGATTGAAAATGTTTGTTAAACCAACTTAAACAAAGAATTTTGAAAACTATAGCCACAGAAAACAATGTAAATTTTTATTAATGCTGAAAAAGTAGAAAACATAATGAAATTTTCTATTTGGAGGGTAATCTTTTCCTTAAAAAATCCTTGTAGGCCGGGTCCGGTGGCTCACACCTGTAATCCCAGCACTTTGGGAGGCCGAGGCAGGTGGATCACCTGAGGTCGGGAGTTCAAGACCAGTCTGACCAATATGGAGAAACCCCATCTCTACTGAAAATATAAAATTAGCTGGGCATGGTGCTGCATGCCTGTAATCCCAGCTACTCGGGAGACTGAGGCAGGGGAATTGCTTGAACCTGGGAGGTGGAGGTTATGGTGAGCTGAGATAGCATCATTGCACTGTAGCCTGGGTAACAAGAGTGAAACTCCATCTGAAAAAAAAAAAAATTCCTTGTAAGGTGAATTATCAAAATAAAAACATAATTATAATTGTACTTCATTCAGTTACAAATAAAACATATCTACTCAATGTTTGAGTAATTGAATCTTTAATTTAAATAAAAATAAGGCCCGGCACAGTGGTTCATGCCTATAATCATAGTGCTTTGGGAGGCGGGAGGATCGCTTGAGCCCTTGGCATTCACGGCTGCAGTGAGCTGTGATTGCATTACTGAACTCTAGCCTGGGTGATGGAGGTGCGAGATCCTGTTTCTAAAAACATGAAAATAGTTAAAAATTAAAAATAAATAGTAGGCAGGGCGTGGTGGCTCACACCTGTAATCCCAGCACTTTGGGAGGCTGAGGCAGGCGGATCACGAGGTCAGGAGATCGAGACCATCCTGGCTAACATGGTGAAACCCCGTCTCTACTAAAAATACAAAAAATTAGCCAGGCATGGTGGCGGGTGGCCGAGTAGTCCCAGCTACTCGGGAGGCTGAGACAGGAGAATGGCGTGAACCCGGGAGGCAGAGCTTGTGGTGAGCCGAGATCGCACCACTGCACTCCAGCCTGGGCGACAGAGCGAGACTCTGTCTCTAAATAAATAAATAAATAAATAGTAAATGACCCTCAAAATCAGTACAAACAATGCAAATAATTCACAGGATCATCACCACTACAAACTAGCAAATCATGGACCTGCCAGGGCTTACTAAAACCTGTGCAAACTATACTACTGAGAACGTGGCTGCATAGTGGCGCTCACTATGGCTGAGTTGCTCTTAAATGTGCTTGCCAGGAGATGTCTCATAATCTGAATTTCTCACATATCATAATTCCCATGAGTCTCACGGGACCATCTTAGGCCATAACTTTAACAAAATCAGATAGACGTGGGCAGGAGAGAAGCTAAAGAAAGTATCCTTTCTTTGATTTCCTTACCTTTCATAGAAACCATCAACAGCTACTGTCTGAAGATGATAAAAATAAAGATATATGCGTATGGTTAGACAATTGTATGAACATATGTATCAGATGGAAAACACACACAGCAAAACAAATACCCATCACAAAAGAAGAAAACAAAGGAAGTATATATAATGAAGTCATTCAAAATAAACATCAACGTGACTCCCCGAGTGACCTCCCTAAATAAATAGCACTCCTTCCCATAACCATGCTTCTTATTCCTATTTTCCTACTTTATTTTTTTTCCACAGCGCTTATCACCACCACTGCATATTTATTTGTTGTTATTATCATAATTTTTTGCCTCTCCTAACTAGAAATCAATTCTACGAAGGCAGAAATTCTATTTGGTTCACTGCTGTATCCCAGCATCTAACATCGTACTTAGTATACTGTCAATGCTCAATAAATACTTTTTTAAAGAAATGTATGAGTAAAAACAGAGAACATGATACAAAAGGAAACTACAGAAACGAAGCCAAACAAAGATAACATAACAATAAATGTGAATAAAATAAATTCAGCTATCCAAAGGAGAATAATCAGAGTATGGGTCAAAAACATTAACCAAATAAAATATACTGGTTAAAATATGTAAGCTCTGAAGTAAAAATGCAAATTTGATTTCCAAATCAAGGTCTTATCAATCCTCTTTTAAGATGACATTCTGAGGCTATAGGCAGATCATCTATGTAAAGTAAGACACACAAGAGTGCCCAGTACATGGTGCACAGTCAGTAACTATTAGTGGGCAATGGTAAAAGCAGAAGTGAGCTTGGTTGTAATATTGGTGACAGCAGTGGTAACTCAAACCAAATGACTTTGTAAGACTGCAATGAAAAGAATCAGTGTCAATCAGAATGGCTATTATTAAAAAGTAAAAAGAAAAAAAATGCTGGCCAAGTTGCAGAGAAAAAGGAACACTTATACACTGGTGGTGCGAGTGTAAATCAGTTCAACCATTGTGGAAACAAGACAGTGTTGTGATTCCTCAAAGATCTAAAAACAGAAACACCATTCAACCCAGCAATTCCATTACTGGGTATATACCCAAAGGAATGTAAATGATTCTATCATAAAGACACATGCACGTGTATGTTCATTGCAGCACGATTCACAATAGCAAAGACATAGAATCAACCTAAATGCCTATTGATGGTAGACTGGATAAAGAAAATGTGGTACATATACACAGTGGAATACTATGAAGCCATGAAAAAGAATGAGGTCATATCATTGGCAGGAACAAGGGTGGAGCTGGAGGCCATTATCCTTAGCAAACTAACGTTGGAACAGAAAACCAAGTACCGCATGTTCTCACTTATAAGTGGGCGCTGAATGATGAAAAACATGGATACATAGAGGGGAACAGCATACACTGGGGCCTACACAAGGGTGGAGGAAGGGAGGAGGGAGAGGAGCAGGAAAAATAACTAATGGGTACTAGGTTTAATACTGAGTGATGAAATAATCTATACAACAAATGTCCATGATACAAGTTTACCTATGTAACAAACCTGCACATGTACCCCTGAACTCAAAATAAAAGTTAAATAAAGAAAGGAAAAGAATCAGTTATCATGACAGTATAAAAGAGTGAGTCTGTTGTGGTCTGGAGACTGTGAGAAATATTCTCCAAGGAAATTATATTTAAGCTGAGACCTAAGGATAGATGGGAACTAGTGGGTGGAGAAAATGGAAAACGAAATTTGTGTATGTGGTAGGGAAGGAGAGGAATAGCATTCTAGGCATCAGCAACAGCACATGTGAGCGGAATACATTGCAGAGAAGTGCCAAATACCCCAGCCTTGGGAAAAAGTCTCATCCCCGTAACACACACTTTAGTTAACAGATACTGCAATGGGAATTTTTGTTGTTAATTTATTCAATTGACTTAACAAATACTTACGTAAGCTCTTATGTGCCAGGCACTCTAAATCAGTTGCTGGGAATAGTACCAAGGTATGCAGAGCCCCTTGGCCTCACGGAGCTTCCAGTGGGAAATTTTTAAAAATAGATGAAAAGTACCCTGGGTTTTACTATGAAAAATAGCAGAGTGCCACAGAAGCATATAGCAGGTAAACCTAATCTAATTCTGGGGTCCAAAAATTATCCTAGAAAGCGTAACTTTTAGGAGACCACTCAAAAGAAAATTAATTGCTCTTAAGGCGAGTGAGGAGGAATGAACAAAACGTTCGTGAAGGTACCGAGGTAAAAGAAAGTGTAGCAGTTGAGCATTTGAAAGAAATGCATTATGTCTGAAACAAAGAGAAGCAGAGAGAGAGAGAGAGGAGAGCAAAAGAGTGTGAGAGAGAGAGGTGCAAGCAGAGAGAAGCTGGAGAGAGAGACAAGGCATGATAGCCTGCATTAAGGATTGTATTTCCGGTTGGGCGCAGTGGCTCATGCTTGTAATCCCAGCACTTTGGGAGGCTGAGGCGGGCAGATCACGAGGCCAGAAGTTCGAGATCAGTCTGACAAACATGGTGAAACCCCATCTGTACTAAAAATATAAAATTAGCCAGGCGTGGTGGCAGGCACCTGTAATCCCAGCTACTCGGGAGGCTGAGGCAGAATTGCTTGAACCGGGAGGCAGAGGTTGCAGTGAGCCGAGATTGTGCCACTGCACTCCAGCCTGGCGACACAGCAAGACTCCGTCTCAAAAAAAAAAAGAAAGAAAAACAATTGTATTTCCTAAGTCCATAAGAAATCATTGAACACGGATTGACTAATCCATTTTTCATATAATTTGAAAGATTGTTCTGGTTATTGTGTGGAAATTGTTTGGAGCAGCCGAACATGGAAGCTGCGGAGGCCACATGTATTTGTCAGTGTAAGTTTTGTTGTCCTATGGTAATAAATATCCCCCAAATCTCAGTGGCTCACACAATAAAAATGTTTTTCTCACTCAGGCTGCACATCTTTCATGGATTCTGGTCCACCTCGTCCTCACGCGGGGATGCAGACTGACAAGCTTCCACCATGAAGGGTTGTCATTTGCCATAGCAGGGAGAGGAAAATGGAGCAAATCAGTCACCAGCTCGTCATACAGAAGAGTGTCCCACGTCATATCTGCTGATATGTTATGGCCAAAGTACATGACTATCTCCAAGGAGCTGAGAGGTGAAATTCGGACATTTGTCTGGACGGAGTAGAACCAAGAGAGTCGTAAACATCCTGTGGACTACACACCGTTTAACAAGATGCAACAGTATTCTGGGTAAGAGATCATGGAGAGGCATTTATGAAAGCATTTTTAAATCAAATACAATTATTACAATTTGTCGATTAATTGGATGTGAGAATGGAGGGAGATGGAAGAGTCAGGGATCATTTCCCTGTGATGGAAAGGACAACTGGATAAATGCTGTAAAGTGTCCTGAGTTAGAGAATGTAGAAGATATTTTGGAGTGGGAGGGAACATTCAAACAGAGATGTCTAGTACATAGCTGGAAATGAGATCAGAAGAGAGGTCTGGGCCGAATAAATAAATTTTAGAGCGTTTGACATCCAAAAGGTACTTGAAATCAATGGAACAAAGATTTGTATGGGAGGGTAAGCAAATCATTCTTCTTTGAGACTTTCTCGATTTTGGCACTGAAAGTCGTATGTCATGGGAACATTCTCAGGCTTGAACAAACTGCAGTAGTTGGTCACCCTTTGAGAGTGTGTGAATAAAAAGAACACCAAGACAGATTTGTGAGGAGAAAACACGTACTGGTCAGGTTGAACAAGAGGGGCTGTCAAATGATACTGAGAAAAATAGTCATGAAGATAGAAGGCAAGTCAGAGGAATATCAGAGACCCAGAAAGCAAGGAAACAGTTTCAAGAAGGAGAGAGTGAGGGGCCAACGGGGCCAAATGGTACTCCAACATTAGGTAGGACTCAGATTGCAAATGCCCATTGCTGAGGGACCGGAAAACAGCTGAAATAGGACTCCCAGTTGTTTACGCAGCCAAGCAGAGATCAGGCAGGGAGGGGATGGCTTGTCCAAACACAAGAGGCTGACACATCAGGAAGGGGTCTGAGCTTGTCCTGGGTGTAGTGACCAGATACAGTAGATAGCATGGCAGCTTCTCACATAGCAGAAAACAAATGATGCAGATCTAGGTTCTTGACCTACAGTTCACTGCACACCTCCTCAGGCTGCTGGACTGCAGAATTCAAAAGGAATTCATTTAACACATAAGAGAAATCAAAAAGGATACTCGCCAATTATATGAATGCAAGACACGGATAAAACTCTCCTTTAAAGGTGAATAGAGAGAAAATAGCCAGCTGGGGCCTGTGGAACGACTCTGAAACATAAATGAAGATAAACTATAAGAAACATAAAGAAAATTTTAATAAACATGATTTTTTTCTCAGTATAATTCAAGAAAGCATGAATCAGTTATTGGGGTTTTTCCTATAGAGTTGTAGAAATTCCTTACATATTTTGGCTATTAACTCCTTATTAGATATATGGTCTGCAAATATTTTCTTCCATTCCACAGGTTGCCTTTTCATTCTGTTGATTGTTTTCTTAGCTGTACAGAAGCTTTTTAGTTAATATAATTCCACTTATCTATTTTTGCTTTTTTTTTTTTTTTTTTGCCTGTGCTCTCTTGGTGTCTTATAGAAGAAATTATTGCCCAGGCCAACATCTAGAAGCTTTTCCCCCATGTTTTATTTTAATATTTTATTTATCATGTCTTACATTTAAGTCTTTAATCCATTTTAGTGGATTTTTATATGTGTCATGAGATAGTGCTCTGATTTCATTCTTTTCCATGTGAATATCTCATTTTCCCAACACAATATATTAAAGAGATTCTTTTTTCCATAGTATATTCTTGGCACCCTTGGTAAATATAAGTTGACCATATATGCCTGGGTTCCGTTCTGGGTTCTGTATTCTATCCCATTTGTCTATATATCTGTTTTGATGTCAGTACCACACTGTTTTGATTACTGCAGGCTTTGAGGGTCTTTAGTGTTTCCAAATGAATAATAGGATTTTTTTTCTATTTCTGCAAAAATGCCATTGGGATTTTGTTGGAGATTGCATTGAATCTATTGATTGATTTGGGAAGTAAGAACATTTTCTTTTCTTAATTTTTTAAGCTATCTCCTACAGGAAGGAAGAACATTTTAACAATATTAATTCCTCCAATCAATGAACATGAAAAATATTTCCATTTGCGTCTTAAAAAAATTTTGTTCATGTTTTGTAGTTTCGAGTGTACAAGTCTTTCACTGTCTTGGTTAAGTTTATTCCTAAGTGTTTTGGGTTTTTTGATGCGTTTGTAAATGGAGTTGTTTCTTAATTTCTTTTTCAGTCTGTATAAATGAAACTAATTTTTTGTATGTTGATTTTATATTCTTCCACTTCACTGAATATGTCTATAAGTTAACAATTTCTCTCTCTCTCTCTGTGTGTGTGTGTGTGTGTGTGTGTACTTTAGGGTGTATATATATATATATATATGACTATGTCATCTGCAAACAGAAATCATTTTACTTCTGCCTTTCCAGTTTGGATGACTTTTATTTTTTTTTTCTTGGCTAATTCGCTGGTAAAGACTTCTAGTACTATGTAATTGAACGGAAGTGGCAAGAGTGGTTATCCTGGCCTTGTTCCAGATCTTAGAGTGAAAGACATTAGCTTTTTACCCTTGAATATGCTGTCCTGGCCTTGTTCCAGATCTTAGAGTGAAAGACATTAGCTTTTTACCCTTGAATATGCTGTCAGCTGTGAGCTTGTCATATGTGGCCTTTCTTGTGCGCAGGTAAGTTCCTCCTATATGTAACTTATTAAGAGTTTTTATCACGAAGTGTTCAATTGTGTCAAATACTTTTTTCTGCGTCTATTGAGATGATCATGCGATTTTTATCCTTCGTTCTGTTAACGTGGTATATCACATTGATTTATTTGCATAAGTAGAGCCATTTTTACATCCATGGGATAAATCTTACTTGGTTGTGATGTATAATTTTTTTAATGTGCTGTTATATTCAATTTGATTGTATTCTGTTGAGGGGTTTTGTGTCTGTTATCAGGGATATTGGCCTATAGTTTGTTTGTTTGTTTGTTTTTTCTTGAGGTGCCTTCATCTAGCTTTGATATCAGAGTAATGCTGGCTTCCTAGAATAACTTTAAAAGTGTTCCCTTTTCTTCTATTTTTGGAATAGTTTAAGAAGCAATAGTATTAATTCTTCTTTCTTTCTTTGGTAAAATTCACCTGCAAAGCTTACTGCAAAGCTTACTGGTCTTGGACTTTTCTTTGTTGACAGTTTATTATCATTATTATTATTCCTTCAATCTCCTTGTTATTTTGTTTTGTTTTGTTTTTTGAGATGGAGTCTCGCTCTGTCGCCCAGGCTGGAGTGCAGTGGCGCAATCTCGGCTCACTGCAAGCTCCGCCTCCCGGGTTCACACCATTCTCCTGCCTCAGCCTCCCAAGTCACTGGGACTACAGGCGCCCGCCACCATGCTCGGCTAATTTTTTGTATTTTTAGTAGAGATGGGGTTTCACCGTTTTAGCCGGGATGGTCTCGATCTCCTGACCTCGTGATCCGCCCGCCTCGGCCTCCCAAAGTGCTGGGATTACAAGCGTGAGCCACCACGCCCGGCGAATCTCCTTGTTTTTTATTGGACTGTTTAGGTTTTCTATTTGTTCTTTATTCACTCTTGGAAAAGTGTATGTTTCTAGGAATTTCTCCGTTTCTTTTCGGTTGTCCAATTGGTTAGCATATAATTTTGTATAATGGTTTCTTATGATTCTTTTCTATGAAATCTTTTGTAATGTTTCCTCTTTCGTTTCTGATATTTTAAGTCTTTTTTTCTTTAGTCAATCTAGTTAAAATTTTATTAGTTTTATTTATTTTTTCAAAATACCAGCTCATAGTTTTGTCAGTTTTTTAAAAATGTTTTCTATTTTCTATTTCATTTATTTCTGCTCTGATCTTTATTTACTTATTTATTTATTTTTGCTAATTTTGTATTTAGTTTGTTCTTATATTCTGGTTCTTCAGATATAATTAGGTTACTTACTTGGGATCTTTCTTTGTTATAATGTAGGTGTTTATTGCTGGAAACTTCCCTCTTAGAACTGTTTTTGTTGCATCTCATAAGTTTTGTTTTGTTGTGTTCTCATTTTTGTTGTCTCAAAATATTTTCTAATTTTCTTTTGACTTCTTTTTTGACCCAATAGTTGTTTGAGAGTGTGTTGTTTAATTTTCATGTATTTGTAAATTTTTCTGTTTTTATTCTATTTTTTTATTTCTCGTTTCATTCCATTGTGATTGGAAAAGAGACTTGAAATAATTTCAATCTTAAATTCTTAAGACTTGTTTTGTAGCCTAGCATGTGATCTATTTTGAAGAATGTTTCCTGAACACTTGAGAAGAATGAGTATTCTATTTCTGTTGCACTGGTCTAGAACCAGACCCACAATATCTCTGATGTATGTCTGAATACTTATCTTGAATAATTCCTCTACATAGATTGAGAACCTCATTAGACAGTGTTACAGCTTTGTGCTTCAACTGTCAACATATAGAAAACTCAAGAGGAGAAAGTCTATTGTCCTTATTTATATTTTTGCTCATGTATAATTTCTTCCTTTCTAATGTACTGAGTCTTTCTTTTATTCTGTTCTTTATGTTTAGAGAACTTTCTTGAGTCATTTTTTAGGGTAGGTCTGTGGGTTTTAAATTCTCTTAGTTCTCTTCTATCTTATGTCTTTATTTTATCTCTATTCCTGAAGAATATTTTCTCTGGATATAGGATTCTGGGCTGATAGGTTGTTTTTTTTTTTTTTTCTTTCAACATTTGAAAAATATTGCAGCACTTTCTTCTGGGCTCTGTGATTATTGAAGAGAAATCTACTGTTATCCAAACTGTTTTTCCCATATAACCAATATGTCATTTCTCTCTCAATGCTTTCAAAAATTTTTCTTTGTATTTAGTTTTTAGAAGTTTCACTATGATGTGTTTTGATGTAGATTTCTTACATCCATTTTTTTTTTCTTTTTTGGTCAATTTGGGATATTTTAAGCCATTATTTCTTCAAATACTTTTTCGGCTCCACTGTCTTTCTTCTCCCTTTCTGGAACTCAAATAATACTAATGTTACATCTTTATTATAGAGCCATATACCCTTGAGGTTGTGTTCTTATTTTGTTTTCAATCTATTCTCTCTTTGTTGTTTAGAGTGGATAATTTTTATTGTTATGTCTTCAAGTTCTCTGATTCTTTCTTCTATTCTCAGTTCTGTTGTTCAGTCCATTTGTTCAGTTGTCTATTTTGGTTATTATATATTTTAGTTCTAAAATTCCCATTTGGTTCTTTTTATCTTATATTTCTTTGTTGAAATGTTCTATTATTATTATCTTTTTTTTTTTTTTTTTTTTTTTGAGACTGAGTCTTACTCTGTTGCCCAGGCTGGAGTGCAGTGGCACGATCTCAGCTCACTGCAAGCTCTGCCTACCAGGTTCTAGTGATTCTCCCTGCCTCAGCCTCCCGAGTAGCTGGGATTACAGGAGCCCACCACCACGCCCAGCTAATTCTTGTGCTTTTTAGTAGAAACGGGGTTTCACTATGTTGGTCAGGCTGGTCTTGAACTCTTGACCTCGGGTGATCCACCTGCCTTGGCCTCTCAAAGTGCTGGGATTATAGGCATGAGCCGTGCCTCACCTGAAATGTTCTATTATTTTGCTAAAAAGTTCTTTGCTCTTGGTTTGATAAGTGATTTTTTTTATTGAAACCAGTATATTTTGTGCATCATGATACAAAACACTGGATCTTTTTTAAATCCTATTTTAGCAGGTCTTCTCTGACACCACTCTAGTGAATGAAAGGGGAGGCTGCCTCATTTCTGCGGGTAGGCTTGAAAGGTCTGGCTTCTCTTCTGTTGACACGTTGCGGCCAAGGGAGAGGATTCCTCATAACTTCTGGATGGGGATGGGAGTCGAGGCTCCCACTAGGAATTCTCTGACACTATCCCAGCAAGGAGGGCACCTCATTACTATTTTTTTTTTTTTTTTGAGACAGAGTTTTGCTCTTGTTGCCCAGGCTGGAGTGCAATAGCACAAACTCGGCTCACCACAACCTCTGCCTCCCAGGTTCAAGCGATTCTCCTGCCTCAGCCTCCAGAGTAGCTGGAATTACAGGCATGCGCCACCATGTCCGGCTAATTTTGTATTTTTAGTAGAGACGGGGTTTCTTCATGTTGGTCAGGCTGGTCTCAAACTGTCGACCTTAGGTGATCCACCCGCCTCAGCCTTCCAAAGTACTGGGATTACAGGCGTGAGTCACTGTGCCCAGCCCTCATGACTAGTCTTTACATGGCCTCCACTGACACCATGGAGAGGGGAGTAGGTGGCCTTGTACCCAGTGAGTGGGATGAAAGTCCTGAATCTGTATTAAGCTTCTTTTGATACCAGCTGACAGGGGTATTTTAACCTGGCAACACACTCTGGGCTCTTCAGTTGGTCTTTATTGCAGAGTATAGGGTATAATTACAGTTTTTTCTGTGACATTTCGCTGGAGTGGGAAGTTATCGTCTGAAAGTTTTCTGTCTTGTAAGGTTGACTCTTTTCTGGTCCATTGGCTAATGAGAACAGGCTTTCATTATGATCGCGCGCACGCGCGCGCGTGTGTGTGTGCTTATTGGTGGTTTCTGGGTTGCTGGCTTCTTCACTTCCAAGTTTAGGATACATGAGGCAAAAAAAAACAAAAAACAAAAAACAAAAATAAAACCTGAGGGACTCACCTCTGCGTCATTCATTGGGTCTCTGCATCTTTAGCCAGTCCCTCCTCTCCATCCTTGAGACTTTTATTTTGTTTCTTTTGTACAGAATATCCAGAATTTTTAGTTGCACCTAGCAGGAAGAAAAGGGAAGACTATGTCTACTCCATCTTTTCAAAAGTGGATGCCCAAGCTGTAATAATTTTAGAATGTAAAATATTAAAGTGTCAAATATTGTTAACAGAAATAGATATAAATCAGATAAAAACCACTTAAAATCAGTAAGAATCCTAGCCAATTGGAAAGAGTAGAATTCGACCTCTGCACATACAATACTCCAAAATTAATTCCAGATAGATTAATTGTATAATTAATTAATTTTAAAAGTGAAATAATATATAGGAGAAAATATAAGCACATTATATAATCAGAGAAGTGAAATTGTAACATTCTTTACACAAATAATGGTTGTCTTTAATATGTAAATAATTCTTACAAATCAGTAAGAGAAATATGACTACTATAAGCAAAAAATAATTAGAGAAAGGCCCAAACAGATGATTTGCATAAAGAATACAAGTACCTAACAAATATGGGAAAATGCTCTTCTTTTCAAATAATTGAAGAAACAAAAATTAGACAAATTAATTCCTTCGGGTTTTAGTTCGGTTTAGTTTGGTTCCTTTTTGGCTTATTCATGAGCCCTTCAAATAAAATGAAAGCAATTTTAGGTGGGTCTGAGCTGGGTCCTACCTTGCAAATCCAGCTGTGATGGGAACCAAAGTAATACAATCTTTTTGGCAGGAACTTTGCCAATAAGTATCAAAAATCGCAAACATCATCATTTTTTGGACCAAATAATTTCACTTTGGGAAATTTATCCCAAGAAAAAGATGATTAACATAAAGATTCATGGAGAAGAATACTAATAACATAAGTATTAATAGTGGTAAAAGGTAAAAAACTAAAAATCCTAACAAAGAAGAATTGGATAACTAAAGTGTGGCATATTCATAGAATAGAATACCATGTGGTTATTTTAAACCATGTTGTATAAGAATACTTAATGCCACGGGAAAAATGCTCATAATTTACCATTAAGTAAAAAATGAAAGTCAAACTATACAGTAGTTTAGACACTAATGCTACTTTAATAGGTAAAAATGTTCACAGAAATAACGTATTAAGAAAACACACAAAAATATTAGCACTTGAAAATTAAGTACAGGAATCATGATGTATTTTCATTTTTCTTCTTTGTATTTTTTAATTTTCAAAATATATTATTACAAAGCATACTTTTATATTTAAAACAAAACAATAAATGTATGTGGGGGATGTCTGGGGATGCCTTCAGCTGCTTAATGATGTCATCTGAGACGCAGGCTCTTTCTAACATTTTTATTCTGCCATCCTTAGCATTTTGGTTTTCCTTGTCACGCTTGTTGCTGCATCATTATAAGATAGCTATGGCACCTATAGATATCACAAATGCTCCAGGCTGGAAGAAGAAAGAGAGCCCACCCTCTGCATCTATACCTCTTTTGATCAGGACTATTTGTCAGAGACCCCTTTCAACAGATTTTGCTTACATCCCCTATGAACATCCAAAGCTACAAAGGAAGCCAAAAAATAAGTATGCAGTTTTGCAGACTCTTAGACTAGATCATGACAAGAAAGAAGGGACCAGGAATGGATGCTGAGTGAGCCAACTGCAGTTTTTACATAGTATTTTTATGTACAAAATTAAAAGCATATTTTGTAGAGTGCATGGATTGAATGTAGTGATAACCAAACTATGCAAGAATTGTGCTTTGCAGGCCCTGTAAAAAGCATTTTGTGACATCTGACCATTAAAAGAAGTTAGGAGATGTACTTGCAAACTATTCAGGCTCTGATCCCTACATTGCAGGAGTCTGACACTATAAATTGTACATTTTCATACTGAGAAAAGATTAGAAGGTTGATGTAGGGTACGCATGTCTTAACCATCAACTCATTCACAGGCACTTTGTTGTATGGCATAGGGAAGAGCCCTTTCAAGCTGTGTTTGGTTACATGAAACCTAAGTCAGCCATCCAGTCATTGTAGAAAAAAAAATCATCAAAAAGCAAGATTCGTCATACAACTGAAGGCAGCAAGCTGTTGGACAAAGAGCAAACAAAGCCTGTGGAGGTCAGGAGATCTGAGCGTTCCATCAGGTTCTGCCACTAAACAGCTGTGTGCTTTTGTGAATGTAATTAACATTGACAAATTTCAGTTTCTTAATCTATAAGGTCAGGGGTTTGCAGAAAAGATTGCTTAGGGCACTTTGAGCATAAAATGGCTATATTCTATTATAATTGATATCTTATAAAAATTACTAACTGCAAAGGTAATGAATCACATTAAACCTCTCACTGTGAGTTGACAGGAAGGAACACAGAGAGATCTGGAGGAACAGAGATGGGCAGAGTCACTGGCTCTGTGTCAGCTGCTGTCATTTGTGGTAGATGGTACATTCCACAGAGGAAATGCAACACATATAAACCTTTAGAACCCACTAAAACTCTGTCAACATTATTTTTGCATAATTGGAAAAATGGGTTTGCAGTGCAATATATTGAGCCCACACCCCAATTTCAAGACCTGGTGTCCTTGTTGATTTAATTTCACAAAGCAAAAAAGAAGATACATTAGGAGTGAAAGGAATCACATTGGTGGGGAAGTTGTTACAATAGTCACTAAAGTCTTTCAGTCCAGGAATCAGAGGCCATGCAAATGTATCAACGTTCAGGTTCAGATGAAAGTTATGGAAAGTTGTGGTTGTCAGCACAGGTTGTGATGGGGTTGGAATTCTTGCTCCACCATTTAGAGCTGTGTGACAGTCTTCAAGTTACTTACCACATCTGTGCCTTTGTTTCTTATCTGTAAAATTAGGGACAATATTTGCACATATCTCTGAGAACTGGGTAAAATTTAAATTTTTTTTTTAGTCCAGTGCCTGGCCTCTAGGTACTTATTATCAGAGAGGTAATTTTTAATTCTTTAAGTAACTCAATGAATTTGCAACTAAGCTTATAAACTGTTAGGTAGTTAGTAACTTGTGGTGGATTTCTTAATTTGGGGAATAAAGTTTCTCTATGCAGAAATGTATGAAATGGCAAAAGTAGAAAGCCTACCATAAAGCTTAAGGGACACTTTTACTGGAATACCTTTTAGGAGACTCAGGCAGTTTTGCACAGAGCTGTTGCCTGCAACCCTGAGCCGCTTCCTAGTACAGCTCTGCTCCTGGGTAAAAGGCAAGAGACAAGAGAGCTATAAACTCTGTGTAGTGCAGGAATATAAATGTATCATTGTATTCTGCTTGGACTATGTCCTTCAGCAAAGTGACAATTTAACTGAAAGTGGTCATACAGACAGAACTGGCAGGTTTTCCACTATTGCCTATTCCTATTTCTCTTGCTGGAAATCGCTCCAGGATCCTTAACAGGTGGTCTGCTTCTAGTCCCTAAATTTGGAATGTCAAAATGGATTCTCAGATCAATGGGGGAAGGCTGGGTTGTTCATTAAATGGTGTTGAGACAGCTGGCTAAGCATTTGGAAAAACAAAGTTAGGATCCTATCTCAAACCAAATTAAACCACAAATGGGTTCAATGTTTAAAGAAAGGCAGAGAGATGAAAATATCAGAAGAAAATACAGGTGAATAGCAAAATAGCTGTATTATAGGGAAAGGTTTCATGACTATAATACTAAGAGCAGAATTTATATTTATAATGGGAAAAATAATCATTGACTACATTAAAAATGTAAAACTTCCCTTTATATATATAAAAACTACTATGGAGAAAATAAGGAGAACAGAACCTTAAGAAAAGTCACTTTCATGTATCAGGTTAAAGGGCTACTGTCCTGTCTGTGGAAAGAGCTCTTATAAATGAGTGAGGAAAAAGATGACCCGTCCGTTCCCCTCTCCCCGCCCCACCCCCACCAATGTGGGCATACCCATAAATATAATTTTTTTAAAAAAGTCAAAAGGGTAATAAACATGAAAAAATTTCAGCTTCACATGTAATCAGCCACTTCTCATGTATCAAGTTGTCAAAGATGAAAAACAACAAAACTCCACGTTAGGGAAAGAAATGGTCGGCAATATGCAGTTGCAGACATGAATGCTGGCACTACAAATACACAAAAACTAGGGCCGGGTGCAGTGGCTCACGCCTGTAATCTCAGTACTTTGGGAGGCCAAGGCAGGAGGATCACCTGAGGTCAGGAGTTCGAGACCAGCCTGGCCAGCATGGTGAAACCCCATCTCTACAAAAAATACAAAAATTAGCTGGGTATGGTGGTGGGCACCTATAATCCCAGCTACTGGGGAGCCTGAGGCAGGAGAATCACTTGAACCCAGGAGGTGGAGGTTGAAGTGAGCTGAGGTCGTGCCATTGCACTCCAGTCTGGGCACCAAGAGTGAAACGCCTTCTCAAAAAAAAAAAAAAATACACAAAAACTTTTTGGAGAGCTTTTGGGCCATGTAGATAATATTCTCAGTGAAAAGTCTTTGACATCTTCTAGTATGTTACCCTTAGAAAATTATCAATCACATGCTTGGCGATTTAGATCTAGGAGTATCATCGCAGCATAGTTTGTAATTTCAATATAGAATGTTAAGGAGATATCTGTCATCTGAGGCTGGTTAATAAATTAAGACTTAGTCTACATAACTAAATACTATGAAACTTTTTAGGAAAGTAAGTTTTAAGGTAGCATGATGTCCGCACATGAAAAAAATATATAAAACGGGTATAGTACAAGTCATATTTGTATTAAAATTCTATAGCTTGTTATGTTTGGTATTTTTAACATATACATGGAAAAATATGAATATATGGTTAAAAATAAGTATCCTCCAGTCCAAGACCCCTTAAGGCTGTCAAGGTCATAAAAAAAGCAAAGAACAACTGAGAAAGTGTCATGGATGTGGAAAGACATAAAAATTAGAATCTAGTGTCGTTCCCTGGATTGGAACCTATAACAGAAAGAGGACCTTAATGGAAAACTGGTGAAATCTGGAGTTTCATCAATAGTAATGGACCAATGTCAGGTTCTTGGTTTTGACAAATGAACCACAGTAGCATAAGGTGTGAACAATGGGAGAAACGGGGTGAAGGGCATATGGGAACTCCTTATAAGCTATCTTTGCCATTTTTATAAATAACAAGTTTACTTGAAATATCAAGCCATTTGGCCGGGCGCAGTGGCTCACACCTGTAATCCCAACACTTTGGGAGGCCAAGGCGGGCGGATCACCTGAGGTTAGGGGTTCGAGATCAGCCTGGCCAACATGGTGAAACCCTGTCTCTACTAAAAATACAAAAATTAGCTGGGCATGATGGTGGGCACCTGTAATCCCAGCTACTTGGGAGACTGAGGCAGGGAGAATTGTTTGAACCCAGGAGGCGGAGGTTGCAGTGAGCCGAGTTCGCGCCACTGCACTCCAGCCTGGGCGACAGAGCGAGACTCCATCTCAAAAAAAAAAAAAAAAAAAATTAAACCTTTCAAAATGTGTAACCCTGAGGAGTGAGATTTGAGTATGGGACATAATGACTTTCAGATTCTATGTGGAAAATGTTGTACAATGACCACACATATTACATAATAAAGGATGAACTGACATAAAAAAAATTGTAGAAGTATATTTGTGAACATGGAATAATAAAAAAGCAAATTATAAC
This sequence comes from Homo sapiens, assembly GCF_000001405.40. Lineage (NCBI taxonomy): Eukaryota > Metazoa > Chordata > Mammalia > Primates > Hominidae > Homo > Homo sapiens. Next base: position 12,602,980 of record NC_000017.11, read on the forward strand.
AGTATAATCTTACTTAAATATATTTTAATTACTTGCTTTTGCTTTCATTTATGTTCCAATTTTTAAAACAAATATACATTTCTTATAGGACAAAGAATAATTTAAGTTTAAAATATCCCTGGAAGTAGATGTGGGGCAGGCAGAATCCCCAAATCTCCAGTCTTGCAAGTTAGAATCGGGGGTTTCCTGATCCTGTACCTGCTCCTTAAAACTCTGGGGCCACAAAAAGCAGATCGTCTTTGTTGATGGGGACTCTGGCTCTTTATTCCAGTAATAAATTTAAATGAATATCCCTTTTTTTTAACTATGATCCAACACATCTTGTCTGTGCTTAGATTATTCTATTCAAGACACAAGGGTGAAGGTATTAATTAAAAAGAAAAAGAATAATTTAACAGTATCAAGCATTCTTTCCTGCTGTGTAGGTTATTTATAATATGATTTTCAGAGAGAATAATGGCCAGTTAAATAAGAGAAAATACAAACTCACTACACTTAAACCCTGCTAATAGAAAATTGAAGACAAAATGTAAACAAGCATTTTGCCTTTTTTCATGTTTATCACATAATCACAGCACTGCCATATTTGGGAAAAATAGCCTAATATTTGAATGCAAATTCTACTGATATTTATTGTAATATTTTGGACACATATCCACATAATGCAAGATTTTCATGTATTTGTCTTACTCAGAAATGAATTTGCTGGATGGTTTCCAAGCAGTAATTTGGATTTATAAGAATGTAAATACATTATGATTGAGTTCCCAGTAGCATTTAAGCTCATGGATATTAGGCAATGCCTGATGCCAAGCAACTTCGGAAGCCCTGGAGACTCAGCGGCTCACAGCCCTTTCCCACGGGCCACCCACTCTCGAGGGCCATATTTCCAAATGCATTTCTGCGAGTCTGAGAGACTTGAGGATTTGCAAGGGCCTTCCTCACAGACACAGTGGCTTATGCCCACTTCACCCAGTTTCTCGCATTGTTCACACCTTACGTTACTGTGGTTCATACGTCAAAACCAAGTGGGAGTTACCAGTGGGTCAACTGGTCATTATAAAATGGAGAATGAAGTGCTGTAATTGGTGAGACTATAAGATTTCATGGGAGCGCAAAAGAGAAGCACCTTGAAACCTGGACCCCTGGGGACAGGGGTGGCCAAGATACAGGCTGGCCAAGATACACAGTCCATGGAACGTGAGGCTCGGAGGAAGCAGAGTCATTTCCCAGGAGAATGGGAGACCAGGGAGAAGAGACGGTGCTCCAGGCAGAGGTGACTGCACCTGAAAGGGCCTGGTGAGGGAGGGGAGTGAGCGTGGTGGGTCTAAAGAACTGGACAGAGCCCCCGCCAGACCACAGGATGCCAAGAGGTGGGTGAGAGCCAGAGCCCAGCGGGAGGAGCAGCCCCATCACGAAAGGCCTTGAACACCATATTAAGGAAATTGGATTTTATTTCATGGTTGCTGTGGGCTAAATTGCGCCTCCCCAAAACTCATATGTATGGAAGCCCTAATGCTATAGCACTTCAGAATGGAACTGTATTTACAGATAGGGGCCTTAAAGGGCTAACCCAGTTAAAATGAGGTCATGAGGGTGGGCTGTAGTCTGATCTGACTGAAGTCTTTTTTTTTTTTTTTTTGAGATGGAGTCTTGCTCTGTCGCCCAGGCTGGAGTGCAACGGCATGACCTCTGCTCATTGCAACCTCCGCCTCCCGGGTTCAAACAATTCTCCCTGCCTCAGTCTCCCAAGTAGCTGGGATTACAGGTGCCCATCATCATGCCCAGCTAATTTTTGTATTTTTTAATAGAGACAGGGTTTCGCCATGTTGGCCAGACTGGTCTTGAACTCCTGACCTCAAGTGATCCGCCCACCTCGGCCTCCCAAAGTGCTGGGATTACAGGCATGACCCACCACGCCGGCCCTGACTGATGTCTTCATAGGCAAAGGAAATTAGGACACAGACACACCCAGAGGGAAGGTCACATAAAGTCGCAGGGAGTATACAGCCACCTGCATATCAAGAAGAGAGGCCTCAGAGGAAACTGACACCTTGCTCTTGGACTCCCAGCCTCCAGAATTGTGAGAAAATAAATTTCTGTCATTTGAACCACTCAATCTTTAGTACTTTGTTACAGCAGCCCTAGCAAACTCACGCAAAGGACAATCAAGTGTCCTAAGGAAAGGCAGGGGGCAGGGGAAGGATGGTTAGATTCATCCTTTTGAAAGATTACTGGCTGGTGGGCAGAATGGATAGGAGAAGGTAGAGTTGGGGGCAGGAAGTTCAAAAGCCCTTTAAGTGCTAGACAATGGTTGCAGCTGCTATGGAGGTCTGTGCAGGCTGAATTTGCACAACTCTGGGGGGTGCCTTCTAAATACAGACATGCCTCAGAGATGTAATGGGTTTGTTCCAGACCACTGCAATAAAGCGAAGATTGCAATAAAGTGAGTCACACAAAGTTTTTGGTTTCCCAGTGCATATAAAAGCTATATTTACACTATATTGTAGTCTATTAAATGTGCAGTAGTGTTATGTCTAAAAAAACAATGTACATACCGGGCCAGGCGCAGTGGCTCACACCTGTAATCCCAACACTTTGAGAGGCTAAGGCGGGTGGATCACCTGAGGTCAGGAGTTCGGACCAGCCTGGCCAACATGGCGAAACTCCGCCTCTACTAAAAATACAAAAATTAACTGGGTGTGGTGGTGGGTGCCTGTAATCCCAGATACTAGGGAGGCTGAGGCCAGAGAATCGCTTGAACCTGGGAGGCGGAGGTTGCAGTGAGCTGAGATCACGCCACTGCACTCCAGCCTGGGAGACACAGTGAGACTCTGTCTAAATGGAAAAAAAAAAATGTACATACCTTAATAAAATATACTTTGTTGCCAAAAAGTGAGAATGATTATCTGAACCTTCAGTAAGTCATAATCATTTTGCTGGTGGAGGGTCTTGCCTCAATGTTGATGGCTGCTGACTGATCAAGGAGGTGGTTGCTGAAGGTTGGAGTGGCTGCAGCAATTTCCTAAAATAAGACAACAAGGAAGTTTGCCTCATTGATTGAATCTTCTTTTCACAAGGAATGTCTCCATCACATGCAATACCATGTGATAGCATGTTACCCACAGTAGAACTACTTTCAAAATTGAAGTCAATTCTTTCAAACCCTGCCACTGCTTTATCAACTAAGTTGATGTAGTATTCTAAACATTTTCTTGTCATTTCAACAAAGTTTACAGCATTTTCATTAAGAGTAGTGTCTATCACAAGAAACCATTTTCTTTGCTCATGTATAAGAACAACTCCACATCCTTTAAAGTTTGATCATGAGATTGCGGCAATGCAGTCACATCTGCAGGCTTTACTTTTAATTCTAGTTCTCTTGTATTTACCACATCTGCAGTGACCTCCTCCACTATAGTCTTGAACCCCTCAAAGTTATCCAAAAGGGTTGGAATCAACTTCTTCCAAACTCCTGTTAATGTTGATATTTTGACCTCCTCCCGTAAGTCACAAATGTTCTTAATGGCATCTAGAATGGTGAATACTTTCCAGAAGCTTTTCACTTTACTTTGCCCAGATCCATCAGAGGAATCACTATCCATGACAGTGATAGTCTTACAAAATGTATTCTTAAATAAGATTTGAAAGTCAAAACTACTCCTTGATCCATGGACTGCAGAATGGATGTTGAGTTAGCAGCCATGAAAACAACCTTTGTCTCCATCGGAGCTCTTGGGTGACCAGGTGCATTGGTCACTGTCAATGAGAAGTAGTGTTTTGAAAGGAATTCTTTTTTTCTGAGCAGTAGGTTCCAATGGTGGGCTTGAAATATTTAGTAAATTATGCTGCAAACAGTTGTGCTCTCATCTAGGCTGTTATTTCATGTAGGAAGCACAGGCAGAGTAGATTTAGCATAATTCTTAAGGGCCCTAGGATTTTCAGAATGGTAAATGAGCATTTGCTTCATCTTAAAGTTGCCAGCTACATTCGTCCCTAACAAGAGAATCAGACTGTTCTTTGAAGCTTTGAAGCTAGACATTGACTTCTCTTCTCTAGCTATCAAAGTCCTAGATGGAATCTTCTTCCAACAGAAGCCTATTTTGTCCACATGCAAAATCTGTTATTTATTTATTTATTTATTTATTTATTTATTTATTTATTATTTTTTGAGATGGAGTTTCACTCTTGTTGCCCAGGCTGGAGTACAATGGAGCGATTTCAGCTCACCACAACCTCCGCCTCCCGGGTTCAAGCGATTCTCCTGCCCCAGCCTCCTGAGTAGCTGGGATTACAGGTGCCCGCCACCACACCAGCTCATTTTGTATTTTTAGTAGAGATGGAGTTTCTCCATTTTGGTCAGGCTGGTCTCAAACTCCCAACCTCAGGGGATCCGCCCGCCTCAGTCTCCCAAAGTGCTGGGATTACAGGCATGAGCCACCACTCCGGGCCACAAAATCTGTTTTTTAATGCAGCCACCTTAATTAATGATCTCGGCTGGATCTTCTGGATAACTTGCTGCAGCTTCTACATCAGCACTGTCTGCCTGACCTTGCACGTTTATGTTAGGAAGACAGCTTCCTTCTTTGAACTTCATGACCTAACCTCTGCTAGCTTCAAACTTTTCTTTTGCCTCTTCCTCACCTCTTTTGAGCTTTCATAGAGCTAAATAGAGTTAGGGTCTTTCTCTGGATTAAGCTTTGGCTTAAGGGGATGTTGTGGGCTGGTTTGATCTTCTATCTAGACCACTAAAACTTTCTCCATATCAGCAATAAGGCTGTTTCGCTTTCTTATCATTCAAGTGTTCACTGGAGTAGCATTTTTCATTTGCTTCAAGAACATTTACCTTGAATTGACAAGTTGGCTAGCTGTTTGGCACAAGGAGCCTAACTTTCAGCCTATCTCAGCTTTCAACGTGCCTTCCTCACTAAGCTTAATCATTTCTAGTTTTTGATTTAAAGTGAGAGATGTGTGACTCTTCCTTTCACTTGAACACTTACGGAACACTGTAGGGTTATTAATTGGCCTAATTTCAATATTGTTGTGCCGCAGGGAATGGGTAGGCCCAAGGAGAGGGAAGGAGACGGGAACTGCAAGTCAGTGGAACATTCAGAACACACACATTTATCAATTAAGTTTGCCATCTTATATGGTGTGGTTCTTGGCAACCCAAAACAATTGCACTGGTAACATCAAAGAACACTGATTGGCCAGGCTTGGTGGCTCATGCCTGTAATCCCAGCATTTTGGGAGGCCGAGGTGGGTGGATCACGAGGTCAGGAGTTCGAGACCAACCTGGCCAACATGGTGAAACCCCGTCTCTACTAAAAATACAAAAATTAGCCAGGTATGGTGGCACATGCCTGTAATCCCAGCTATTCAGGAGGCTGAGGCAGGAGAATCTCTTGAACCCTGTGAGGCGGAGGTTGCAGTGAGCCGAGATCATGCCACTGCACTCCAGCCTAGGCAACAGAGCAAGACTCCATCTCAAAGAAAAGAAAAGAAAATTACTGATCCCAGATCATCAGAACAGATATAATAATGAAAAAGCTTGAAATATTATGAGAATTACCAAATGTGATACAGAGACATGAAGGGAACACGTGCTGTTGGAAAAATAACATCAATGGGCTTGCCCGACACACAGGTGCCACAAATTTTGAATTTGTAAAAAAGCACAGTATTTGCAAAGCTCAAAATAAAAAAAAAAACCCAAAGCACAATACAACAAGGTATGTCTATGGATGATAATACAAATCATGTGCCCACAGGTCACACAATACACACGTTGGCATTGCAAGCATATTCGAGATACCACTAATGACAAGCATAGGTAAAGGAATTGGGAAGAAATGCATAGATTCGAGAGAAACTTAGAAAATAGACTGAATTGTGTTTGAAGATTGGTTGGATACTACTAGTAAGGGAGAAGAAGGAGTAAAGCATGAAGCTATTTTCAGTCTTGGGCAACTGGGTGGGTGGGGGCACTGGCCCATGAATTAAGAAACCAAGCAGGAAGATCTGTGTCGGAGAGGATAATTGAGTCTGTTTTGGATTTGAGTTCGAAGAATCAAAAGGAGCTCTTCAAATTGAGATTTTCAATAGGAAGTTGAAAATATGAAGATTACAGACCTTTACATGCATCATGATTTTTCATGATTTAAATAGCCTAATATTTTAAATCATGGGGGTTGATAAGAACTGAAGGAATACTGTGTAAAATAAGAAAAGAACATAAAAAGGGGTCAGGCATGGTGGCTCATGCCTGTAATCCCAGCACTTTGGGAAGCTGAGGCAGGCGAGTCACCTGAGATCAGGAGTTTGAGACCAGCCTGGCCAACGTGGTGAAACTCCATCTCTACTGAAAATGCAAAAATTAGCTGGGCATGGTGGCATGCACCTGTAATCCTAGCTACTCGGGAGGCTGAGGTAGGAGAATTGCTTGAACCCAGGAGATGGAGGTTGCAGTGAATCAAGATTGCACCACTGGATTCCAGCCTGGGTGACAGAGCGAGACTCCATCTCAAAAAACAAAACAAAACAAAACAAAACAAAACATAAAAGGGAAAAAAGATGCCCTCTTGGCATCCAAACTCTTAAGTCAGAGGTTCATTACAGGACTTAGCGGGCAAAAATAAGAAAAACGGTGTTGCCCATTTTCTTCCCCTCTTCTACCTACCTGCTGGTTCCAGGCACAGGTATCTCTTCATGTTCTTAAGGCTTGAGAGTACCCTGAAAGCAGCAGCAGTGAATGTGTGGGGTGATCTCATTCACCCAGCAAATATGGGGTATCTACAGTGTGTCAGATACTGTACTAAGTTTCTGTTGATCAAAAAAAAAAAAATCATACTTCTCTCCATTCTCAAAACAATTCAGATGCTTGGGGTAATGCATGGACCCCAGAATTATAATTCTAGTGGCATTACAGGGCCTTCAGAATTGTAATTCCAGCATCAGAATGGAAGACCAAGATCGGGTCTTTGTCAGTGTCCTGGGGATAATCAGAAGATCTCTGCCCAACAGATTCACATGACTGTCTTGCTAAAGGAGGTTAATTCATTCAAAGATGGGAAGTGGGAGAATCCAAGAAAGTTCACTTCCTATATTCCCTGATCCTACACCTTGGGAACTTTTTTTGCCCAGCAGATATCTTTGATGTTACATTTTCTTGCCTCTCTTAGCTCTGAGTGTCAAAAAAATATATTTTCAGTTTTGAGGGGACTGTTTCTAACACACTTCCTTCACTCCTTATATAGGGTATAGTGGGCAATATCCATCCATCCTTTATGAGTCAGGTCACCTTATAAATATCAATTATTAAACTGAGTAATCACGTAGTGATGTCTCATTGACCTGAGTGCTAAATGGCTATAGATTGAGATGCTCTTGGTTTGTCTTTTGTCTTTTTCCTTTCTGACACAGAGCATTTTTCTAAGAATCATCTCTAATATGAAAACTAGAAAACAAAATTGGCAAGCTTGGGAGGCTCTGGAATATCTGCAGTGTATGTACAATAATAGAAAATAGACTCTTTGTAAGGGTCTTTGCATGAAATTTTGGGCATGGCTACTGAAACACCTATGTAGATATACAGGGGTGCTTTCATTCATTCATTTTTGCTTCCTCCTGAATACATAGCTGAAATTGCTTTAAGAATATATATGGATTTGGGAAAAGCAAAAAACAAAGCCACTGCCCCGGCTCCTACATTGTCACACCTGATCAAGGGATAATAGCTGAAGGTTGTGCTTCGCAACTCAGAGTCATACGGCACCTGTCATTATCTAAGCTGGGGTTCAGATGATGCTAGTTATCACCCACTCTCCAGATATTTGTTTTTATTCATTAACATGCCTGAGTGTTTTTGTCTAGTTATTGAGAAAGATGGGTTTAGAAATTAGGCTTCGCAACAGGACAGGCTGGGACAGAAGAGGCCTTCAGCCGAAAGCATGATTTGTGCATACCTAGGAAGAATCCCTTTGGGACCACCTGAAAGTGACCAACTAACAATAGGAAAGGAGGTTTTATTCTTTCTGGAGCTCACAGTATTATAATTTGGGCATAGATGTGGATGTAACCTCATTCCCAGCCCCAGGCTGGTGAGGCCTGGAGATATTTGGGCAACATGAGATAAGTAAATATATATTCAAATCCTTCTGGGAACCTGGGATAAGATAGTCTTGCTTTTTTAAAAAAAGAATACTTGTAACATGAAATAGCTATTTATGTTGATATTTGACTTAAGATGGCAGTTTGTTCAGCTTAGTTACTCCATCAACAGCAAAAAAATTCATATGTAGGAGATTATAGGAAAGCAGGAAGATTTACTGTTTTGGCAGGAAAAAAGGGAAAACACCAGCCATGATCAAGAAGTCAACAATCCTTAACAGAGTTGTAAAATTCAGTTCTGGAAGCAATGGCGGAATTCATAACTAGTTATTCAATCTATGTCCTTGTAACGGGACGGTCACGTCAAAGGAGAAACTGGACTTGGATGGGAGAAAAGGTTTGAAGTGATTTCTCACAACGTTAAGTCAAATTTGATTCCAAAGCATTCCAAGGGGCTATTTCAAGTCCTTTTATTGTTTTATACTTGTTCAATACCATTTCAGGCCAAATGAGAATGCATCAAGAAAGTCTTTGTTTACAGAGATGGGAGAGATGCAACAAAGTCCTATCAAGTCTGTAAGGAGAAGAAAAATCCACAGGTTGGAATTCTAGGAAACAGGCTCTACACAGATGGATGTGTCACCTGCCTCTGTTTACCCATCTTACTTTAACACAGATTAGCTGCCTAAAAAACATCCAGGTGACTCTACTGGGTATAGACATCTTGTGTGCAGTTCTTACAAATCAGTTCTAGGGAAAACAAAGCTGACTGTCAAAAGCCCGTTAATAGCAGACAAATTCTTCTGCAATCCTTCAAGCAATGTTTCTCAACTGTGATGTACATACATATCTCCTAGGAGGTATTGCAAAAATACAGATTCTGATTCAGAAGGTCCGGGGTGGGGCCTGAAATTTCATATTTCCAGATGAAATGCTGTTGGTCCAAGTCACACCTTAGCAAGTTGACTGTTTCTATACCATCCATAGATGGAGAAAAATCTCAATGCCCTTTCTCATCTAGAACTGTAGGAAAAAGCTATTAGCTAGAGAAGCAATGATTGTCCTTGTGTAGAATATGGGTTTAATTCTAGGCTGCCTGCCCTTGATGGATGAGCCTTATAGGTAATCACCAATTTAAAATAAAGAAAGATCAGTGTATAATTTTGTAGTCCCTGTCATCTGTCACAGTTATAAAATGCCATGTTGTGAAATGCTGAATTTACTCAGAACCCCCC